>NC_000011.10:3393333-3696363 GCF_000001405.40 Homo sapiens
TTTTGAGATGGAGTCTCATTCCATTGCCCAGGCTGGAGTGCAATGGAGTGATCTCTGCTCACTGCAACCTCTGCATCCCAGGTTCAAGCTATTCTCCTGCCTCAGCCTGCCAAGTAGCTGAGATGACAGGCGCCCGCCACTACGCCTGGCTCATTTTTTTCTATTTTGAGTAGAGACGTGGTTTCACCATGTTGGCCAGGCTGGTCTCGAATTCCTGACCTTGTGATTCGCCTGCCTCAGCCTCCCAAAGGGCTGGGATTACAGGCATGAGCCACGGCTCCCAGCTTCCAAAAGTTTTAAGCAGAGCTCAGAGGTCTTAACCACAGGCACATCGGAGGAGCATTTTTGAAACGCTTTCCAGCTTCCTCAATAGGAATGGAAGCCAAACTGAATTGATGACTCCTTTGAGGAAGTCGAGAGCTGTAAGGAAAGCCAGGAACAGGGGCAAGGGAGAGATGCGCCCCGAATGATCCTGTGCCAATTCTTTCTGGAATCCTCGATGTGATCTCAGCTGCCCTTTCTATACTTGACACAGTGATTGTGGCACCCACTGGTCTAGCTCTGGTCTACAAGGAACGCGCAAAGGGAAGGGCACAGTGAGCAGGGGCATCCGCCTGAGTGATGAGGATTTGAGAGGGCAGGTTGGTTGTAGGGAGAGGACTGGCCAAATGCCATGTGTCTGGACTTAGACTGGATGGTTCAAATTGGACTTCACCCTTTTTGACTTCATGATCTAGTAAGAGTTATATGGAAAAGCGTTGCTCCTTTTCTAGTCTGTAAAATCATCCTGAAATGTGCACTAATAACGTGGAGACCATGCAGATGAAATGAAACAAGCTGCATAGAGCACAGAGCTCAGAGCCTGGCCTTTAGGAAGCCCTCAGTAAGGGTTCATGATGCCATGGTGTCTGTCGTCATCCTCTTTATCCTCATCATCACCTTCATAATCTTTTTGTTGTTCTTAGGGAATACTTTAGAGGGACTGATTCCCTGCTATCATGGGTGAGATGTCTATGAAAAGGACAACCAGTGGGGGAGGAAAGCAAAATTTTGAATAAGATTTCTGAGACCCCCAGCACAACCAAGAACAGAAACTGCACAGTCTGCTGAGCGGACAGTTTGCACATTGGTCTCCTCCCATCTGCCCACCACACTCTCCTGTTTGTCCTGAGGAGGAGGAAACCAAACAAGGCTCCCGTCCGTTTCTCAGCACTCACTTGAAGGGGTGACCTGCACCTCCACACCTGTGGGTATTTCTAGTCGGGTGGGATGAGAGACTGAGGAAAGAAATAAGACACAGAGACAAAGTATAGAGAAACAACAGTGAGCCCAGGGGACCGGCGCTCAGCATACCAAGGATCTGCACCGGCACCGGCCTCTGAGTTCCCTCAGTTTTTATTGATTATTATTTTTATTATTTTAGCAAAGAGGAATGTAGTAGGAGGGCAGGTTGATAATAAGGAGAAGGTCAGCAACGAAGATGTGAGCAATAGAATCTATGTCATAATGAAGTTCAAGGGAAGGTACTATGACTGGACGTGTACATAAGCCAGATTTATGTTTCTCTCCACCCAAACATCTCAGTGGAGTAAAGAATAACAAGGCAGCATTGCTGCAAACATGTCTCACCTCCCACCATAGGCCGGTTTTTCCCCCATCTCAGAATTGAACAAATGTACAATCGGGTTTTATACTGAGACATTCAGTTCCCAGGGGCAGGCAGGAGACAGTGGCCTTCCTCTCCCTCAACTGCAAGCGGCTTTCCTCTTTGACTAATCCACCTCAGCACAGACCCTTTATGGGTGTCGGGCTCGGGGACGGTCAGGTCTTTCTCATCCCACGAGGCCACTTTTCAGACTATCACATGGGGAGAAACCTTGGACAATAAACGGCTTTCAAGGGCAGGGCTCCCTGCAGCTTTCCACAGTGTATCGTGCCCCTGGTTTATTGAGACTAGAGAATGGCGATGACTTTTACCAAGTATACTGCTTGGAAACATCTTGTTAACAAGGCATGTCCTGCACAGTCCTAGATCCCTTAAACCTTGATTTCCTACAACACATGTTTTTGTGAGCTTCAGGTTGGGTCAAAGTGGCTGGGGCAAAGCTACACATTAACAACATCTCAGCAAAGCAATTGTTGAAAGTACAGGTCTTTTTCAAAATGGAGTCTCTTATGTCTTTCCTTTCTACATAGACACAGTAACAGTCTGATCGCTCTTTCTTTTGCCTACACTCACTGAACTGCCCTTCCCCTTTGCTGGGCCATGACCACGGGGAACAGGTCCACTGTCCTCCCTGCGTGGTGCACGATGGATGCTCAGACTCCATCCTCAAGGCTGGCAAGAAGACACGTTGAGACATGTGCCTCCTGATACAGGTGATGGCTGTGGAGCCCACAGGACTGGAACCTCACACTGCAGGGCTGGAGGCACAGGCCATTTACTGTTCTGTGCCCTGGGGGGCTCAAGGCACAGAGCTCCTCATTAGCCAAAGTCACCCAAGTTCCCCAACCTCTTAAAGATTTCCTCATCATCATGCAAGAAGAAGAGAAAAGTGAGTGTCCATAGAAGCTTTGGGGCTCTTCCTCTAATCAGGAGAAAGCTGGTGTGTATTCTTCGCTTCTTTCTTTGCTTTTTAAAGATCCAACTGCTTTAATTTTCATCTTTTATTATGGGAAAATATACCACGTATAAATATTAAAAATTATAAATATATATTAGTGCATATAGAATGGCCAGTATAAACATTTACAGTTTCCACTCTTTTTCAGTTTACAGTTTAATGACATTAAGTATGTTCACATTGTTTAGCAACCATCACCGCCATCATCTCCGGAACAGTTTTATTTTTCAAAATGGAAATTGCAACCATTCGCCAAGCTCTCCACTCCTCTCTCTCGCCTACCCCTGGGGGCCACCTTTCTAGTTTGCAACTCTAGGAGTCTAACTACTCTAGACACTTGATAGATAAGTGGAATCATACCGTGTTTAATTTTTTTTTTTAGAGGTAGAATCTTTCTCTGTCACCCAGGCTGGAGTGCAGTGGCGTGATCTCGGCTCACTGCAACTTCCACTTCGGGGGCTCAAGCAATTCTTATGTCTCAGTCTCCCGAGTAGCTGGGATTACAGGCGTGCGCTATCATGCCCAGCTAATTTTTGTATTTTTAATAGAGACGAGCTTTCACCATATTGGCCAGGCTGGTCTCGAACTCCTGAGCTTAAGGGATCCACCTGTCTCAGCCTCCCAAAATGCTGGGGTTACAGGTGTGAGCCACTGAGCCTGGGCATGTTTATCCTTTTGGGATTTATTTATTTCACTGACGATAATGTCTTCAAGGTTCATCCATGTTGCGGCCTGCATCAGAAGTGCCTGTTTGTTTTTGTTGTTTTTTTTTGTTTGGTTTTATTTTGTTTTGTTTTGCGTTTTCATGGAGTCTTACTCTGTCGCACCGGCTGGAGTGCAGTGGCACAATCTGGGCTCACTACAACCTCCGCCTCCCGGGTTCGAGCGATTCTTGTGCCTCAGCTTCCTGAGTAGCTGAGATTAGAGGTGCATGCCACCACACCAGCTAATTTTTGTATTTTTAGTAGAGATGGGGTTTGCCATGTTGGCCAAGCTGGTCTTGAACTCGTGAGCTCAGGTGATCCACACGCCTCAACTTCCCAAAGTGTTAGGATTACAGACGTTAGCCACTGTGCCCAGCCCAAGGATGTGTATATTTTCTATAGAGTTTTGATGATAATACTTTGACAGCAAATATATTGTGACTATATATATATAGTCACAGGTGCCCAGGCCGGAGTGCAGTGGCGTGATCTCGGCTCGCTACAACCACCACCTCCTAGCAGCCTGCCTTGGCCTTCCAAAGTGCTGAGATTGCAGCCTCTGCCCAGCCGCCACCCCGTCTGGGAAGTGAGGAGCGTCTCTGCCTGGCCGCCCATCGTCTGGGATGTGAGGAGCCCCTCCGCCCAGCAGCCGCCCCGTCTGAGAAGTGAGGAGCCCCTCAGCCCGGCAGCCACCCCATCTGAGAAGTGAGGAGCCCCTCCACCTGGCAGCCACCCCGTCTGGGAGGTGAGGAGCGTCTCCACCCGGCAGCCACCCCGTCCGGGAGGGAGGTGGGGGGTCAGCCCCCGCCAGCCAGCCACCCCGTCCGGGAGGTGGGGGGCGCCTCTGCCCGGCCGCCCCTTCTGGGAAGTGAGGAGCCCTTCTGCCCGGCCACCACGCCGTCTGGGAGGTGTACCCAACAGCTCATTGAGAATGGGCCATGATGACAATGGCGGTTTTGTGGAATAGAAAAGGGGGAAAGGTGGGGAAAAGATTGAGAAATCGGATGGTTGCTGTGTCTGTGTAGAAAGAAGTAGACATGAGAGACTTTTCATTTTGTTCTGTACTAAGAAAAATTCTTCTGCCTTGGGACGCTGTTGATCTATGACCTTACCCCCAACCCTGTGCTCTCTGAAACATGTGCTGTGTCCACTCAGGGTTAAATGGATTAAGGGCGGTGCAAGATGTGCTTTTTTAAACAGATGCTTGAAGGCAGCATGCTCCTTAAGAGTCATCACCACTCCCTAATCTCAAGTACCCAGGGACACAAACACTGCGGAAGGCCGCAGAGTCCTCTGCCTAGGAAAACCAGAGACCTTTGTTCACTTGTTTATCTGCTGACCCTCCCTCCACTATTGTCCTATGACCCTGCCAAATCCCCCTCTGTGAGAAACACCCAAGAATGATCAATAAAAAAAAAAAAAAAAAAAAAAGACAGCGGTGTGCAGCTGGAATGATGCACCTGAAGCCAAGGAATGCCGCACATTGCCAGCCACCACCCAAAACTGGAAAAGGCCAGGAAGGATTCTTCCCTAGAACCTTCAAAGGCAGCACAGCCCTGCCAACACCTGCATTCAGACTCTGGCCTCCAGAACTGTGAGAGGATGAATTTCTGTGGTTTTCAGCCACCCCAGCTTAGGAAATGGGTTGCAGCAGACTGGGAATAAGAGAGGCAGCCAGTCAGCCTCCGTGGAATTCCCAGGCAGCTTGCAGGAGCCACAGTGGGCCCTGGGCTCTGAGAAGGTCTGAGGCCCAGCAGGCGCAGGGGCCTAAACTATTTCTCAGCAAGGAGGAAGGAAGGTTCATCCAGAACGTAGATCCCCTTCCTCCTTCTCACACCTCACAAGGTCACAGCGAGGTGGTTGGGAGGACAGCCAGGGACTTTTCACTGAGGTGTGTGGGAGACAGCTTGGCCACCCTTGGCCTCTGAAGGGAGGAGGTGGCATGAAGGAGGGCAGTTTTGGAACTTCCCAGTTCCTGCTTGATGACCTGTGTGTAAAGTATTCCTGTTTAGGTTTCAAAATCCTCTCAGAAACATAATTCTCAGAAATTCCAGGCACCCAATCCAGCTCCCTGGCCTTCCCTGAAATCTGAAGTCAAAAGGGCTGAGCCAGCCTGCCCTGGGTGTCAGGCCTCTGAGCTCAAGCTAAGCCATCATATCCCCTGTGACCTGCACGTACACATCCAGATGGCCGGTTCCTGCCTTAACTGATGACATTCCACCACAAAAGAAGTGAAAATGGCCTGTTCCTGCCTTAACTGATGACATTGTCTTGTGAAATTCCTTCTCCTGGCTCATCCTGGCTCAAAACCTCCCCCACTGAGTACCTTGTGACCCCCATTCTGCCCGCCAGAGAACAACCCCCCTTTAACTGTAATTTTCCTTTACCTACCCAAATCCTATAAAATGGCCCTACCCCTATCTCCCTTCTCTGACTCTCTTTTCACTCAGCCTGCCTGCACCCATGTGAAATAAACAGCTTTATTGCTCACACAAAGCCTGTTTGGTGGTATCTTCACACGGACGCGCATGAAACTGGAGTCCTCACGCCCACCAGCCCAGAGTGCTCTCTAGAGGAAGGCTACAGACACCTCCTGGCTCACTCATCCAGACGTTAGCTGTCTTGCTGAAACTCCTTTTTTCACCCTTGAAAACCACTGGAAGAATGACCAAGAACCCAGCTATCCTGAGTAAGTTCACTTAAAGAAGCAAAATCTAACATGAGTGGCAAAACGGACATTGGCACCAGGAGTGTGGGTCAGAGTCCTGCCCCTTGGAACTACATCATCACTTGTACAGTGTACCCCCCAGGCACCAAGAGACCAGGCTGAGACTCTTCAGTTGCCCTGGGCCTCTGGTCAGTGTCTTCCAGCCTGGCACACAGGCAGGCCCTCATAAAACAATGAGTGCTGAAAGTTCCAGCCTTCTTGGTGGGTTCTCAGCACCCCGTCGTGAGCCACACCCTGCCCCAGGGAAATCAGGGTCGCCCTGCTGCTACCCCTAGGCCAGTGCCCCTTCTGAAGTGCCCCAGGCTGGCACCCCTATACTTAGATCTCTTCAACCTCCTCATGAAAACCTTCTTGCCCATCACCCCAGCATTCCCCGGACTGTGCTAAATGAGCAGCTGACCACACGTCAAATCAATTTTCAGAGTTTGCCTTTGGTTTAATATTCATGGCTTATCCAAAAGATCTTGTCACCATAGCTAGATGAAAAAAATGACAAGGCTCTGGAGAAGCAGAACCACAAGATGGAGGATACCTGGGTCCCAGGTTCATGAGGAGAGGAGCTGCCTGCTCCACAGACTGGCACGTGAGTGGGAATGAAACTTTTGCTGCGTTTAGACCATTACCTTTCTTCACTCTGTCACATAGTCTACCCACGCTAAACAGAACTTGACCTCCACCAGACCGTTTACATCAAGACCTGTATGTGCAGTGCAGTGGCCTGAGCCTCCAATCCATGCCCCACCTATCAAACTGGCCTTGCCATATTCCTACTCTGAGAGTGGTATTCTGGGGACAGAAGCTCAGTGCATAGAATTGATGAATGCGAGATCCTTCAGGCGCTTTGCACTTTGAAGTCTATCCATCCTAGCACATTCCAAGTACAAAGAAGACACTTCAGCAGTACAACCTGGCCTACACTCAGTTCAATTCCTTCTTCAAAAACCTAGGCCCGGCCAGGTGTGGTGGCTCACATGTGTAATCCCAACAATTTGGGAGGCTGAGGTGGGTGGATCACCTGAGGTCAGGAGTTCGAGACCAGCCTGGCCAACATGATGAAATCCCGTCTCTTCTAAAAATACAAAAATTAGCTGGGCTTTGTGGTGGGTGCCTCAAATCCCTGCTACTCCGGACGCTGAGGCAGGAGAATCACTTGAACCCGGGAGGCGAGGTTGCAGTGAGCTGAGACTGCACCAAGGCCCTCCAGCCTGGGCGACAGAGTGAGACACTGTCTCAAAAAATAAAGAAAGAAATAAAAATAAATTGAGGAAGGATTGAGCATGCAAAATAGAATCAGCCTTTGACCCTGAATACCCTGCAGTGAGAATTCCCCTGTGGTTCTCAGGCTTCTGTAATTCCAGCAAATACACTCTTCCTTCAGGTTCACTAAAATGCAGATATTGTGAGATAATGCTCATTTCTCACAGCTTGCTTGAATAATAATAATGATCATTATAGTAATTTACAACTTAATAGTCAACACTGCCTTTTTAACCCAGTCTGTGAGACTGAATCGTAAACGTGACATTCTTTGAAGCTCTCAATTAATATACCAGACTGCATAAACTCTAATAACTTACCTTTCCATGGAAAGAGAATATGTGGGTATTCTCTTTGAAGACAAATGGTGGAGAGTAGACTCTCATCAAAGACCCTCTGGCAGTAATGAGTTGCATTCGGGAAGGTTCCAGAAGGTTCTGTGGAAGGCTGCAGTTTGGGATTGGTTCTCAGGTGTCTGTCTAACTGCTTTCTAAGGATGAAGACTCCTGGTTCGTGCTTTAGCTACACCCACAGGAGCAACAGACTAAGACATTCCTCCACACCATAACAGACCCAGGCAGTGCAGAGCCATGTGGGTCTTATCTGTCTTGCTGTCCACAGTCTGGTTTTATCTTAGACCCAGCCTGGTGCAATTCATGTTGTGTATTGGCACTCCACTTAAGTTTCCTGTTTGTAAAAAGCCCCTTTCATTTGGTGATTCCTAGGGCTTTAGGGGAACTTTCTGGAAACGTGGAAGAAGGAAATAAAGGTTGTTTTGCTGAGGATGGGTTACATTGGGCGTGGGACCCAAATGAGTGGTTTGAGCAAAAAGTAGCCTCCACGCTGGACTAATGCTTGGCAACATTATGGGAAAATTTGGGGAAGCTGGGAGAGGAGGGGGCAGAGTTTCTTTCCCAGCCAGCCAGGGGGTCCAGGCAATTTTGGTCCTAGAACATCTCTCTGTGCATTCCCAAGTAATTGCAAGGCTTCTTCTTGTCATCGTCTGAGACTTGGATTCCCCAAGCATCCTTCTTTTCCTGGAGCCTCTGAGTCCTCTATTCCTGAGGCCTTTCTTCAGCCCTCCCAATAGCCCTGCCATGATTTCATTGCAGGGCTGTGACCGTCTATGACAAGCCAGCATCTTTCTTTCAAGAGACCTCTGGACCTGCAGCACCAACTCTTCATGAAGCTGGGCGGCACGCACTCTCCGTTCAGGGCCTGGTAGGCCTCCCATCCTCAGCTGCCTTCTCTCCTGCTTGCCAATGCCCTGTCCTCTCCCCTTCTCACTGCAGACCTGGGAACCCACTCATCCAGGGGTTGGCAAACTAAGGCTACAGGCCAGTCTCCTGCTTTTGTAAATCAAGTTCCATTGGAACACAACACACTCATTAACTTCTGAGTTGTCTACAGCTGCCTTTGAGCTACAACAGCAGAATCGTGTTTTGCAACAGAGAACCTGTGGCCCGCAAAGCCTGAAGTATTTACTCTCTGGCCCTTTAAGAAATGTTTGTGGACCCCTGCGCTGTCTTACTCTCCTGCCAGTGGGTTCCCAGGCCTGTGGCAGGATCTGTGGACCTGTGTGTCCCCTGGGGTGTCTCACGGGGCTAAGGAGGGGACCTTAGTGCAGGTCCACACACCCTGAGGTGTGCCCCTGGGTAAGCTGGAGTGGTGTGGGAGGGTGTCCCTGCACCCTCATCTTGAGTCCAGGGGATGATAAGACAGTAAGTCGCGTGGAGAAAAGGAATGAGTCAGTCTTGTTTGCTGTTGTAACCTTAGCACCCAGCAACAATATTAGAGAAAGCAAGCCCAGGCCTCAGATGGCAGGGGTGGCCTGGTGCTGCTGATGTGGCTGGGCACCCCAACCTTTGGGAGCCTGCAGGCCTTGCCATGGCAGGAGATGCCCGTCCTGGGTCCCGGGCCTGCTCTGTGGCCTCTCACAGGCTTTTTTCCTGCTCTTTCATCTCAGAACCTGAGGACCCAGACACGGAGCGGTCGGCCTTCATGGAGCGGGATGCTGGGAGCGGGCTGGTGATGCGCCTCCGCGAGCGGCCAGCCCTGCTGGTCAGCAGCACAGGCTGGACAGGTCTGCACGACCCCTAGAACACTTGGGCTTGGTGTGACGGGCACCTGGCCAACCTGTGTTCTCCTCACCCCTGCCAGTCCTGCATGCCCCCACCCCGCCACAGTCTCAATGAGAAGGGGAGGGCGTGTGAGCTGGAAGAGGGGTGTCTAGAAACAGGCCCCTGACATTCAATTCTCTTCTCATAGAGGACGAAGACTTCTCCATCTGCTGGCAGCTTTAGAAAGTAGGTGTGTAGCTGCGGTGAGGATCTATGGGCTTGTCGGGGGCCGCTGAGCTGTGAGCTGCTTGCCTGGCCTGCAGCGTGTTGCTGTCCCGGGCCACTGGGTGGGGCAGCCTGGGGACAGCGGGGGTGGTGGAGGTGGGCCGCCCTGAATCCCCAGTTGGGTCATTCAGTGACCAGGCCCTCAGGCTGAAATGCCCCCTCCAGGAGAGTATCTCACAGAGGCTGGTGGCCTCCCCACCAGAGCAGTGCTCTTTCTCCACCTGAACAGGTGACTCTGGCTATTGTTTATTTAAAACTTTTTTTCTGAATGGGCACGGTGGCTCACACCTGTAATCCTAGAACTCTGGGAGGCCAAGGCAGGCAGATCACCTGAGGTCAGGAGTTCGAGGCCAACATGGCAAAACCTGTCTCTACTAAAAATACAAAAATTAGCTGGGTATGGTGGTGGGCGCCTGTAATCCCAGCTACTTGGGAGGCTGATGCACGAGAATTACTTGAACCCGGGAGGCAGAGGTTGCAGTGATCTGAGATCACGCCATTGCATTCCAGCCTGGGTGACAGAGCAAGAGTCTGTCAGGAAAAAAAAAAAAGAAATTCTATCAGAAATTCCATGTAGAATTGTTTCTTTTTTTAAACACAGAGTTTGAACAACTGACTCTTGATGGACACAACCTTCCTTCTCTCGTCTGTGTGATAACAGGTACCGCCTAGGACCCTGGGTGTCTGATTGGTTGGGGGATGGCGGAGGGGGAGGGGCACGCAGCCTTTACCCTGTGCTTCCCACGATCTTGTCTCCTTAATCTTCACTGCAGCTCTCTGCCATAGGGTCTTATACTGCTTGACATGGGGGAAACTGAGGCTCAGAGGATTTCACAGCAGGGCAGGGAGCCCAGATTTGAATCTGTAGATACCAAACTTTCTACTTTTTCAGTAGTTTCCAAGCATCTTTTTTTTGTTGTTGTTACATCATTGGTGTCTTTTTTCTTTTTTTTTTTTGAGACAGAGTCTCTGTCGCCCAGGCTGGGGTGCACTGGTGTGATCTGGGCTCACTGCAACCTCCGCCTCTCACATTCAAGCAATTCTCATGCCTTAGCCTCCCGAGTAGCTGGGACTACAGGGGCCCACCACACCCAGCTAATTTTTGTATTTTTAGTACAAACAGGGTTTCATCATGTTGGCCAGGCTGGTCTTGAACTCCTGACCTCAGGTGATCCACCCACCTTGGCCTCCCAATATGCTCGAATTATAGGCACGAACCACTGTGCCTGGCCATGTCATTGGTGCCTTAACCAAGCCTCTTTTAATTTTTCAAACGGAAGAACCCCTGTCCCACAGTTACTGCTGCTGAGCCCTTTCAAGGTGACTCTGAGGACGGAGAAAAGCGGAAGTGGTGTGGGAAGAGGCGGGGTCTGGGCCAGCTGCTGGTCCTGCTCTCCTCCCTCCTCTGGCCACTAGGCTCCCAGGAGTGGTTTGGAGCCCACGCCATGTGCTCTGGGGGCTGTGGCAGGGCAGGGGCGGTTTGGAACCTGCGCCATGTGCTCTGGGGGCTGTGGCAGGGCAGGGGGAGTCCTCGTGTCCCCTGTGCACAACACAGACAGAAGGCTGGGTCCACCCAGTGGGCGGTCGACTGCCAGGCCAGTGCTTACCCCGCCATGTTTGCAGCCCGAGGCCAGCTGGCTGCAAATGCAGGGCTGTGCGTCAGGGGTCAGAGTGCACACACCCCTGCAGGTCTAGGGGCTCCTGCGTTGCTTCTGGAAGGGCCTGGATGGGACCTGACTGGAGCGGCCGAGGGGTGGAGCTTCTGGGAAAGGGATCCCTCCTCGGGGGGAGTGTCTTGGGCCTGAGGCCAATTGGCAGGGACAGAGACGAGTCCATGGCAGTATCTGCTCTTCTCTGTGAAGGCAAAGGGCCTCCGAGGGAGTATTACAGCCGCCTCATCCACCAGAAGCATTTCCAGCACATCCAGGTCTGCACCCCTTGGCTGGAGGCCGAGGACTACCCCCGCTTCTAGGTGAGAGGCCAGCAGGAGGCTCAGGGAGGAGGCGGGGCCTTAAGCAGGGGGAACAGGGGTGGGCGGGATGTACTTTTTCTGAAAATGTGGCTCTGGAGGCCACTTGGGGACAGGACCTGGGCTCTGGCTGAACTCCCGGGAGGAGGCTACTTCCTGGTGTGCCAGCCCCTCCCTGCCAGGTGGCCCCAGAGGCCCTTTACCAAGGGGTTTGAGGAGGCCACGTCCTTTCAGCCTTCCGCGCCCTCCATTCAGTCCTCTTCCTTCCTGCAGGAGGGCTGGGCCTGGGGTTGGGGCCACTGTTGCCCAGGTGTGGGAGGGCAGTGGCTTTGGGAGGTACAGGGACGATGTGTGAAACAGCGTCGCCTCTCCCAGTGAGATGGTTCTCCTTTGCCTCCGTCTCTTTCCCCGTTGACTTCTCCAAGTGGGGAGTCGTGGCTTGGTCCTGATGCGTCTCTAGAGCCACATCTTCCAGCTTCGAGTGAGCAGAGCAGTTGGAGGCTGAGGGCCTTTTCCTGGCAGGACTCTCCAGTTAGTCTTTGTTTTAGACAGTCTCGCTCCGTTGCCTAGGCTGGAGTGCACGATCTCAGTTCATGCAACCTCCGCCTCCTGGGTTCAAGCGATTCTCCCACCTCAGCCTCCCGAGTAGATTACGGGATTACAGGAGCCCGCCACAACACCTGGTTTATTTTTGTATTTTTAGTAGAAACAGGGTTTCACCGTGTTGGCCAGGCTGGTCTTGAACTCCTGACTTCAAGTGATCCTCCTGCCTTGGCCTCCCTAAGTGCTGGGATTCCAGGCGTGACCCATCACGCCTGGCCCCAGCTAGTCTTTAGAAATGTTAAGCTGTTTCACTTTATTTTCACACTGACAGCTGGTTTGTAGTGGGTGTGCTGTGGTTTTTTATTATTATTATTATTATTATTATTATTATTTTGAGACAGAGTTTCGCTCTTGTAGCCCAGGCTGGGGTGCAATGGCACGATCTTGGCTCACTGCAACCTCCGCCTTCCCAGGTTCAAGCAATTCTCCTGCCTCAGCCTCCTGAGTAGCTGGGATTACAGGCACCTGCCACGATGCTTCGCTAATTTTGTATTTTTTTTAGTAGAGATGGGGTTTCACCATGTTGGCCAGGCTGGTCTTGAACTCCTGACCTCAGGTGTTCCACCCACCTTGGCCTCACAAAATGCTGGGCTTACATGCGGGAGGTGAACCTGGGAGGTGGAGGTTGCAGTGAGCTGAGATTGTGCCACTGCACTCCAGCCTGGGTGACGGAGTGAGACTCTGTCTCAAAACAAAACAAAACAACAACAAAAAAACCAAATTGTGGTTACGTAGAAAAAGTGTCAACTTACATTTTCAGATGTCCCAGCCAGGCCATGTGGCTGCTTGGCCAGCTTAAGCCACTTGTGCTTGGGGCTGTCGGGGGACTTATCCGATTTTCACTCCCCTCGGGGGATGTTGCCTCACTGTGCTGGGAGGATTTGTGTTCCCAGGGCAGAGACCAGCGCTCTGACCGCACCCCTCTTGCCCAGCAGGGTCGGTGGATCTGGGTGTCTGTCTGCACACGTCCTGCAGTGGCCTGGACCTGCCCATGAAGGTGGTGGACATGTTCGGGTGCTGTTTGCCTGTGTGTGCCGTGAACTTCAAGTGGCAGGAGCAGAACCCGAATCTTTCTGGGGATAGCTTCACAGATCCACCGCTGAGGAGGAAACAGTGCAGAGCGAGCTGCCCACAGTGAGGCCCTGCTCCTGGGTCAGTCCAGCACACACTGGAGGCCACGAGGAGGAGCCCTGCGGTTACTGTGTCTGGGCTGAGCCTCACTGAAGTAGTTGCTTCCATTTAGAGCTCATGTTATATTTAGGTTGATACAAAAGTAATCACGGTTTTTGCCATTAAAGATGGCAATTACTTTTGCACCAACCTAATATGAAAAAAAAGCATCTTAAATACTGGAACTCCACTCGGGGCTTTTGCTCCTAGAGTAGAATTGGCGGGAATTGCCTGCAGGCTTACATGGTTTTCTTTGTTTCTTTCTCTCCCACCATGTCCTGTTTGGCCAAGCTCACGTGCTGGGTTTGAATGAGTTAAATGAGTGTCGTGCTGTGGCCTCACTGCACCCAGCGTAGACGGGCATTTGGAAGGGCGGTGTTAGAGGAGATTCTAGAAGCAGTAGCCCCAGCACAAGCTGAGCCCTTGGCCCCTGCTCAGGAGCCGGCTCCTGGATGGGAGTCAGGGATGTGAGCCCCTCGTGTGAGCTGAGCTCAGGGAATGTCGGGATCAAACCTGGTGCCCTAGAAAAGTCATCTTTTATGTGCTGAGCCAGTCCCCAGGGTGTTGCCTTTACTTGTTCCATGGCCATGGAATTAAGCAAAACATGCAAAAATAATTCTTCAGTCCTTGAAGAGCATCCAGCACAGAAGGTAGAAACCCTCCTTAAGGCTCCCTCCTCAAATCGGTTTGGCCATTTCGATGTGCACCCCCCCAGGCCTTTATACCCTTCAGATGCCAAATCTAAGAACCAGCTCCCAGAAACCACACCCCCTGTTCCAACCCCCAGCCTGGCTTGAGCATGGGTTGTTGGGGGGAGCCCAGGTGGGCACCCCAGGGGTCTGGTGTCTTCTCCAGGCAGCTCTCAGGCTCCCTTGGTTCTCTCTGCAGTTTACATGAGCTGGTGAAACATGAAGAAAATGGCCTGGTCTTTGAGGACTCAGAGGAACTGGCAGCTCAGCTGCAGGTAGCCACATCTGCCACCACGCCAGGGTGGGGAGGGTTCTGGAGGCTGGCACCGAGCCACGCTCCCTGATCCCTGCTTCCCACAGCCAGGGTGGGACCATGTGGGGTCTGGCGGAAAAGCTAGGGAGGGAGCAGAGGTCACAGAGTCCGGCCCACTCTGCTGTCCCGTTTCGGTACAGTAAGCTCGGGAAAGTTAGGACACACCCCCACCTGCCCTCTGGATTTATGGAGCTGACATTCCACAAATGATGCTGGAGCCGGGTGGGCCGGGCTGCAGTTTAGGAAGTGATCAGGGTCAGGTAGGTGCGTGGGCAAAGGGAGCTTCTGGGACCAGCCTTGAAAGATGGGTGGAATTCTGCAAAGGTTACTTGTTTCTTATTGCTAAAAGTAATACATCATTCTTGCCAACAGAATGATTGGCAGGATTTTCAGTAAAGGTCCAGGTCAGAAGTCATTTAGACTGGGTCCCCCAGTCTCTGTCAGAACCATGGTACTCTGTTGTGGTGTGAAAGTAGCCACAGATCATCTGTCGATTAAGGGGTGTGGCTTTGTTCGAATAAAACTTTATTTACAAACACAGGCTGTGGGCTGGATTTGGCCTGCAGGCTGTAGTTTGTGATCCTTGATTCAGACAGTTTAGCAAGGCTGAAAAGAACACCGACACCCCCTTGTTACCCACAGATGGGTGGGACTTGGCCGGAGGCCAAGAGGAGGGTGCTCGCAGGGGAACATACAGCATGTAGAGGCCAGGAGGTGCTCCAGGGCACCAAGTGTGGGAAAGTGGGACATACGGGGAAGTTTCCAGAAAGCATGATGTCAAGTTGGAGGCAGAGCGCTGCTGGGGCATGAAGAGTCTCGAGTCCAAGTGAGGGAGTTAGGAACTTGGGAGGGGTTGTTGTTGGGTAGGGGACCTGGGGTCAGCCAGGTGGTGACATGGGATGGGGTGGGGACAGGCAATGAGGTAAGCTCTGCTCTTTATTTTTTTGCAGGTGCTTTTCTCAAACTTTCCTGATCCTGCGGGCAAGCTAAACCAGTTCCGGAAGAACCTGCGGGAGTCGCAGCAGCTCCGATGGGATTAGAGCTGGGTGCAGACTGTGCTCCCTTTGGTTATGGACACATAACTCCTGGGCCAGAGGCTAAAACCCCGGGACCCCTGCTGTCCTTCCCACAGCTTCTTCTCAGAGTCTCAGGGCAAATCCTTTCGAGCAGCGCCTCCCAGTGGCCAGAAGCTGAAATGATGGCAGTAGTGCCACCTGGTGAATGAATTGGTTCTGTGACCCGGGAAGCTGTGCTTGGCTCTGATTTCTTTTCTGGAGGCTCGGAAACACTTCCTCTCTTCTTCTGTTCTTCACGCCCCATGCCCCTGCTAGCGTATTACTGTTCTGTGACTTCCCTGTGACCTCTGCAGTACTCCTCATCCTGCGTTTGGTCTCCAGGTGTCACCTTTCTGCCGTGTTCCTAACATTTTGATTCCTGTCTTGAAAAAAGCACCTGCTGCACCATAAGCCCAGGGATGTGGCAGCTGCAGCGGGCTTGGCTTTGTGAAGAACCGAGTGTGTCCAGGGATGTGGCAGCTGCAGCGGGCTTGGCTTTGTGAAGAACCGAGTGTGTCCAGGGATGTGGCAGCTGCAGTGGGCTTGGCTTTGTGAGGAATCGAGTGTGTCCACCGATGTGGCAGCTGCAGCGGGCTTGGCTTTGTGAAGAACCGAGTGTGTCCACCGATGTGACAGCTGCAGCGGGCTTGGCTTTGTGAAGAACCGAGTGTGTCCACCGATGTGGCAGCTGCAGCGGGCTTGGCTTTGTGAGGAACCGAGTGTGTCCAGGGATGTGGCAGCTGCAGCGGGCTTGGCTTTGTGAGGAACCGAGTGTGTCCAGGGATGTGGCAGCTGCAGCGGGCTTGGCTTTGTGAAGAACCGAGTGTGTCCAGGGATGTGGCAGCTGCAGCGGGCTTGGCTTTGTGAAGAACCGAGTGTGTCCAGGGATGTGGCAGCTGCAGTGGGCTTGGCTTTGTGAGGAATCGAGTGTGTCCACCGATGTGGCAGCTGCAGCGGGCTTGGCTTTGTGAAGAACCGAGTGTGTCCACCGATGTGGCAGCTGCAGCGGGCTTGGCTTTGTGAGGAACCGAGTGTGTCCAGGGATGTGGCAGCTGCAGTGGGCTTGGCTTTGTGAGGAACCGAGTGTGTCCAGGGATGTGGCAGCTGCAGCGGGCTTGGCTTTGTGAGGAACCGAGTGTGTCCACCGATGTGGCAGCTGCAGCGGGCTTGGCTTTGTGAGGAACCGAGTGTGTCCACAGATGTGGCAGCTGCAGCGGGCTTGGCTTTGTGAGGAACCGAGTGTGTCCACGTTGGGGGGAACATCATACTTGATACACACGTTTTTATTTGCACAAAGAAAATGCTATTTTTGGAGCCAGAGTTTTCATGTCTGATTGATGGCGATTTTCTTAAGAACCAGAACTGCTGGCAGAAAGGGAGCACCCACAAGCTTAGATAGCCGATGTCTTATCAGAGGGCAGTTTGTGGTTCCTGATTTGGAAATTAACATTCTCCAAACATTCCAGTCCAATGAAAGTTTTATCCGCTTTCCCATATAAAAACTCTTCCCACGAGAGTGACTTGATTCTCACAATCCCGTTGGAGTCGTGTGTGAGTCCTACAGTGTGAGGTTCAGCATTGCCATCTCCAAGTGCTCTTCGTAGGGAAACAGTTTCTGGTCATGACGAGGTTCCACTTCCCATCTGATCCCGGCCCGGCCTGGAAACAGAGGACATGTGTTTGAAGATGGCAGTGTTTGGGGACAGGACATGAGCGTATTGTGTGGGGCTGCTAGGACAGGCCTGGCGGGGTGGGGGCGTGTACAAGTCAGTTTACTTGGTTCACAGGTTCTCAGGCCCACCCAGGTGCCTAGAATTGGCCTCCAGGATGGGACCAGAAATCTGGTTTTGCATAGAAATGGCTAGCAGCAGGCACCGTGCCGCTGTCCAGTCTCTGCCCGCGTCTGCCCAGCACTTGGCACAGCGGGACAGACGCAGAGATCTGAACCCACACTTACCTGGCTGCTCAGTCAACTCACTCTTCACAAAGCTTAGAAAGCGGCCAGGCACAGTGGTTCACGCCTGTAATCCCAACACTTTGGGAGGCCGGCCAAGGCGGGTGGATCACTTGAGATCAGGAGTTCGAGACCAGCCTGGCCAACATGGTGAAACCCCATCTCTACAAAAATACAAAAATTAGGCAGGCACAATGGCGGGTGCCTGTAATCCCAGCTACTTGGGAGGCTGAGGCAGGAGAATTGCTTGAACCCAGGAGGCAGAGGTTGCAGTGAGCAGAGATTGCGCCACTGCACTCGAGCCTGAGTGACAGAGTGAGACTCCATCTCAAAAAAAAAAAACAAAATCACACACACACACACACACACACACACACACACACACACACAGCTTAGAAGGGGCTGGTGTTCTCATAAGCACAGATGTCTGAAGAGCCGTTAGCCAGAATGATTCTTTTCTTTTTTTTTTTTTTTTTGAGATACGATCTTGTTCTGTCACTCAGGCTGGAGTGCAGTGGCACAGTCATTGCTCACTACAGCCTCGACTCCTGGGCTCTAGCAATCCTCCCACTTCCTGAGTAGCTGGGATGACAGGTGCATGCCACCATGCTAGTAATTTTTTTATTTTGTAGAGATGGGGTCCTGAATGCATGGCCTCAAGTGATGCTCCTGCCTCAGACTCTTTTATTATTTTTTTTTTAGACAGAGTTTTACTCTGTTCCCAAGGCTGGAGTGCAGTGGTGCAATCTCAGCTCACTGCAATGCATCCCAGGTTCAAGTGATTCTCCTGCCTCAGTCTCCCGAGTAGCTGGGATTATAGGCGTGCACCGCCACGCGTGGCTAATTTTTGTGTTTTTAGTAGAGATGGGGTTTCACCGTGTTGGCCAGGCTGGTCTTGAACTCTTGACCTCAAGTGATCCGCTCACCTCAGCCTCCCAAATCCTCTGCCTCTTACAGTGTTGGGATTACAGGCGTGAGACACTGTGACACGGGATGATTTTCAATCACAGTTTTTTGTTACGAGTGGAAAATGTGTATTTATAAAAATAAAGTAGTACAGACATGAACGTGTAGAAGTCTCTATAATCCTGCCATCCAAGGATGGCACCTGTTAATGTGTATATCAGGGATGTCCAATCTTTTGGCCTCCCTGCACCACATTGGAAGAAGAAGAATCGCCTTGGGCCACACATAAAATACACTAATGCTCGCAATAGCTGATGAGCTAAAAGAAAAAAAAATCACAAAAAAACCTCGTACTGTTTTAAGAAAGTTTACAGATTTGTGTTGGGCCACAGATTGGACGAGCCTGCTACATATATATTCTAGGTTTTCCCCAATAGGTATACTTATGTGAAAATGATTATTGTGATACTTTTTTTTTGAGATGAAGTCTTGCTATGTTGCTCAAGGGGGCCACAAACTCCTGGGCTTAAGCCATCCTCCTGCCTCAGCCTCCTGAGTAGTTGGGAATATAGGTACTCATAAACATGTGTGGGTGATTATTATTATTTTTTAAACAAAAATGGGGCTGGGCGCAGTAGCTCACGCCTGTAATCCTAACACTTTGGGAGGCTGAGGCAGCAGATCGCTTGAGGTCAGGAGTTCAAGACCAGCCTGGCCAACATGGCGACACCTCGACTCTACAAAAAATACAAACATTAGCCAGGTGTGGTAGCACGCACCTGTAGTCCCAGCTACTCAGGAGGCTGAGATGGGAGGATAGCTTGAACCTGGGAGGTGGGAGGTTGCAGTGGGCCGTGGCACCACTGCACTCCAGCCTGGGCAATACAAAGCCAGACTGTCTCCAAAAAAAAAAAAAAAAAAAAAAAAAAAAAAGGTGGGTGGGGGCTTATACTATGTGTTCTGCTTGGCACTGTTTTTTTCACTTCAAAGATATTGCAGTTATTTTTTCACATAAGTATCTGAAGAAAGACTTCCTTTTTTTTTTTTTTTTTTTGCCTTTTTGAGACAGGGTCTTGCTCTGTTGCCCAGGCTAGAGTGCAGTGGTGAGATCAGGGCTCACTGCAGCCTCCACCTCCTGGGCTCAAGCTATCCTCCCACCTCAGCCTCCCGAGTAGCTGGGACTACAGGTGTGCGCAACCATGCCCGGCTAGTTTCTGAATGTTTTGTGGAGATGGGGTCCCACTATGTTGCCCAGGTTGGTCTTGAAATCGTGGTGTCAAGAAGTCCCCCTGCCTTAGCCTCCTAAAGTGCTGGGTTGACAGGCCTGAGCCCCGCGCCCGGCCAGCCTCCTGTGCGAGGTTGTGCAGGACTTTGTCGTGGAACCCAGTATGCCTTCGTGTGCTGGCTTGTTTGTTGGCTCTGTAGTTAACGCGCTGCCCCACGTGGACAGGCATTGGACCCACGTCTCTGTGTGCAGGCAGAGGCTGCTGCGCGTGCATCTGTGCACATGGCTGCCAGGAGGGGCTGTGCTCAGGGTGATCTGGGGCAAAGGCTGGTGGCAATGGGGGGCTTGGGTGTAGTGTGGAGGCACGAGAGCCAGGTGGCCGAGCTGCAGTCTGTGGGAGCTCAGGGGTTGCTTGGCCTCTGTGTGTCCTAGTGTCTTTGTCGGTGAGATGGGACAATGATAGCACACTCTCACAGGTGCTGGGGGCTGACAAATGTCAGGTCTGAGGACAGTGGCTGGCCCACTACGGGGACAATTCCCCTTCTCTATAGTCACCCTGCTCGTCTTCCATCAACTGGGTGCTCAGGACAGTGGCGTGGTGGATCCGCCTGTACAGCCTGTGCTCCAGCGTCCTGCAGGCCACAGCTGTGTCCAGCCCTGACCCCGACTGCCCCTCCCACCACCTCCATTTTATAGATGAGGAAACCGACGCCCAAGGGCTTAGGGAACCCTGCTCTGAAGCACACAGTAGGGCTGCTGGGCTCAGATCCTCCCTCCCTGTGCTGAGCTGCCCTCCTCCTGCCGCAAGCTCCCACGCCCCAGGCCCACCCTGCTCACCGGCCTCTGCCCTAGTTCCCCGCATGGTGTGGGAGTGTGGGGCATCCTAGCTTTTCCTCGGCCCCCAGTTCTTTCACTTCCACTGGAGTCCCGCAGGGACAGCTCGGGGACCATGCAGGCCCGGGTGGGCGTGTGGGCTCACATAGCTCGGTGGTGAACAGCTGGCACGTCTCTGGGTTGCGGACGATAAGGGCCACGTAGACTTGAGGAGCCCGCTGGTGCTCCCGGTAGGCAGCCAGCCTCCGCAGGACCGCGACCAGCGACACGATGGATTCTGGGCAATACAGCACGTCTACGGTGAAAGCTTCAGGTTACTGAAAGGGACCAGCGGACAGTTCCAGGTCATGCTGACCTCAGCAGCAGGGCGAGGCCAGAGAGGCAGCAGTCATATGAGACTAGTAGATGCCATTTGACCATTTGGGCCATTAGATGGAAAGGCAATTGCTTGGGTGAAAAAGGAGAACCCTTAGTAGAGAAAGCTGCAAAAGACCGAAGCAAAAGAAAAAAATCTCCAGACTCACTGGTGTTCCTTAAAAAATGAGCTCTGGTTCTCGGCCTATCTAGAGGGCTGTGAATGACACAAAGCCTGACCCTGCCATGAACTTCGTGTTTCAGGTGTCTGCCGATTTGTCTGCTGGCTTGCAGGGGTGGGCCTGTGTCCCTGGCCACCGCTGGACCTGTGGGTTTCAGGGCTGGGACCCAGGACCACAGGCAGAGCTCTGTTCAACCAGAGAGGAGACCGAGTGTGCTGGCAGGGGCGAGGGGTTTTCGGTGGCCCAGCCAAACACCACCTTCTCTCAAGGGCCCTGTCCTCATCCCAGAAGTGGTTGTTTTCCTCCTGTGGTCTCTGAAAGACAGAGGCATGGCTCTGGGACAGAGCCATGTGGTGATGACTGTAATGGGAGTATGCCTGTCTCCAACAAGAGGGCTGTGGCTGGAAGGTCACCTTAAGAGGCACCCCTGTCCTTTGATGTCACCCTGGAGGCCCAGAGTAACTCTTCTGGAAGCCCCATCATGTCCATGCCCGACAGCGTCCATTGTTCCCTTTTCCCAGAGCCCAGAGCTGGGTAGAGCTGCAAGGACACCGCCTGCACAGAGTGCCCGGGGCTGGGCATTGCCTGCTGCAATGACAACATCTGGCTGGATGGCAGAGAGCTGATGGACCGTCGCGACGTCCCAGTCCAGCTGGGCCACTGTCACCCTGGGGCTGTCTAAGTTGGCAGAGATGTCTGCCTCTAATGAGAGGCCATTGAGAAGGACATTCCCTCGGAGCTTCTCGAGGACCTGGCTGTGACAGTCGCTGAAGATGTATGCCTGGAGGCGGCACATCTTGCAGATGGCCAGGCCTGTGAGGCTGGCGCCACTGCCAAGCTCTAGGACAGTCCTGGCGGGAGGAAAGGGGACCATGTCTGTAACTGCACCAGGGTGAGCCTGCCTCGGTGTCCTGCCGTGCGCCCCGAGGTCACCTATGAGAGAAGGCTGCCGGGTTCTCGATGGCCCATTCTGCCAGGTAGAGGGCAGCATCTCATGTGACCAGGCCTGTGATGCCATGGGAGATGATGGCTGTGCTCTCGGAGAGTGTGACTGAGCCTCCCGAGGGCTGCACCAAGAGAGGGCGAGAGAGTCAGTCCAGCAATCAGAAGGCAAGTGGCTTAGAAGACAAGTAGCCATCCACCACATGGCTGAATAAACCATGACAGGACCAATCGCCACTCAGCAATGAGAAGCAGCTAACTGTTGACATGCCAACAGCTTGCACGGGCCTCAAGGGTGTCACGTGGCATGAAAGACACTCATCTCAGGCCACACAGGATTCCATTCATCGAACATTCCTGAGACAACGGAATTCTGGTGATGGAGCACAGGTCAGTGGTGGCCAGGGGCCAGGTGTGGCTATGAAGGGGTGGCTGCCTTGTGATGATTCAATATGCTATGTTTTTCCTTTGTGGTTTTCTGTATCTATGTTTTATCTTATTTTCTTTTGAGCTCTGTCACCCAGGCTGGAGTCAGTGGCACAATCTTGGCTCACTGCAACCTCTGCCTCCTGGGTTCAAGCAATTCTCCTGCCTCAGCTGCCCAAGTAGGTGCAACTACAGGCATGTGCCACCATGTGTGGCTAATTTTTCCACTTTTTTTTGAGACAGAGTTTCCCTCTCGTTGCCCAGGCAGGAGTGCAATGGCGTGATCTTGGCTCACTACAACCTCCACCTCCTGGGTTCAAGAGATTCTCCTGCCTCAGCCTCCCGAGTAGCTGGGATTAGAGGCACCTACTACCACACCCGCTAATTTTTGTATTTTTAGTAAAGACAGAGTTTCACCATGTTGGCCAGGCTGGTCTCAAACTCCTGACCTCAGGTCATCCACCTGCCTCAGCCTCCCAAAGTGCTGGGATTACAGGCATGAGCCACCACGCCCGGCCTGATTTTTGTATTTTTAGTAGAGACAGGGTTTCACCATATTGGCCAGGCTGCTCTTGAACTCCTGACCTCGGATCCACCCACCTCAGCCTCCCAAAGTGCTGGGATTACAGGTGTGAACCACCACACCAGGACCTGTCAAGTATTCTTTGAGGACTGGACACCAGGTCCTTGTGAAGCAGGTAGAGTGTGTCACCTATTGGACAAATGCCCAACAACCCCATGAGACATGCTGTTGTTGTTGAAGTGCTTGATTTACAGACAGGGAAACTGAGGCTAAAGAAGGTTGACGGACCTCATGTCTAAGACTGCAGAATGGGTGAGTCAGGATTTGAACCCACACCCACGTTTTCACTTTGTGCAGGAAGGGTATCTGGGCTGTGAGGGGGAGGAGGGTGCCCTTCTCATACCAGCAAATAGCTCGGGTGGCCCTGGGTGGACTCCTTGGCCATCAGGGTCTCTGCCAGGTCCTCGTACAGCTTGTCCAAAAGCTCTGTGTGGACAGCCTCGTGCTGGGGTCAGACAGAGTGAGAGCTTGTTTGCTTTCGTTCTAATCTGTAAAAATGGTCAGATGATTTTCACCAAGTTTGGAGGGGAGATTTGGGATGGAATGGTGTAATACCAGCCAGCTGGCATGTAAAATATTCACTTCATTGGGCATGGTGGTGTGTGCCGAATAGTCCCAGCTACTCTAGAGGCTGACATGGGAGGACTGCTTGAGCCCAGGAGTTCGAGGACAGCCTGGGCAAGAGACCTTGTCTCTAAAAAAAAAATTCACTTGGTAGGGAAACCTGGATGGGAGGGCCTTCAACGAGAGGTGTTGAGAGGGTAGGGTTAGGTGTAGTCTAGGGCAGGAGACAAGGATTCCGTGAGAGCTGCCACATGACCATGACAGAGAGGAGGAAAACAAAAGGTGCTTTTAAGTGAGCCCAGGCAGAACTGTGAGGGCGGCCCATGCTGCAGGCTGTGGCTGTCAGCAGGCTGCTTCTCCATGGCTGGCCCCATCTTAAGATTCACAGGGCAGCAACAATATACACTGGGTGACTGCTGCCCTCTCCTGGTGGCACAGGGCAGACCTGCTGGTGACCACAGATGCACCCTTTTGGGGAGGATTAGGGAGAAAGCAGGTATTGGAGAAGCAGGGGATTGTTTACTTGCTAAAAGTGTGGCCCTTTCACTAAGATAGGTCTGCTACTGCCTACTGAGGAATGGCCTCTCGACATCCTTATGTCAAACCCTGCACTTTCGGGCCCATCTTTAAAATCCATCCTAGGCCAGGTGCGGTGGCTCATGCCTGTAATCCCAGCACATTGGGAGGCCGAGGCAGGTGGATCACCTGAGGTCAGGAGTTCGAGATCAGCCTGGCCAACATGGTGAAACTCTGTCTCTACCAAAAATACAAAAATTAGCCAGGCATGGTGGCATGTGCCTGTAGTCCCAGCTTCTTAGGAGGCTAGGCACGAGAGTTGCTTGAACCCAGGAGGCAGAGGTTTCAGGGAGCCGAGACTGTGCCACGGTAATCCAGCCTGGGCAACACAGTGAGACTCTGTCTCAAAAAAATAAGTAAAAAATAAAATCCATCCTGCATCAGTCAGGAAAGAGCTCATTCCAGCAGGATCAATGCAGAGAATTCACCAGAGGAACTAGTTCCAAAGGTATGGCAAGAGCTAAACCTTCCAACAGGGGCCCATGGGGCAACCCAGAGACAGACAAGAGCAGGAAACTCCAAACCCTTCGGCGGGCAGGACAGAGGGTGTGGGTGAGGGTTCCAGTGCTGTGGGCTGGACCAGCCTGGTAGGAATGAGAATCCATATGCTAGGAGCTGGGGCCCCAGAGAAGCAGCTGCTGTGGAAACCCCAGGAGGCAGAGTGAGGGAGAGACACTGGCCTCCCCTTCTTCCTGCCCTGCACTGTCTCCCATGGGTCACACGTGGCTGCAGCCAGTTGCCTGGGGAGGCCCCTGTCATGCTGCTGTTTGCAAAGCAGGCCCAGGGCCTGGGAAGGACAGGGGCTCCAGCACGCAGGTGGCTATGCTGTCTGGCTACTGGGCGGACACTCCCCATAACGGACCTTTTTGGTGAGTTCTGAGAGAAAGCACCGGGCATACTTGACTGACAGCCGGTGCTTCACACACACAGGATGCTTCACAGTCTACGGCAAAGGACAGAACGTTGGTTGCTCGAGAGCCCGTCTTAAGTCCCCTATGAGCTTCAAGCCAACACAGCAGAGGGCAAACTCCAGGCTACCCGATCCCTCAGCAAAGATGTAGATGGACACAGCGTTCTGGCCCCATGCATCTGAAGTTTGTCTTAAGATATAAACCGTTTCCTAAAAATGCTTCCACTGCAGTGGCACAGGCTATGGCAGCATTTCTAATGCCCATTCTGAGCAGGAACACAGGGCACGTGGGCCCAAACCACCTCCCTCCCAGGGGTGCCAGTGTGAACCAGGGTTTGCAGTAAGGACAGTCGCCAACTGTCTGGCTCTATGGAAGAGGCGGGAAGGCCCACTTGGCAACTGCTCTCTTGGAGTGTGTGTCCCTGGGGACAGGATGGAGGGGAGGGGACGCTCAGGGTGACACTCCAGCTAAAGTCGAGAGAAGCCGAGTGCAGGACGAGCAAGTTCCAGGCAGTGGCAACAGCTGGTGCAAGCTCTGAGGTGGCCGCGGCCTGGCACTTGGAACGGAGGGCAGAGGGACTGCTGCAGCAGGAGGGGGGCGGTGGGAAAACAGGAGCCTGGAGGGAGAGGGAGGAGACGGTCCGCAGTGCCTGCTGGCTGGGAGGGATGCAGATTCTGCCCAAGGGCAGCAAAGTACCCCACGCAATACACAGGCTCTTCAGGCTGGTGCTGGTTTTTCATTTTTTCTGACACACAGTCTCGCTCTGTTGCCCAGGCTGGAGTGCAGTGGCCCAATCTTGGCTCACCGCAGCCTCTGCCTCCTGGGTTCAAGCGATTCTCCTGCCTCAGCCTCCCAAGTAGCTGGGACTATAGGCGTGCACCACCATGCCCAGCTAATTTTTGTATTTTTAGTAGAGGTGGGTTTTTGCCATGTTGGCCAGGCCGGTCTTGAACTCCTGACCTTAGGGGATACGTCCACTTCAGCTTCCCAAAGTCCTGGGATTACAGGTGTGAGCCAGTGCACCCAGCCTTGTGCTGGGTTTTAAAGCAGCTATCCCTACATTTCATGCTTCACCACCTACGAGAGTGAGGCTCAGGGTGAAACTCAGAGCAGGGTGCGAGATAACTTCAGGTATCTCCATGCTCGAAGCCCTGACCTACTGCATTGCCCCGAAAGTCTTCCCTCCTGTGGCTGCATCTTTTCCACATGGATAATCTTGGTTCACCTCTAGCACAAGAATTCTTCACCGGGGCCCCTAGGATGGGCTGGCTGGGTGGAGGTGGAGGATGTCTGCCTCCAGAGTTTGTATGGAAAATGTATTCTTCTGGTGCACTTCTCTCTGGGAGGGAGTCTATTGCTTTGTCTTTTCAGAAGGGCTCATGGCCCTTCAAAGGTGAAGACCCAGGATGCAGGGTGATCTGCACTTGGCCCTCAAGGCCAAAGTCAGGCTGTGGCTGGGCGGGGTGGTGATCCTGCCTCTCACCTGCATGCAGATGCTCTTGAGTCCAAACCCCACCCTGGGCAAAGTAAGGGCCCATTTAGGTCTAGAAGAGACAGGAGTGGGCAGGACAGGTCTCATGAATGCAAAAAAGAAAGTCTCTGAGCATCTACCAAATGCTAGAAGCTGTTTTGCACCTGTCATCTCTGTTTTTGCTGTAGATGGTTTAAAAAACTTTCCCTAGATTCCCCCCTCTCATGCAGATTTTTGTATATTCTGATGTCTTTGTCTAAGTCTTAGATAGAAAATGAAAGAGCTGGAGCTGTCGGAGGTGCCGACACCCACCTGCAGTGCTGACTCAATGTTCAATGTTCTTTGAACAGGTGTGTTTTTAAAGGGTACAAGCACACCTGTGGTTCTTCTCTCAGGTCTTCCGGAGAGATTCAGGAGGCAGGGTCATGAGTCCCAGGGACTCTGGGATTCTTACAAATATCTGGGATTCTGCAAAATATCCCGCAGAAGCTCAGAATCTGATGAGTCTCTTAACTTTGCTTCTAAGCTCTGTGTGGAGGGGAGAGAGAGAAATCTCAAGGGCGCTTTCACAGGAACATTAAACACGCAATAGAATGTGTTGGCAAAGCGCTGTGTGATCTCTCCCTGGGGACGTGGAGCCAGTTGGAAGTGGAAGCCACAGCAGCTGAAAGCCTGACCTTCAGATGTCGCAGGGTGCACCTGGATGAGTCACAGGAAGAAGGCTAGAAGACTGACTCTTGGCCGCATTAGTCCTGGCTACTTAGAGGCCACCTGGGTCATGGGCCAGCTCCCTGGTTGCACTGGTCAGCCAGGATTGCACTGGTTACCAGGGCAGCCATGGCACCAAGGTTTGATGGGCTTGCCATCTAAGTGGAAATGCAGAATGTGCCCATACCAGCCTGGGTTACATTGTCCTTTTACAGGGGCCTCAAGCCCAGCAGCGAACTTTGGCTCCCGAATTAGGTAGACTGTCTCGGCTGGTATGTGACACAGGGCAAGGCACTTCATTGCTTCAGAGCTCCTTCCATTGCCGTAAAAGGCCCTACAAGACCTGGTCCTAATCCCTCTCTCTGGCCTGTTCTCCCTCACCCCTGGCCAACCCTGCTCACTCCACTCCAGCCACACTGGCTGCCTTGCTGTTGTTCCTCAACCACAGCTGGCTTGTTTCCACCACAGGACCTGTGCATATCCTGTTCCCCCAAGCCCTTCCCATGGCTGGCTGCTTCACCACTCAGGCCCCAGTTCAAATGCCACCTCTTTGGGGAAGGCTTCCCTGATTCCCCGACTTTGGTGACTCTTCTCCCCAGTTGCTCCATTCACCATTTCCCTGTTTTATTGGCTTTAAAGCCACTCTCATCTGGTCTTTTCTTGTTTCTTCATTTCTTTGTTTATTCTCTGGCTCTCCCATGCAAGCAGACCCTCATCTGTCACGGGTACTGCTGATCCATGGTGTCTGGCTCATAGAAGGCATTTATTAAACATTTTGAGACTGAATAAAAACACTATCTAACACTGACATGCATTTACCATGAGCCAGGCACTGATCCACAGGCTTTTGTACTCAACCCTGACAACAACCCTAAGAGGTAGGTATCATTCTATCCCCCATTTTATTAATAAGAAAACAACAGCACAGAGAGATGCAGTCACTTGCCCAAGGTCACACAGGGCCAGGGGTTGGGCCAGGTTTCGAAGCAGGCAGGCTGTCTCCTGGGTCTGAACTCTCAACTACTGCACCCTAATCAAACAATCCCTCTGGTCAAATGTGAGTGGTAATAATAGTACCCACCTCGTGGGTGTTGAGGGTGAGCCCAAGTTAGCATTCAGCGTGGGCATGTGAACAATTATAGTCAATATTGAATGGAGACCTATGATGCTTTTATGAAGGTTTCTATTTTGGGTTAAAAGTGCACAAATTTCTCCTGACCGGAAATGATCTCTGAGTGCAAATATTTCATATCAATGGAATAACGCAAATGATTAAGCAACACCCCATAAAATGGGGCAGACCCAGGGAGGAATATATATCCAAACTCACTCATCCCAGTGAGCTCACCGCACATGAATTACAAATGGGGCCGGGTGCATTAAGCCCCTCTACTGGCAGAAGGGAGGCTGCTGCCTGCCATGCGCCTGTGCTGAGAATGGCAGGTCCCCAGGGAGACGAGAGGCCACCCCCTTCTCTGTCTCTTCCATCACAGGCGTGAGAACCTCAGAGCATGAGCCGATTCTGTGCAGTGCTCGACATACAGACGAGAACACTGAGGCAGGAGAGACAGCCTGTGACCTGGTCACTGCGCTCAGGAGGACGTGGTTACCCGTGGTCCTGAGGGCGCTGACTTTTTAGAATGGGCGAGGGCAGCTCTGTCCCAGTGACCAGAACGGTTACTGTCTTTAAAAAGTCGTGAAAATGATCGTGAACTGTACCCCACAACGAGTGCGCGTCTGCCCCCCAAGACGGTGGAGAGGCCCCCAGCTTCTCCCGCCAGCTCGCGGGGCAGGAGGGGTGCGAGCAACTCTGGCCAGGCCCCAGGGACGGGGACCGGGTCGCGCGGACCTGACCGGCGGGAGCCCAGGCATTCACGTGGCGGGAGCGCTGGAGGCTTCAGCACGGAGACCCATCCCGTCTGCCCCTGGACTCCCGCGAGCCCCGCGGGCCTCTCCGCTCGCCCCGCCGCCCACCTGCCAGGGGAAGGAACGCAGTGCGCGCGCCGCCAGGAAGCGGCGCTCGAAACTCTGCAGCAAGAGTTCGGTCCCCGCGTTCTCCTCGGGCACCATGACGGGGGCGGGGCCGCAGCGTTGCCGGGAGACCGGGCGGAAGCCGAGCCTGGACTGAAAAGGGGGCGGGCCCAGGGCAGTGCGCGGGGGCAGAGAGGGGGCGGGGCCTGGGGGTAGGCTTAGGATGAGAGTCGTGGGAGCGGCTCTAGGGCGGGGCCAGGATGAGCGTTATGAGGCGGGGGCCTGGGGTGGGGCCAGAATGAGCGTCTTGAGGGCGAGGCCTGGGGTAGGGCCAGGAGAAGCGTCGTTGGGGCAGGTCCTGGGGAGAGTTCAGGTTGGCGTGTCCTGGGGCGGGGCCAGGACAGGGCGATCCTGGAAGCGGGGCTTCGGAAACATCCAGGTTGGAGACGTCCTGGAGGCGGGGCCTTGCGTGGGGGCAGGATAAGAGTCCTGGAGGCGGGCGTTAGGGTGGGGGTAAAGGACGATTGGGTTCAGGAGGCGAGACTCGGAGCAGAGCCCAGGAGACAGGTCCTAGGGCGGGGCTAAGGCCAGACCCGGAGAACGGCTCAGGAGGCGGGGCCAGGGCGGGGCGTTGACTATGTCGTAGCACGTGGCCAGGCGCTGCTCGGACTCTGGGAGGCGGAGCTTAGGACGGGCCTACGTGGGGAGGGGCCCAGGGTCCGGGAGGCGGGGCCGAGTCCGGGCTGCTGGCTGCGCTCAGGAGGCGGGCCCTGGGAGGCGGAGCTTAGGGAGGGGCCGGTGTCGGGAGGGACCCAGGGACTGGGAGGCGGGTCGGGGCTGGGCTCAGGGGCCGAGAGGGAGCTGGGCTTGGGGCGGGGCCGAGACGGAGCGAGGGGTCCAGGGTGTGAGAAACGGGGAGGGGTTTGAGGAGGGGATTGGAGCGTGGCTCAAGTTCGGGAGGCGTTACCTGCGGAGAGTTTGAGGCAGGCCCAGGAGCGAGCCCACGGTCTGCCGACGCGGAGCCAGGGACGGGCCCCAGGATCCGGAGCTTCAGGCGGGGCCGAGTCCGGGTTTGGGGCCCGGGAGTCGGGGCCGGTTAGGGCGAGGGTCCCCGGGATCGTCCGGTCAGGCCTTGGGCCAACGTAGGCACTCTCGCAGTTCCTCCGCCTTCAGGAAGGTCTTTTTGGCAGGGGCCTTATGGGTGCGCGCTTCGGTCCTGGAGGCGTTATCCTAGCCTCCTCTCCATCAGCGCCACCCGTCCGGGGCCCGATAGGAGGGAGTTTTCCCTCTGTCCCCCACCCTTTGGACTGTCACCAAACAAGCCATTCGTTCACCAAATACTTATTAAGCGCCTACCATGTGTCTGGCAAGGGAGATGTAACAGTGAGAAAAACTAGGTGTGGTCCAGGCCCTCCAGGGGCTCAGGGGCTCGTGGAAGAAGTGGACATTGAGGTACTTATCACACAAATAAGTATAAAAGTACAATAGCGATATCTGCCACGAAGGCGAGCAGACAGAGCTAGCGGGGCTTCCAGGAGGAGTTTTGATCTTGCAGGGACAGGAAGGAGGAGTTAGCTCCTGGGGGGCGGGATTGGGGGTGGTGGTGATATAGACGTGGGGGACAGAGTGGAAAACAACAAAAATATAATTATTTTAGTTCAAAGTTATTGTGTCTTGAGTTGAAAGGCTGGGCAGTTAGCAACACAGTTCAGATTTCAGTACTGCCCCTGAAATCTGAACTGTGTTCAAAGTCTAAAACGTTTACCTTAGCAAATCCCTCATAAAACTCCATTTGGAAGAGTCCCGAGAGCTAATTTGTTCAGTGTACTTGCAAAAGGTAGATGAGGAGACAGACAAAATCTTATTACCTCTTTCAGATGAGAGGCACTTGAGCCCTGCTCAGCTGCGAGAATAAGAGAGGGGAATTAATTCTATTTGAATACACGTGTTCTCTCACAGCTGTTGTTCCCCACCAGAACCAAATGAGCGCAAGATCTGACAAAGAAAAAAAAAAAAGGTTCATCTTTTATTCCCCCAAACACTTTCATTTAAATCAAGAGGGTGGGATGTGGTTATTGCTGTGTTTTTAGACAGAATCAACAGTTTCTGGGTCTGAGATATTGCATACACCCTCTCAGTCCCTGTATCCTGAGATGGAGTCACCTGAGAATCCACAGCATGTCCTAACCTGGGATGGGTCTGGGTGATTAAGGAAGGTTGGCTTTAGAACTGGGCCGGGGCACTGCTTTGCTTTTGCTGTTTTGATCAGCTCTCTGCCTGCAGGAGAGAAGGAAAACCAATGGGAACAGGTTAGTTACACTCATAAATCCTGGGCTTATTTTATTAACTCACATAATAGCTATTAATTGCCTTTCCTCCAAGGAGCAAAAGGGCATATACGGTCAATACTATAATAAGTACCACTGTATTATGTTATACTAAAATATTAATAAATCGAGGTTGGTTCAGTCTTTCCTGATTCCATAGATTGGAAGCGGATTGAGGAAAGACCCTAGCGGACCACAGAGCTGAGCCATGCACACAGAAGAAATCTTTTCTTCTTTTGTTTTTTTTTTTGAGACGGAGTTTCGCTCTCTTGTTGCCCAGGCTGGAGTGCAATAGCGCGATCTCTGCTCACTGCAACCTCCACCTCCCGGGTTCAAGCGATTCTCCTGCCTCAGTCTCCCGAGTAGCTGGGATTACAGGCGTGAGCCACCATGCCGGGCCATTTTTGTATTTTTAGTGGAGACAGGGTTTGAACACGTTGGCCAGGCTGGTCTCAAATTCCTGACCTCAGGTGATCTGCCCTCCTCTGCCTCCCAAAGTGCTGGGATTACAGGCATGAACCACCGCGCCCGGCCAGAAGAAATCTTTATCTTGGTGTGCGGGCTCCGATGAGGGACAAATGTCATCTATCTTGGATCTGAATCTGGAAGGATCAAGGCACTGAAGGGATTTTTTTGTTTCAGAGAGTCTCCCTCTGTTGCCAGGCTGGAGTGCAGTGGCATGATCTCGTCTCCTGCAACTTCTGCCTCCCAGGCTCAAGCGATTCTCCTGCCTCAACCTCCCGAGTAGCTGGGATTACAGGCACGCGTCACCACGCCTGGCTAATTTTTGGATTTTTAGTAGAGACAGGGTTTCACCATGTTGGCCACGAGTGTCTCTTGAACTCATGATCCATCTGCCTTGGCCTCCCAAAGGGCTGGGATTACAGGCGTGAGCCACCACGCCTGGCCTCACTGAAGGGATTTTTTAATGTCACGTGGCTCTCTCAGGTGCGGTGTGTTCGGGTGCAAGTGAAGATTAGGACTGATACTTAAAACCAAACGTAAAATTCCAGGTGGTGTTGCTATGGGGAGCAGCATTAGGACAATCTGAGTGGTTTCAGTTGCAAGACTGTGCGTGTACGTGCAAGAACTACAGTCAAGGTTCAACTTCTGGCTTTTAGGGTCTCTTTAATAACAGTAATAACAACCTAAGGCAGTTTAACGGTATGGAATGGTTGCCTTTTAGAAGTTAAGCTATGGGCATGGAAGTTCAATCAGTACATTGAAGTTTTTCCTTTATCTCTCCTATGGTTAATGGTTTCTGCAGAAAAGGACCTATTGATTTCTTTCTAAAACGTTGCTTCAGGGTGTAGAGACCTTTATAGGTCATGTTTCAACTTACAGAAAATTTTATAGTTCAAATATAAATTACATTCAATGTGGACTTTGTAATAGAATTGAAGGTCAAGTAAAGTTTCCACTTTTCTTAGGCTGTTTGCAGTGCCCAGCAGGCCCCATCATATCGAGATGGAAGTTATGTTAAAGGAGGAGATTGGTCAGGGAAGGGCAGAATAAGGAATATGGGCAGCTCAGGCTAATGATACAATGATTGAGGTGTAGAAAGAGGGCCAGGCACGGGATAACGCCTGTAATCTCAGTGCTTTGGGAGGCCAAGGCAAGAGGATCACTTGAGGTCAGGAGACCAGCCTGGTCAACAGAGTGAGACCTAATCTGTACAAAAAAAAAAAAAATTAGTTGGGGATGGTGGTGTGCACCTGTAGTCTCAGCCACTTGGAAGGCTGAGGTCAGGGGATCCCTTGAGCCCAGGAGTTTGAGGCTGCAGTGAGCTATAATCACATAACTGTACTCCAGCCTGGGTGATAGGGTGAGGCCCTGACTCAGAAAAAATTGATTCAGGGAAAAAATTGGAAATCTTAATCCTCCGTACCCAGGACTGTGACCTTATTAGGAAATAGGGTATTTGTAGATGTAATCAAGTAATGATGAGTCATACTGGATTGGGGTCTGCTGGTGAGAAAGCAGATGCAACGACAGGTGTCCTTATAAAAGGAGAGAATGAGGGCCGGGCGTGGTGGCTCATGCCTGTAATCTCAGCACAATTTGGGAGGGTGAGGTGGGCGGATCACTTGAGGTCAGGAGTTGGAGACCAGCCTGGCCAACACGGTGAAACTCCATCTCTACTAACAACACAAAATTAGCACTGCGTGGTGGCGGGAGCCTGTAATCCCAGCTACTCAGGAGGCTGAGATGGGAGAATCACTGGAACCTGGGAGGCGGGGGTTGCAGTGAGCCAAGATTGTGCCACTGCACTTCAGCCTGGGTGACAGAGGGAAACTCCATCTCAAAAAAATAAAATAATAGAGGAGAATGTCAGATAAAGACAGAGACACAGGGAGAAGGCAGCCATGTGATGAGGGAGGAGAGACTGGAGCGATGCATCTACAAGGAACACCAAGCATTGCCAGCGGCCACCAGAAGCCAGAAGAGGCAAGGAAGCATTCTCTCTTACATGTTTCAGAGGAAGTGAAGCCCGGCCGACACCTTGATTTTGGGCTTCTAGCATCCAGGCCTGCGAGACAATACATTTCTGTTGTTTTCAGCCACCTGCAGGGCCCTCGTTGTTGTTGTGTTTTTTTTTTTTTTTTTTTTTTTTTTTTTTTGGAGATGGAGTTTCACTCGTGTGTCCCAGGCCGGAGTACAATGGCGCGACCTCGGCTCTCTGCAACCTCCTCCTCCCAGGTTCAAGCTATTCTCCTGCCTCAGCCTCCTGAGTAGCTGGGATTACAGGCATGCACAACCTTGTCCAGCTAATTTTTGTATTTTTAGTAGAGATGGGGTTTCACCATGTTGGCCGGGCTGGTCTCAAAATCCTGACCTCAAGTGATCGCCTGCCTCAGCCTCCCAAAGTGCTGGGATTACAGGCAAGAGCCACCGTGCTCGGTCTTGTGGTTATTTTTCTAGACAAGATCCAGCTGTGTCATCCAGGCTGGAGTGCAGTGGTACAATCTCAGCTCCTGCAACCTCGACCTCCCTGGGCTCAGGTAATTTTCCCATCTCAGCCTACAAGTAGCTGGGACTACAGGCTTGGCTAATTTCTGTATTTTCTGTAGAGATGGGGTCTTGCTATGTGGCCCAGGCTGGTCTCAAACTCCTTGGGCTCAAGCCATCTGCCTGCCCTGGCCTCCCAAAGTGCTAGGATTACAGGCATGAGCCACTATCCCTGGCCACCCTTGTTAAAAAATAAAGAATTTCAAGATGGTGATGGCAGATTATTAAACCACAGTGGGGACTCCTCTGTGTCCCTGTGGGACTGTCCAGGTTCAAGCCCATGAAGCCGGCCCTGGCTGCTGGGTTCTTGGAGTGCTGGACCTCCCGTGGCATGTGGCAAGGAGTTGTCATGGGTTATCACGACATATGATGATCAACTACGGGAGACCCAAAGACCACTCTGTCCTTTTTCCGACGAAGGGCTGTGTATGTCACACTAGCAGCAAACAGAACCGCAAGAGCTCCAGTGACAATGCTGAGCCCGATCACTGTGCCTTGCAGAGCAGATGCCGTCTGTACCTCCCTCCTGTTAAGAAACCAGAGGGTTTTTAATTGCCTGATTATTAAGAGGCTGTTCTGGCTGCTCCTGGTTCCCTGGGAAGTTTTCCATCTAGCCGCCAGTGAGTATTCATTATGGAAATGAAGTGTACATTGAACCCAAGAAAATGCTCACTCTAGAGAAATCTCATAGGGCAAGTCGTTGAAAGCCGATTTACTAAATGACCTCTTCACCAAATGACCCATTTGCCTAATGACCACTTTGCCAAATGATCAATTTGCTGAAAGCCAATTCGCTGAAAATCTGTTTGTGGGATGTCCTGCTTATCAGTAACTGACAGTCAGACGCAGCTTATCCCAGGCTCCCAGTGGGATGTGGGACAGGGGAGGGGCTACAAAATAGTTGTAGCAAAACTCCAAAACTTAAAAAGCAGAAAAATCCTCCATAATTTGGTGAATTGGTCCTTCATTTAATTAGTTTTGTACAAAAGGGACTGCTTTCTTTATGTTCACAAGGAGATCATGGGCAGTGGCTTACAAGAAGAGAAAGGATGTATATCACCCCTGCCCTCCCCTCTTTTCCTTTTTTTTTTTTAAAGCAGGAATCGGAGTGCCGTAGTACAATCACAGCTCACTGCAGCCTCCAACTCCTGGGTTCCAGCGATCCTCCCGCCTCAGCCTCCCCAGTAGCTGGGACTACAGGCATGTGACACTACATCCAGCTAATTTATTGTAGAGACAGGGTCTCACTATGTTGCCCAGGCTGGTCTCAAGCTCCTGGCCCCAAGTGATCCTCCTACCTCGTCCTCCCAAAGTCCCAAGTATGAGCCACTGTGCCCAGCCCATTACTCCTTTTTGCATGTAATTGCTTTAAGCGTTCGTTAGATCACTGGACAGTATCCAAGTCTCTCCTGGCAAAAGGAAAGATAGCCAGTGTTTGTAAACAACCCACAAAAGAAGGCAATAGCAAATTCTGAGATGATTTTATTCTTCCTTTGTATTACCCAAATTGAAGGGGTTTGAAGTCTTGAGAATTTGCAGTCTCGTTTCAGACTCTCCCTTCTCCTTTTTTCAGCATCGAGGGAACAGCAGGGTTTTGCTCCTCCCCTATGAAGAGCTTTCTGTGCTATTGAAGGAGGGCTGATTTCCGTATCTGGAAGGGGCATCTTGGAGACAGACTATACACAGTGATTTCCTTAGGACCGGAAAGATTACAGCCCAACTTTCTCTATAGAGCACAGTCCCTTTGCCTAAAAGGCACTATGTCAAATGTTACCAGCAGGTCGAGGGATTCCCTACCTCCCGTGCTATCTGTATGGAGCTGTTGACATCTTGTTCCTGGGGCTCCAAAGCTGCTGGGAAACAGGATTGTTCTGCTTGAATTCCCTCCTCCCCACCATGAGACCCCTTTTTGATTCTTTTCTATGTCAGGACAGAGCAGACTCTGCTGACAGTTTTCTGGCAGCTGCTTTTGTGTCTCACCTGGCTGCTGGTCATAAGAGTTCATGAGCATTTCCTGGGTGACTGCCAGGGAGCCGTTGTGGGTTTGGGGGTGACTCCCAGGAGCTTACACACGAATGGGTAGATGTGGATGCTGTTAAAAGGATCGGCCAGGCGATTCCTCTTGAAATCTGGCCCGAAAGCTCTGAATATGATGTTCATGTCCATGAGGACATTATCAAAGCCATGGCTGCCTTTGCTGAAACACATTATAATTCTCTGAAAACTAATAACAATAAAAAAGCCATTTTAGATTCCAATCCGCTGAAAGAAAACTGTCCCTTTGTTAATGTCATGCTTGTTGGATCCATGAAGTCTTTGAGAATTTAAACTACAAGGACACTGCTCTCTGTGGTGGTGGAGAGAATACCAAGGATTTAAAGGTCTTTAAGAAAGAGAATGTAGAAAGTGTACCCATTGGAAACAGCAAGATGATGATAATCGTACTGACAGTAATAATAAGCTCAAATATATAGAGCTTACTATGTATCATGAATTGTTCTGAATGCTTCATAAATATACGTTCCCTCCTTTACCGTCATGGCAGCCCAGTAAAGGCGCCATTCCCCATTTTACAGCTGGGGAAACTGAGTTACAGAGCTTGACTGCACTGAGTCAACAGGAGCAAATGCTAGATCAGGTAATGGAACCCAAGCAATCTGGTTCCAGAGCCAAATAAGTGTATTTTTTATGGTATAAATACACATACATACATTTTTAGGGGAAAGGTGGGGGTAGGATGGGATGAGGATTCTGGGTAATTGCTTGGTAAATGCCAAATACCTTTCTTGTCTGTCCTTCTTTTCAAATGATAAAATAATGTCAATTGCAACACTTTTTTTTTTTTGAGACAAGGTCTAGCTGGAGTACGGTGATGCAGTCATAGCCCACTGCAGCCTCAAATTCCTGGGCTCAAGCAATCCACCCACATCAGGTTCCCAAGTAGTTGGGACTACAGGCCCACACTACTATGCCCAGCTAATTATTTTAATTTTTGTAGAGATGGCAGGTGGCGGTGAGGGGCGGGCGGTTTTGCTATGTTGCCCAGGCTGGTCTCAAACTCTTGACCTCAAGTGAACCTCCTGCCTCAGCCCCACAAAGCTCTGAAGTTATAGGCACGAGCCACTGTGGCTGGCTACAATACTATTTATTTATATTTTAGACCAACAGATATTATAGCATATAAGAAATGTGATGTTCTCTGCACATTGAAGAGTTGGTCTAATATTTGCCCTGGTGGATACAGAAATTGCCTGTCTGCTCCGCTCTGGTTGAAGAAACCAGTCCGACTGTCTCTGAGGCTATGGAGCAGTCCATCAAGAATGAAAGCCCTCTGCCAGGCACATTGGCTCACACCTGTAATACCAGCGCTTTGGGAGGCCGAGGCAAGTGGATCACTTGAAGTCACGAGTTTGACACCAGCATGGCCAACATGGTGAAACGCTGTCTCTACAGAAAATAGAAAAATTAGCTGGGCCTGGTGACACGTGCCTGTAATGCCAGCTACTCAGGAGGCTGAGGCAAGAGAATCACTTGAACCTGGGAGGCAGAGGTGGCAGTGGGGAGCTGAGATCACACCACTGCATTCCAGCCTGGGCGACAGAGCGAGACTCTCTCAAAAAAAAAAAAAAAAAAGAATGAATGTCCTCATGATGGCCTCAAGCACATTGGTCCCTGAAGAGAGCCAAGGAAGGCCCACTTTACTCTGCACTGCAAAGCAGGCAGGTGGACAGGATGAGAAATGGATTCAGTGAGAGGCATTGACCCAAAGGATTTTCTGCCTAATGGTCGGTTCAGCAGAAGATTAAACTGAGCACAGCATCCTGTTCCCTCAAACTATCTGGTTGGTCAGTGGGGAATGTTCTTGTCTCGTTAAATGTCCTCATGCTACTGTCAAGATATCCTGTTACAAATCATCATAAACCAGGTTTACAAATAGGCCAGGTGACTGTGGAATTTCTCCTTGACAAGGCCTTAGCTATGGGCGTGTGATTGGTGTGCAGTAATCACAGTGTTCCGGGCCACTTGAGGGATAAAATATACCTTAGGTGATAAACTGTTGTATTTTAATGTGAATATTTCCACCAACATTAAACAGTAACCCCATGAGTTTTCTCATACCTGTTACACTCTGGAGTTGCAACAAGCTGACATGAAGCAAGTTGCAAACAGAATTATCGCATTTGGCTCCTATTCACAGCAAGGGTTCTTCAAGCTGTACCTGGGGCAGTCTTCCCTCACATGAGGTTTATAGCATCATTTATTTCATTATTTATTTATTTTTTGAGATGGAGTTTCGCTCTGTCACCCAGGCTGGAGTGCAATGGTGCGATCTTGGCTCACTGCAACCTCCGCCCCCCCGGGGTTCAAGCGATTCTCCTGCCTCCGCCTCCTGAGTAGCTGGGATTATAGGCACCCGCTACCACGCCTGGCTAATTTTTGTATTTTTAGTAGAGACGGGGTTTCACCATGTTGACCGGGCTGGTCTCAAACTCCTGACCTCAGGTGATCCACCCGCCTCAGCCTCCCAAAGTGTTGGGATTACTAGCGTGAGCCACGGGGCCCTGCTATAGCATCATTTCAACTTTGTTTCTGCCATGAAGTTTTAATTGGTAGTTAACAAAAAATAGACCACCTCATTTATGTCTCACAGTTAGCATTGGTTTTTGTGTTTTCTTTAGGCTTGTTTTTTAATTGTTTTTAAAATTGTGAAACAGGGTCTTGTTCTGTTGCTGATGCCAGATTGCAGTGATACAGTCTTGGCTCACTGCAGCCTCAACCTCCTGGGCTCAAGCAATCCTCCCACTTTAGCCTCCTGAGTAGCTGGGACTACAAACACAAGCCGCCACCGCTGGCTAATTTTTAATTTTTTTTTTTTGAAATGGAGTTTCGCTCTGTCTCCCAGCAGGTTGGAGTGCAGTAGGGTAATCTCAGCTCACTGCAACCTCCACCTCTCGGGTTCAAGCGATTCTCCTGCCTCAGTCCCGGCACCCACCACCATGCCTGGCTAATTTTTAAAAAATATTTTTAGTAGCGACAGGGTTTCATCATGTTGGCCAGGCTGGTCTTGAACTGCTGACCTCAAGTGATCCACCTACCTCGGCCTCCCAAAGTGCTGGGATTACAGGCGTGAGGCACCACGCCAAGCCTAATTTTTAAATTTTTTGTAGAGACCAGGTTTTGCCATATTGTCTAGGCTGGTCTTGAACTCCTGGGCTCAAGTGATCCTCCTGCCTTGGCCTCTCAAAGTGCTGGGATTACAGGCATGGCCCTTATGCCTGGCCCTTAAAGCTGCTTTTTAATAACAGCCTTGCTGAAAGATAATTCACTTACCATACAATTTACCCATTTAAAGTGTACAATTTGGCCGGGCATGGTGGCTCACACTTGTAATCCCAGCACTTTGGGAGGCTGAGGTGGGAGGATCGCTTGAACCCAAGAGTTTGAGATGAGCCCGAGCAACATGGCAAAACCCTGTCTTAACCAAAAATACAAAAAAAATTAGCTGGGTGTGGTGGGTGTGTCTGTAGTCCCAGCTACTCAGGAGGCTGAAGTGGGAGGATGGTTTGAGCCCGGGAGGTGGAGGGTGCAGTGAGTTGAGATTGCACCACTGCCCTCCATCCTCGGCAACAGAGCCAGACCCTGTCTCTAAATAAATAAATAAAGTGTATAATTCAGTGGTTTTTAATATATTCACAGAGTTGTGCAGCCATCACCACCATCAGTTTTAGAAATTTTAATAACCCCAGAAGAGACCCTGTATCCATTAGCAGTCACCCCTTATTTCCCCCTGACTATCCCCACCCCTGGCTCCTGGCAACCATTAATCTACTTTGTTTCTTTGGATTTTCATATTCTGGGCATATATATATACATATATGCGTGTGTGTGTGTGTGTGTATGTATATATATATATATATATATATATATATATATATAATCATCTACTATTTGTCTGGCTTCTTTCACTTAGCCTAATGGTTTCAAAGTGTATCCTGGTTGTAGCATGAATCAGCCCTTCATTCTATATTTTGGCTGATTAATGTTCCATCACACGGGTAGACTGTACTTGTTTGCCCATTCAACTGTTGTTGATAGGCATTTGTGTTGTTGCCACCTTGTGACAATTATGAATAATTTTGCTACGAGCATCTGTGTGTGTCTTTGTATGAACAGGCTTGCATATTTTTTGATATGGGCAAATAAGAACTAGTGGCGGGAGGCCTTTGTGGTGAATTTTTTGGTGATCTTTGTGTACTCTGTATAATGATCAGCCACGCAGGCTTGGGGGCAGCACTTAACCTTCCATTTGTTTCTTTTTTTTAAGATAGGGTTTCTCTCTCTGCCACCCAGGCCAGAGCGCAGTTGACGCAGGGCAGGAGAGCCCCCAAGTGGAGCATAGTGTGTCCGGAACTGGGGGGTTCTTGGTCTCACAGACTTTAAGAATGAAGCCACGGACCCTCGCGGTGAGCGTCACCGTTCTTAAAGGCAGCGTGTCCGGAGTTTTTTCCTTCTGATGCTCGGATGTTTTCAGAGTTTCTTCCTTCTGGTGGGTTCCTGGTCTTGCTGGCTTCAGCAGTGAAGTTGCAGACCTTCGAGGTGAGTGTTACAGCTCTTAAAGCTGCATGTCTGGAGTTGTTTGTTCCTCCCAGTGGGTTCATAGTCTCACTGGCTTCAGCAGTGAAACTGCAGACCTTCAAGGTGAGTGTTATAGCTCATAAAGGCAGTGTGGACCCAAAGAGTCAGCAGCAGCAAGATTTATTGCAAAGAGCAAAAGAACAAAGCTTCCACAGTGTGGAAAGGGACCCCAGCGCATTGCCACTGCTGGCTCGGGCAGCTTGCTTTTATTCTCTTATCTGGCCCCACCCACATCCTGCTGATTGGTCCATTTTACAGAGAGCCGATTGGTCTGTTTTACAGAGAGCTGATTAGTCCGTTTTGACAGGGTGCTGATTGGTGCATTTATAATCCCTGAGATAGACCCAAAAGTTCTCCAAGTCCCTACTAGATTAGCTAGATAGAGGGTGTCCATTGGTGCATTCACAAACCCTGAGCTAGACACAGGGTGCTGATTGGTGTGTTTACAAACCTTGAGCTAGATACAGAGGGCCGATTGGTGTATTTACAATCCCTCAGCTAGACATAAAGGTTCTCCAAGTCCCCACCAGACTCAGGAGCCCAGCTGGCTTCACCCAGTGGATCCCACACCAGGGCCGCAAGTGGAGCTACCTGCCAGTCCCACGCCCAGCACCAGCACTCCTCAGCCCTTGGGTGGTTGATGGGACTGGGCGCTGTGGAGCAGGGGGCAGTGCTCACTGGGGAGGCTCGGGCCACGCAGGATCCCACGGCGGGTAGTGGGGAGGCTCAGGCATGGCAGGCTGCAGGTCCCGAGCCCTGCCCTGCGGAGAGGCAGCTAAGGCCCGGTGAGAAATCGAGCACAGCAACCACTGGCCCAGGTGCTAAGCCCCTCACTGCCCAGGGACGGCGGGGCTGGCTGGCCGATCCGAGTGTGGGCCTGCCGAGCCCGTGCCCACCCGGCACTCGCGCTGGCCCGCAAGCGCCGCGCCCAGCCCTGGTTCCCGCCCGCGCCTCTCCCTCTACACCTCCCCGCAAGCTGAGGGAGACGCCTCCAGCCTCGGCCAGCTCAGGAAGGGGCTCCCACAGTACAACAGTGGGCTGAAGGGCTCCTCAAGTGCTGCCAAATTGGGAGCCCAGGCAGAGGAGGCACCGAGAGTGAGCTCCAGGGCTGCCAGAACGCTGACACCTCTCAATAGCACATGAGGGTTCTTGCCTTTGCCCAGGAAAGAATTCAAGGGCAAGCTGGAGGTTTAGAAGAAAACAGCTTTATTGAAGAGGCAGTGTTACAGCCCTGTGACTGCTCCTGTAGGGCAGGGCTAGCCTGGAGGCAGAGAGTAGAGGCAGAGAGTTTGCAATCACATTTATACCCACTTTTAATCGCATGTAGATTAAAGGGCAGTTTATGCAGGAATTTCTAGAAAATTGGTAGTAACTTTTGAGTCATTGGATCATTGTCATGGAAAGTGGCAGTAACTCCCGGGTGTTGCCATGGCAATAGTAAACTCACATGGCACATTGGTGGGCATGTCTGGTGGAAAGCTGCTTCTGCCCCAGCCCTGTTTTAGCTAGTCCTCAATTTGGTCTGGTGTCCAAGCCCTGCCTGTGGAGTCAAGTCCTGCCTCCTATCTCACAGTGGCGTGATCATGGCTCACTGCAGTCTCAACACCCCCGGGCTCAAGCAGTTCTCCCACCTCAGCCTCCTGAGTTGCTGGGACCACAGGCACGTGCCACTATGCCCAGCTACAGTTTTTTGCATTTTTTGTAGAGATGGTGTTTCACTGTGTTGCCCAGGCTGGTCTCAAACTCCTGAGCTCAAGCAGTCTACCTACCTTAGCCTTCTAAAGTGCTGGGCTTACAGGTGTGAGCCGCTGCACCCAGCCCAAGCTTACATTTTTAATCTCAAGTCACTTCTCTCTAGGTTTTGATTTCTTCTTTAAAATGGTGGAACTAAGAGCATCTATTTTATAGGGTTGTTGGGAAGACAAAAATGAAAGAACTGCTATTCAATGTTTAGCGAAGCGCTACGCACAATTTTGAATAATGAAGTTGCTGTTTATTTTTTATTTTTTATTTATTTTTTAGAGACGGGGTCTTGCTCTGTTGCTCAAGCTGGAGTGCAGTGGTGCAATCACAGCTTACTGCAGCCTTGACCTCCTGGGCTCAAGAAATCCTGCCACCTCAGCCTCCTGAGTAGCTGGGACTACAGGCATGCATTGACATGTCTGGCTATTTATTTATTTGTTTGTTTTTTGTAGATATGGGGTCTCCCTATGTTGCCCGGGCTGGTCTTGAACTCCTGGCCTTAAGCAATCCTCCTGTCTTGGCCTCCCAAAGCACTGAGATTACAGGTGTGAACCACCATGGCCAGCCTTATTTTTATTTTTAAATCAGCCTTGTCCAGTTGAATTGGTCATTAATCTTGTATAATGGTAATTTGGGGCAGCATTGGTTGGGCGGGGGGTGGGGAACATTTGGGACCCTGTGGGCTACAACTCGTAGTATGTGCACTTATTTTATTTTATTTTGTTTTATTATATTATGTTATATTATATTTTTTTTGAGACAGGGTCTCACTCTGTTGCCCAGACTGGAGTGCAGTAGCATGATCTTGGCTCACTGCAGCCTCTGCCTCCCAGGTTCAAGCGATTCTCCTGCCTCAGCCTCCAGAGTAGCTGGAACTACAGATGCACGCCATCACTCCCGGCTAAGTTTTGTATTTTTAGTAGAGATGGGGTTTCACCATATTGGCCAGGCTGGTCTCAAACTCCTGACCTCAGGTGATACACCTGCCTCAGCCTCCCAAAGTGCTGGGATTATAGGCGTGAGCCACCGTGCCTGGCTGTGCACTTATGTTTGATTTTTGAGAACCACCCTTCCCTAATGGTTGTCTCCTAGATCCAAGGTGACTTTATTCATTTTAGAATGAACTTATCCCATTAATACTGTAACTAGAGTTGGCATACATCACGATTGGCAGAACCCGGTCATGTTTAGCGAGATGGAAGTGTTCTGGAAACTCCTCCTTCTTGTAGACCTGGAGGTGAGGGTGCGCATTCTTCAGTGCCTGGTAAAGGGCTTCCTCTTGCCCCAATTTGGGTAGGGGCAGCCCAAAGCCACCGTAGCCCGCAATATCAAACTTGACCCAGACCCTGAACTTGATGTAGTTGGTCAAGGGATCTTGTTGACGTTGGGTCTCTTCTTCACGGTGGTCACCCCATGGTCTGATGTGATGATGACGCTGAGGTGCTCTGCAGGCTGTGCTTCTCAGTGGCTCCCACCAGATACACGATGGTCCTGCCGATTTGCTGAATCATCAACTTCCTCTTCTCTGCCTCTGGCCCGAATCGATGTCCCACGTTATCTGGCTCTCTGTAGTACAGAGTCACAAAGTCAAAGTCTTCTGTGCTGAAGCAGTTCATGACGGTATCGATGTTCTCCCTCCGCTCTGTCTCGTTGCTGTTTGGGTGAGTGTAGGACTCCACCAGGGACCGCTTGACAGCCTCACCCTCGTATTTAGCACCTCCCCTGGAATAGTGGGATGATGCTGCTTTCTTCCCCTTAAAGTACAAGAAGAAAATTCCATCAGGGCCATTTCTCATACCTTTCTCACAATCAGCAAAGCTCGAGTTATCTACATCTGTGCCCCAGTCCAAAGACATAGAAAATATGTGGTGTTTGGAGTCAGACAGGGTGGAGTTAGATTCTGGGCTTCCCCAGGATCTCATAGCATCTACAACACTTTTAGTTACAAGATGTGCTATTATTTTATGGGTTACTAAGCAGAAAAATGCTGCCAACAAGACCGTGACATTCCAGTGATTGTAAGGTGTATTCTAACTTCAGAGATGGCAAAATGAAAAATAATTCCTTAGAAAAGAGGGAGATGGTAATTTCTGAGTTGTTGGTGGTGAATCTGTGCATGTGTGTTTTTTATATATATACACACATATATATACACATACGTATACATGTATATATATATGTGTATATATAGACATAACTATATACATATACATATATATATGTGTATATATAGTGGTGCAGTGGTACAATCATACCTCATTGCACCCTTGAACTCCTGGGCTTAAGCGATCCTCCCACCTCAGCCTCTTGAGTAGCTGGGGCCACAGGCATGTACCGCCATACCTATTTTTTTTTTTTTTTGAGACACAGTGTCACTCTCTCACCTAGGCTGGAGTGCAGTGGCACGATCTCAGCTCACTGCAACTTCTGACTCCTGGGTTCAAGCAATTCTCGTGCCTCAGCCTCCCAAGTAGCTGGGATTATAGACACGTGCCACTATGCCCAGCTAAGTTTTGTGTTTTTAGTTGAGATAGAGTTTTGTCGTGTTGGCCAGGCTGGTTTCGAACGCCTGGGCTGAAGTGATCCACCTGCCTTGGCCTCCCAAAGTGCTGGGATTACATGTGTGAGCCACTGTGCCTAGTCCTAATTTTTTTTTTTTTTTTTTTTTTTAGTGTTTGTAGAGATGAGATCTCGCTAATTTGCCCAGGCTTGTCCTGAACTCCTGGGCTCAAGTAATTCTCCTGCCTCAGCCTCTCAAAGTGCTGGGATTACAGACGTGAGATACCGCGCCCGGCTGGTGGTGAGTTTTAAAATTTTCCAGTGTCTCAGTGTTTCTACCTGTAGAATGCCAAAAAGTAGATGGCATCTTTGCAAGGATTAAGCCGACTAGCTTTTTTTTTTTTTTTTTTTTTTTTGAGACAGAATTTCTCTCTTGTCACCCAGGCTGAAGTGCAGTGGCGTGATCTTGGCTCACTGCAACCTCTGCCTCCTGAATTTAAGTGATTCTCCTGCCTCAGCCTCCCAAGTAGCTGGGATTAAAAAGCCAGCTAGCTTTAAGATACAGTGTTGGGCATCACATTTTGGCACGGAGCAGGCACTCTTTTCTTTGCCCCCACGTGGGACTAAGCCACCACAAGCCTTCCCTGGTGTGTGCAGTAGGTAATGAATGCTTGCCTGCTCAGCACCCACTACATGCTGGGCTGGGTCACATTACTCTGACTCCCCCTTGAGCTTCAGTCCATGCCTGGTTCAAGATGTATTGACTCAACTCGAGGATCCGGAGGTGGGATGTGGCTCTGGCCTGGCCAGAGGACCGAGGATGCTGCATGCCATGGCTACAGCAACCGGTTCAGCTTTGGGCTCATGTCCTAGTCAGAGCCAATGAGATGTAATCTTGGGATATCTGCTGGGCTGTTCGGAGGGGACAGGCTGCCCTGCTCATCCCCATTCCTGATGCTGAGGGATCTGAGAAAATCACTTGTAAAATTCGGGGCTGTTTGGAAGAAGGGGAGACTGATGTCTCCTTCTCTCTACAGACATCTGCTCAGCTACAGAGCTTGACTGACCTACCCAGAGGCAGAATGATATGGTGGTTAAAAGTGTGCTATGGGCCGAGATCTTGCCATTGCACTCCAGCCTGGGTGACAGAGTGTGACTCCGTCTCAAAAAAAAAAAAAGTGTGCTCTGGGCTGGGCGCGGGGGCTTACGACTGTAATCCCAGCACTTTGGGAGGCTGAGGCAGGAGGATCGCTTGAAGTCAGGAGTTTGGGATCAGACCCTATATCTAGAAAAATGTTTTTAAACAATTAGCTGGGTTGGTGGTGAATGCCTGTAGTCCCAGCTACTCGGGAGGCTGAGGCAGGAAGATTGCTGGATCCCGGGAGTTCAAGGCTGCAGTGAGCTATGATCAGGCCACTGCACTCCAGTTTGAGGGACAGAGAGAGACCGCATCTCCCTAAAGAACAAAAATGTGTGCTCTGGTGCCGCACTGCCTGGTTAGATCCTTTGTCCACCACTTAGATGCATGTTATATAAATGCTCTCCTCAGTTTCCTCGTCTGTAACTTGGGGACGATAGTGCTGCCCCATGAAGTGGTTGTGGGGGCTAAATGCACGTGGGCACATTGGTAAGCATTCAACAAGCTTGATTTTTCCTGGAGAGGGAGAAAGAGCATACAGTGAAGTGGCATGGTCAGGTGCATTGGGGTAAAGATTATTTCCTCTGGCTTCTGCCTCCTGGGAGGTACTAAGGATGGATGTGAAATGTGTCTGCAGACCCCAGAGTTGGGGACTGCAGACAGAAATTGAGATCAGGGCCCCAGTCTGGCAGAAATGGGTGCAGCATGGGGCATTGGGTTCCTTCCATCAAAGGCATGGGGTGTGTTGCAGACAGTCATGAGATGTGGCTGAATCTTGCAAGGGAGCCGCGGTCCTAGGGTTGCTGCTTGAGACAAAGACTGCTGTCAGTGGAACCTGGTGACCTTCACCCTTCTGTGTCAGGCTGCAGACAGCAAGAGATGGCAGCAGATTACACCCAACAGGAAAAGGGCCATTGCCATCCCACAGGTTGCCATAGGAGGAGATGACATCTCTCCCTCTCCTCCTCCAGCAGTGTCAGCTGGGGAAGAGGTGGGTGGGTTTGCACAAAAGAGTAGACCACAGACCATGCTCCTTCTCCTCCAGTCTGCTGGGGCCCCAAGAGAGTCTGCAGCCCTTGGCCAGGGACCAGCTGACACAGGAGAACAAAAGACCTTAGGTTGGGATAACATGGTGGTGCAGTTCATCCTCTGGAGCTCCCTGTGAGATCAGACTGGAGCTGGTGTCCAGCTGAGACCACATCTCACTCAGATCCTTCCCTGCCATATCCTGTTTCCCTTACTCCTATCTCCTGAGAGTTCTTCCTGAATGAATTACATGCATTTAATCCCTGCCTCAGGCTCTGCTTTTAGGGAACTTGACGTAAGACAGAAATCTTAGTACTAAATACTTTGCAAGGCCTCAGAAGCTCTGCTATCCACAAGCGAGATATTACCTTCCTACCACCTGGCAGTCATAGTCTATGATGAGATTCAGCTTTATGGAAGTGCTTCTCTAAAGAACTTCCCCCAATTTAAGACGATCTAAATTTGCTTACTTGTTTACTATCCATTTAGCTGCTCTAAAATATGAGCTCCAAATCAGGGGCCATGTCTGGTTGGTTACTCATTTCCTGAGACCTAGAACGGGCCTAGCTCAGAGCAGGTGCTCACTATTGATGGAATGCATGCTGAAAGAATGCGTGAATCTCATCTCTTTTTGTGGGTGAAAAACTCATCCTATTCTCACCCTGATTAACTTTCTTTCTTTCTTTATTTTTTTTTTTTCAAAATGGAGCCATGATCTGTCACCCAGGCTGGAGTACAATGGTGTGATCTCAGCTAGCTGCAACCTCTGCCTTCTGGATTAAACCAATTCTCCTGCCTCAGCCTCCTGGGTAGCTGGGATTACAGGTGTATACCACCACGCCCGGCTAATTTTTTGTATTTTTAATAGAGACAGTGTTTCACCATGTTGGCCAGGCTGGTCCCGAAATCCTGACCTCGTGATCCACCCTCTTTGGCCTCCCAAAGTCCTGGGATTACAGGCATGAGCCACCGTACCCAGCCACTCTTGATTAACTTTATGGAAATATTTACAGAGATTCTTTCTCTTCTGGGTTCTAGCGTCTTATCTGTAACCTCTGCAGGTAATACATTTTCCTTCCTGATGATAGCATTTCTATGGTTGCTTTCACTTGGAAATCCTCTAATACTTATTTATTCCATTTCTGATTGGCATTAGACATAATTCTCAATTTTTAGTGACAGCACTTCGTTTAACTTACATATAAATCGACTTTGCCTTGAAATGTGACATTGACTAGAAGGATGAAACTTCTAACCTGCTGTAGAACATAGTTTGACTGGCTAATTTATTATTTAGAAGAAGCTAATATTGCCATTATGAGGGACTTAGGTGACTCTGAAGAACCAGTTGCATTTCTAATGTTTGCAATGTTAAATCACAGATATTGCCAACGTGAAATAGTTTCCATATGCTGTGTTCTCAATACACACCTTTTCCAAAGATATCCCAAGCTGTAGTCTTAGAAAACTGTGATTTTTCTTATTTGGTCTCACAGGAATTTGGGGAGCTATGCGGGATCTCCATAAAATGAGCTCCAGAAAGACACATGTGTGCACATACACACACACACACACACACGCACACACTCTCACACATGTACCACACCACACTTGACTCTGTTTATTTGGGACCCATGATTATCAGAAGTGCTATTTTTAACAAATACTTTTGAGAAATAATCTGAACACTTAATTGGATGCAAAAGAGTGGCTATTTACTATTCTACACTTTAATTAGCATAGTCAGTGTTTACAGCAGCAAAAGCATTGGAAAATCGCTAGTTTTATTAGGTTCATAATTCTCCCTTAGCGTAGTGTGGTGTCAGCATGGCTATTATTCTTAAATTGCCTCTTTAAAACAAGAGCTGGTGCTTCTTACAGGCAATTCCTAACTCTTGGGTTTTGTAGAGGGTCCAAAACTCTTTAGAACCTATAATTCAAGGAAAGGCTCCACTTTGGTTTTGCATTTTTTCTGGTCTCTTTGGGTGACAGAATTTATGTCACAAGGTGCACATGGTTGGGGGAGGCTCATGGACAGCCCATCGCGCTTGTGCTTTGGTAGGAAGTATGTGCCGTTAAGGGGAAGGAGTTAGTTACTGATTCTAGGGAACAATTGGGTAGAAAGAGATGGACTCCCTGTGTTTGAAATTCAGAACTCAAGCTTGGCTCTAAGTGTTTCCTTGCTTTGCTGTGCTCCAGGGGAGTCACTGAGCAGAAGGAAGCGAGTTGCCTGAGATTCCTCAAATCCTGCAGCCCTTTTGGAGGTTACATTGTTATTCTCAGAGCCTTTAGGATGCATAATAAAGACCTAGCTTGGACCAATATTAGGATGAGTTATCTTGCTATTAACATTCTTTTAGGTAGAAGTTGCTTTTAGGTAGAAGTTGGTCCCGTCTTGCTCACAATCCTCCAAAGTTTGGAAGTCACTTTCCAGGAGACTTAGCTTGCACTGAGAGCTGCCCTCCCACCCTCTCTCCAAATTTCCTCTTGGGAGTAGCCTAACAAGGTGCTGTCACAGACCCTTGCCAGCCACGATGACCCCACCCAGACCATCCCTCTGCTGTTTCAGTCTTTGATATTCTCTGGAGCTCCCCGGGTAGGGGATGAGACCTGCTGTCTGGTTTGTACAGTTTGACCAGGTCTTACAGTCATGGCTGGCTGCCTGTCTCTGAGAACTGGGACTCCTGAACTTGGTGAAATACCTCAGCCATTGATCATGTTAAATTATCGGGGACACTAATTTAAAATCTGAGTCTGCTCCGGATGGACTCTCTCTCTTTCTGCCCTGACCATGAGAGAGAGAGATCGTGAGAGAGAGAGACCGTGAGAAAGATCGAGAGAGAGAGACCGTGCCCTGACCTGCTGGACAGTGGAGATGCTCGTGGGCTGTGAGCAAGGGATGCAAAGGCTGCCGGGAATCCCATCTTTCCAGCACCATCTGCCAAAGCACATCAGTTCCTGGGTGTCTTGATGGATTCTGGCAGCATTACTGTCATTGAAGGAAAACATTTTAGCCATATTAAAGGTGAATGCAGCAATCTCCACACAGGCTGCCTGGAAGGGACGCGGGACAAGAGTAGGTTTTCCCTGTGATGGACAGGAGGTAGGCGGCCCTCCCACAGCCCTGCCTGGCAAAGCAGATGTGTCCCCAAAAGGCACTGGGGGCAGCTGGAGTGCTGTGTCGAGGCGGGCTCACCCGGGCCCTGGGTTCGCTCTGATTGCAGCGGTTTCCCGCCAGCTCCTTGGAGAGCTGGCAGATGACCCAGCCCCACAGCAGGAGCTGTGAATGGCAGAACGAGATACAACAATTAGATATCCACTTGCCAGATGAGCCGGGTGTCGTCAGTCGCCTGGCTCTGCGCCAACCTCTTTTTGCACAAACACTTATGAATTCAGCCAGAAGGAAAAGCACTCTGATTATGAATTGAGCAGAAGGAAACAAAGTTCTGCAGATAAACACCAATGAGACAAAAAAACCACAATTAAGAAAAATGACAGAAAAGGAGAACCTTCCCAGAAGCCTCCTGCCAGTGAACGGCCACCGTAGCAAGAGCTTGGAGGCCCTGGGTTTTGAACTGTGAGATAAGGAAGGTGATGAAAACCTCCCTAGCAGCCAGGCAAGCACAAGATTCCTGTGAAATCCAGGTCTAAGTGTTTTGACCACAGAAGTAATATTATATCATAGGTGAGAGCTGTGAGTTGCTGAACCCAAAGTGAGTTCAAATCCGAGCTCTGCCTCCTGCTACCTGTGTGACTTTGAGAGTTCCAGCACTGCTCTGTGCCTCAGTTTTGTCATCCGTTAAATGGGCATAGTCACAGCTCCTGCCTCAGAGTTGTTGTAAATTAATACAGGTAAAGCACTGAAATCAGCCTGGTATACAGTAAGTGTTATGAACGTTATTTTCTTGGAAGGACAGAACTTATTTTCATGGTCTAAGCCTGAAAGTCTAAAAAATTTGAGAGAAGAGGAAAGAATCTAGAGTCTCACCATGAGGGAGAAAAGTCAACTTGAAGCAGGACAGGGTCATTGACAATTTCCTGTGATTCTACAGCTGCCTTGTACACTATGGTAGCTCCTATCCACTTGTTGTTTAGATTTTGTGATTTAGAAATGAATTAAGGGCGGGCGTGGTGGCTCATGCCTGTAATCCCAGCATTTTGGGAGGCCAAGTTGGGCAGATAACCTGAGGTCAGGCGTTCAAGATCAGCCTGGCCAACATGGTGAAATCTCTTCTCTACAAAAATACAAAAATTAGCCGGGCATGATGGTGGGTTCCTGTAATCCTGGCTACTCAGGAGGCTGAGGCAGGAGAACTGCTTGAACCCGGGAGATGGAGGTTGCAGTGAGATGAGATTGCACCACTGCACTCCAGCCTGGAGGATAGAGTAAGACTCTGTCTGAAAAAAAAAAAATTAGTTAAGAGAAAATTGAAAATTCAGCTCTTCATTCTCACCAGCCACATTTCAAGGGCTCAACAGCCCATGTGGGTGGCTAGCAGCTCCCATGTTGGACAGTGCAGAGTAGAGCAAGCCCACCATTGCAGAATGTTTGATTGGACCATGACTGAATAGTCTATTGCAGTGGTCCCCAATTTTTTTTAGCACCAAGGACCAGTTTCCACGTATTTGTGGGGGGAAGTTTCAGTATGATTCAAGTGCATTACATTTATTGTGTACTTTATTGTTATGAACATTATAATATATAATGAAATCATTATACAACTCACCATAATGTAGAATCAGTGGGAGCCCTGAGCTTGTTTTCCTGCAACTAGATAATCCCATCTCAGGGTGGTGGGAGACAGTGACAGATCATCAGGGCATTAGATTCTCATCAGGAGCACACAACCTAGATCCCTTCCACATGCAGTTCACAATAGGGTTGGTGCTCCTATCAGAATCTAATGCCACTGCTGATCTGACAGGAGACAGAGCTCAGGCGGTAACGCTAGCCGTGGGGAGCAGCTGTAAATACAGATGAAGCTTCACTCATTAGCTCACTGCTCACCTCCTTCTGTACAGCCCAGTTCCTAACAGGCCACAGAACACTACTGGTCTGTGGTCTGGGGGATGGGGACCTCTGGTCTATTGGATAACACTAGCTTTGAGGGTACTGATCAGCCAAAGAAGCACTGAGATGATTTGTCCTCCATTAATAAGAATGATGGACTTTTTTTTTTTTTTTTGAGACAGAGTTTTGCTCTTGTTGCCCATGCTGGAGTGCAGTGGCACCATCTCGGCTCACTGCAACTTCTGCCTCCCAGGTTCAAGAGATTCTCATGCCTCAGCCTCCCAAGTAGTTGGGATTACAGGTGCCTGCCACCATGCCTGGCTAATTTTTGTATTTTTAGTAGAGTCGGGGTTTTGCCATGTTGACCAGGCTGGTCTTGAATTCCTGACCTCAAGTGATCCACCTGCCTCGGTCTCCCGAAGTGCTGGGATTACAGGTGTGAGACACTGTGCCTGGCCAGATGGACTTTTTTTGAGCATTTATTTCCAAGCACCTTCCTTGCATTTTCTCAGTTAATCCTCCCAGTGACTCTTTGAAGCAGGGACTGTGACAATCGTCATTTCACAGATGGAGCAACTGAGGCACAGAGAGGAAGTCAATGGCCACGGTCGCCCAGCTGAGGAAGGATGGAGCCGGCTGAGATACTGTTCTGGGGCTCTAACTCTGCAGCCTGCATTCTGGGCTGCTGTATTCTCCCATGTTGCTATCTGACGAGCACAGCATGGGCTCACAGTACAGACAGGAGGAACCAGCTAATAAGGAGAGGTCTGGGGTGAAGGCTGGTGCCTTGGGGAAGAAGAGAGAGGTCCCATTCTAAAGGGATGGCATTGGAAGTTCATAGTGATAAAGCAAAGCCAACAGGTTTTGGGGCTGGGAGTTAAACACACAGCTCTGGTTTCTGCCTTTTCACAGTGGTGATGAATGGGCACTGAGACCCTCTCGAGCTATAGTTGTCATCATTGCTCTTCATAGTCTGAAGGTGCATGAAATGGTCAACTTTCTTCCAAAGGGCTTTTATGCCTAAGTCTGTGGTTAGTGTATAAACAGACATTTACCGAAGTCCTGCTGGGTGCAGACGCTGTGGCCAGCCCTGAGGCTACAGTCGAGATGAAGCCAGTCTCTGTCCTCATGGAGTCCTGTCTATTGATAAGAAAAGAGAAAGCTCACTGAGCATTGACCCTGTGCCCACTGCTTTTGATGCATCTCTCATTTAATCCTTCTATCAAATCTGTGAAATAAACACATCACCATCATCCCTATTTCACATTTAGGGAAACATATGCTTAGAGAGGGTAAGTAACTTGGTCAAGATCACACAGCTTCGAACTCTCATCCCACAGGTACAGGAATGGGAGGCAGCAGCTGGGGAAGCCAGGGTCTCTGGCAGTCCTTGTCTCTGAGCGGTGATCCAGAGAGAGAGAGAGAGAACACGATTGTCTCAGCACTGGGTCTTCTTCTGAGTCATCTTGAAGGAGCAATTCCAGAGCGTCTCGGTGTTAAACATCATGTTGTGAATGACTCAGTGATCTCTGGCCCAGAGACCTTGGGGATAAAGGAGGGGAGGTACGGAGAAGCTCTTCGAATGGATGTTACCGGGGTGTCAGTGTTCTTTGAGGCCACAGGCTATGTGTCACAAAATTGAAGGGGTGGCCTGCCCTTCCACACCTGTGGGTATTTCTAGTCGGGTGGGATGAGAGACGGAGAAAAGAAATAAGACACAGAGACAAAGTACAGGGAAACAACAGTGGGTCCAGGGGACCGGCACTTAGCACACCAGGACTTGCACGGGCACTGGCCTCTGAGTTCCCTCAGTTTTTATTGATTATGATTTTCATTATTTCAGCAAAAAGGAATGTAATAGGAGAGCAGGGTGATAATAAGGAGAAGGTCAACAAAAAACATGTGAGCAAAAGAATCTATATCATAATTAAGTTCAAGGGAAGGTACTATGACTGGACTTGCACGTAGGCCAGATTTATGTTTCTCTCCACCCAAATATCTCAGTGGGGTAAAGAACAACAAGGCAGCATTACTGCAACATGTCTCGCCTCCCGCCACAGGGCAGCTTTTCTCCTAGCTCAGACTTGAACAAATGTACAATCGGGTTTACACCGAGACATTCAATTCCCAGGGGCAAGCAGGAGACAGTGGCCTTCCTCCATCTCAACTGCAAGAGGCTTTCCTCTTTGACTAATCCACCTCAGCGCAGACGCTTTATGGGTGTCAGGCTGGGGGACAGTCAGGTCTTTCTCATCCCACGAGGCCATATTTCAGACTATCACATAGGGAGAAACCTTGGACAATACACTGCTTTCAAGGGCAGGGCTCCCTGCGGCTTTCCACGGTGCATTGTGCCCCTGGTTTATTGTGACTAGAGAATGGCAATGACTTTTACCAAGTATACTGCTTGTAAACATTTGGTTAACAAGGCACGTCCTGCACAGCCCTAGATCCCTTAAACCTTGATTTTATACAACACATGTTTTTGTGAACTCCAAGTTGGGTCAAAGTGACTGAGGCAAAGTGGCTGGGGCAAAGCTACAAATGAACAACATCTCAGCAAAGCAATTGTTAGAGTACAGGTCTTTTTCAAAATGGAGTCTCTTATGTCTTCCCTTTCTACATAGACACAGTGACAGTCTGATCTCTCGCTTTTCCCTACATTTCCCCCTTTTCTTTTTGACAAAACCGCCATCGTCATCATGGCCCCTTCTCGCTGGTCGCTGTCTCTCCGGAGCTGCTGGATATACCTGTAGACTAACAATAGAGAGGACAGACATACAAGAATTAATACAAAATTTGCAATAGTGGAATTTCCAATGGTTTTAACCCAAGTGACAGGGTTAAGATTAGTGAGGCTGTCAACAGCTTTTACCATTGCCTCCGTTTCTGACACCAGATTTAACTGGGCTTTTGATGTTTCAAAAATTTGTTCTTTCAATTTAGAAATATCTAAGGTAAGATTATCTTCTCTTCCTTGTAGATGGCGTCTAACCATGTCCCAGTGATGTTCAGATTCATTATAGGCTCGAGGTTTAATACAAAAATCTGATGTATTCCAGTCACACTGTAACTGAAAAAGATATTCTAAGCTCATGAGCCTATCTCTCATCCAAATAACAGTTTGTCTAAGATCATTAATTTGATTTGTCAATTTTTGATCTATTTGAGTCTAAGAATTCCACAATTTTGAGGAATTCTTTTGCCAATTATTCACATATTCTGCAGTTTGAACAGAGGAGTGTAAAGCAATTCCAGCAGGCGCAGCAGTAGCTGTGACTGCAATAAGGCCCATAATCACTGCAATCAAAGTAAAAATGAATCTTTTAGATCTAGTTAGAACTCCTTTTAATACTTAAGATATGTACGGATGGAGAAGCCTCCCACGGTCGATCCATGGACACAGGGATCCACACGCCTTCTCTTGCTCTTACAGAGTACCATTCTGCCAATCAAAAGTTGAATCAATGCAAGTAAACAATCTACAATTTTCACTGGTTGTAGTTTGGGAATCTGGTTTAATAGCTATGTTTCCTACAACTAGCATATAAGGTGGTTTTACACAACTTTGCAAAGGAATTTTCAGATTGTAATTTAGGTTAATAGTATAATATGGCTTATGATTTCTTGTTCCCATAACTTGATTTCCAGACCAAATTCTAATGTGGTATGAGGCCACAGTGAGCTTCCATAATTCTGGGTGTTCAGGACCAACAACAGGACTAACTAACTTTGGTCGGGGTGATGAAATCCTCTTTTCACCCCATTTCCATGGATAGGGTGATTCTAGCCTTCTATAAACCTGGTCTAGCCTTTTAGTTAAATCACTAACTAGGCCGGATTAGTGGGCCAGACAGATGGAGCCTGTGAACATGAGTGGGTCTGGCCCATACAGTCATAATATAATTGGCCTCAAGGGGCCTAGTCTATAATAGTTCCAAATTTATTGTTTTGTAGTACCACTGCAGTATCAGCCACACATTCTTCCCAAACTAAGACTTCTGGGTCTTTTGATTCTTTTGGAATTTCCTTGGGGCATGGTTTCCCTTTAGGCCTAAATTTTAATAATCTTTGATAGGAAGAATTCTGTAAGTTATTCATTTGTGACCCGAGTGACATTCCACTTATCGTATGATAAGTAAATTTACTGGTGGCACTGACAGTAGGTACTTCTATCAACCAATTTTGGATTGTAGGCATTAAGCATCCTGGTGCTTTTCCCAGGCAAATAGGAGGATAATGACACCCAAAGGAAATGTTTATCATCATTCCTTCTTCTTCAGGTTGGGCAGGGCCACGGTCATCAGTGGGGCCTGGTACCCTTGCACTGTTATTAACATATACTTCAATAGGATTATCTATCCAAGTGACTGCCCGAATTAAGGGTGGGAAAATCACATAGGCTCAGTAAGTATAGTTAGCTGTAGCAGCTCCTGAAGACATAGGGAGACTTACCACCGTTGATACAATCATTAAAGCTGCAAGCAGCATATTCTCTGGAGTTTGTGTTACCCTTGTGTTTTCCAGGCTTTTTTCAGCTAACTGTGTCAGCTTCTTTAGCTGGGCCCAGGTCGGCGGCCCCACTTTCTTGGTGGATGGCAACTTCATCTGTTCTTCTGATATCACCATTTTGTTCACCCTGCGAGTCGATGATGTTCGATTACGGGTTCTCTGTCTCTGTGGAGGCGCCTTCCCTTGCATCTCTGATGGGTTCATTGTAGAACTTCAAATGTCTAGTGGGTACCCAAACAGGAAGCTGATTTTTTCCTGGTGAAACACAAGCAAAACCTCTCCCCCATGTTATCACCTTACCTATTTCCCATGTTTTATTTTTGTTGTCTTTCCACCAAATCAGTTTTCCCTCATGTGGGCTGTTCTTTTTACCAGTAAAATGTTGTTCTGCAGAAGTAGTGGTCTGATTTATATATATATTTTAAAAATTTAAAGTATAGAGTGCTAGATTAAGTTGCATCTGGGGAGTGTTATACTCCTTACTTTTTCCTTTTTTTTGTTTAACCAATTGAGCTTTGAGTGTTCTATTAGTTCTTTCAATTATGGCCTGTCCTTGGAAATTAGGGATTCCTGTTGTATATGTAATTTTCCACTGATTTAAGAATTTTTGAAATGCTTTACTACAGTATCCTGGCCCATTATCTGTTTTAATTTTTTCTGGAAATCCCATGACTGCAAAACAAGATAATAAATGTCTTTTAACATGGGAAGTAGTTTCTCCTGTCTGGCAGGTTGCCCATATGAAATGTGAGTAAGTATCAACTGTCACATGGACAAATGACAATTTTCCAAATGAAGGTACATGTGTGACTTCCATTGCCATAATGCATCAGGACATAAACCTCTAGGATTAACTCCTGCCTCTTGAGCGGGCAGGTGTAAGACTTGACACTGAGCACAATGTTGTACAACATTTTTTGCTTGTTTCCATGTGATATCAAATTTGTTTTTTAATCCTGTTACATTTACGAGTCAGGGCCTGAAGTTCTTGTACTTCCATGAAGGCAGATGATACTAGCAAGTCAGCTTGTCCATTTGCCTTAGTTAAAGGCCCTGGTAAATTAGTATGTGCTCGGATATGAGCCATATAAAATGGGAAATTTCTTTTTCTTATAGTTTGTTGTAACAATTTAAACAGCTGATTTAACTGATCATCCATACTATATTTGATTAGGGCTGTCTCAACATCCTTTGTAACCTGTACTACATATGCAGAATCTGAAACAATGTTAATAGGCTGATTAAAATCTTGTAACACTGAAATGACATCAACCAATTCTGCTCTTTGAGCTGAGTGATATTGAGTTTCAATGACTTGTTCTTTTGGCCCAGTGTAAGCCACTTTTCCATTGCTGGAACCATCAGTAAACACCGTCAGAGCATTTTCTAGAGGTTTTTGTCTGGTAATTTTAGGTAAAATCTAAGTAGCCAATTTCAAAAACTGGAAGATTTTTGCTTTTGGGTAATGATTATCAATAATTCCCACAAAATCAGCAAGACCAATCTGCCCTGCACCAGAATTGATAAAGGCTTGTCTAACCTGTTCCTTGTTTAAAGAAACAATGATTTTATCTGGGTCATTTCCACACAATTTTACTATTCATAGTCTTGCCTGACCAATTAATGTAGCCATTTGATCTAAGTACAATGTAAAATCTTAACTGTACTGTGAGGAAGGAATGACCACTCCACAAGATCTGTATTTTGAACAGTAATGCCTGTTGGAGAATGTGCAGTAGCAAAAATTAAAAGTTGGAATGGGGCTAAGTGATCTATTCTATTTAATTTTGCTGACTGAATTTTTTCTTCAACTAATTCTATTTCTTTAGTAGCCTCTGGAGTTAATATTATTTTACTATTTAAGTCTGGATCCCCTCTCAAGATAGAGAACAAATTTGACATGGCATAAGTAGGGATGCCTAGAGTTGGCTAAATCCAATTAATATCTCCTAGTAATTTTTGAAGTCATTTAATGTTCTTAATGTGTCTTTTCTTATTTCTACTTTTTGTGGTTTAATTTTTCTCTCCTCTACCTGCATTCCCAAATAATGAAAAGGAGTGGAGGTCTGGATCTTATCAGATGCTATTGTCAGGCCTGCGTTTGCAACCTCTGTCTGCAGAAATGTGTAACAGTCAATTAATTTGTCTCTTGTTTCTGCAGCACACAAAATATCATCAACATAATGAATGATATAACAGTCTGAAAACTTGTCTCTAACTGGTTGAAGAACTTGAGCTACAAAAGTCTGACAAATAGTTGGACTATTAAGCATTCCCTGAGGCAACAGTTTCCACTGAAATCTAGTGGCTCGTTCTTTATTATTTATGGCTGGTATAGTAAAAGCAAATTTTTCAAAATCCTGTTTTGCCAGAAGAATGGTAAAAAAGCAATACTTCAGATCAATTATAATCAAAGGCCAATCTTTGGGGATCATGGCTGGAGAGGGCAGCCCAGGTTGGAGAGGCCCCATGGGTTGAATTATTGCATTAACAGCTCTTAAATCAGTTAGCATGTGCCATCTGCATGATTTTTTCTGAATTACAAACACAGAATTCCAAGGCGAAAATGAATGCTTTTCTAATTGTTCTTTTGCCAATAAGTGTAAGGCCTCCAGCTTTTGTTTTGGTAGTGGCCACTGATTTACCCATACAGGCTTTTCTGTTTTCCAAGTTAATGGAATGGGTTTTGGAGGCTCTACAGTGGTCACCCCTAAAAAGGATACCCTAGTCCTTTTCTTTCTGGATTTCCCTTAGCCTCAATTGGACCTTTAATGCCTTCTCCATTTTTCCCTAGTCCTTTGCCAGGGAGATATCCCATTTTAGTCATGATTTTTTGACTCGTGGGGCTGTATAGAGAGACTGGAATAGTAATCTCTGCATGCCACTGTTCTAATAAGTCTCGGCCCCATAAATTAATTGGAATAGAAGTAATCATAGGCTGAACTGTACTCTCTTGATTATCAGGTCCTAGACAATGTAAAATCCTGGAACTTTGATACACTTCTGAGGCAGTGCCCACACCAACAAGTCCTGTGACAGGCTTTTGTTTAGGCCGATTTTTTGGCCGTTGATTTAAGGCAATGATAGAAACATCAGCCCCAGTATCCACTAATCCTTCAAACTGTTTTCCCTGAATAGTAACTGTACACACAGGTCTATTCTCTGAGAGCTGACTAGCCCAATAAACAGCTTTTCCAGCAGTGTTGGTACTTCCAAACCCTCCTGTTCTTTCTGTTTTGCTATCCCCAATTTTAATATAAGGCAAGAGCAGTAATTGAGCAACTCTATCACCTGGATTGGCACTCCAGGGAACAGTAGAGCTGATCACTAACTGAATTTCCCCTTTATAATCTGAGTCAATTACCCCAGTATGAATTTGAACTCCTTTCAAATTTAGACTAGATCTTCCTAAAATAAGGCTACCATCCCTTCTGGCAGCGGGCCATATACCCCTGTAGGAATCTTTTGCGGGGGCTCTCCAGGGAGTAAGAAATCATTTGAGTAGAACATAAATCTACTGCAGCACTGCCTGCTGTGGCAGGGGATAATTGTCGTATTGTAATTGGCTGATTTCCTGAAATGGTGGTATTTACTGTGGGGTTGTTGTCCCTGAAAACCCTGAGGAACAAATGGCTGAATCCGGAATGCCCCACTTTGTTGCGGGGCCTGGGGCTGGCCCCTCTTCCCGTTTCCCGACAATGGTTGTCCATTTTTATCAAATTTAGAACGACATTCCTTAGCTCAATGTTTTCCTTTTCCACATCTTGGGCTCAGGCCAGGTGGCTCTTTTTTGTTTGTTTGCTCTGTTTATTTAAGCCTGGGCAATTCTTTTTTAGATGACCGATTTGACCACAATTATAACATTTCCCCCCAAATGTTTTAACTTGTCCTCCTAAAGCAACCCCTGTAATTGCTTGAGCCAATAGCATTGCCTTATGCATAGCTCCTCCAATCCCATCACAAGCCCTCACATATTCTGTAATTACATCAACTCCTGCTGAAACCTTTCCTCTTAATGGCTTTATGGCTGATTGACACTCCGGATTTGCGTTTTGATAAGCCATTATTTCTACAATAACTTTTCGGGCATTATGATCCGCAATGGATTTTTGAGCCGCATCTTGCAACCTTGCCACAAAGTCTGGATATGGCTCTTTAGAGCCTTGTCTGATTGAACTAAAAGAACGGCAGGAGGTTCCTGGGTCCTGAATCTTTTCCCAGGCCCTGAGGCAAATAGCCCTTAGTTGTTCAATAGCCTCATTTTCATTACTGATTGTTGGTTAATAGTGCCCTAATTTGGACCTGTTCCTAGCAATTGGTCTGCATCTATATAAGCAACAGGATTAGTAGCCTGATTTTTTCGTACCTGTTCTTGTACCCCATCAGTCCACCAGGTTTTAAACTGTAGATACTGAGAGGGTGAAAGGGAAGATTTAGCCAAAATTTCCCAATCATAAGGAATAAGTCTATTTCCATGAACAATGGAATCTAATAATGTTCTCATATAAGGAGAGTTAGGTCCATATAGTTTAACTCCTTCCTTCATATCTTTTAACATTTTTATGGTGAAAGATTCATATCTAGTCTCAGTTCAGACAGACGCTCCTGCCTGACTCGCTTTCCCGGCCGGCATCGGTTGTAACATTACCGGATATTGCCATGCCTCAAGATCTCCCTGTTTTCTGGCTGTAGCAATGGTCTCATGCAGTGCACTATCTTGTCCACTAGGTGGTACTGTAAGATCAAACGCCATCGCCGTGGGTTGTTGATGTAGTGCCTTGCTATTTGGCACAGGACGCACTGCCTGAGATCCATACTGAACCTCTGGAGACGGCCGATACTGAAATGCGGCTGGCGGCTGGTGTTGATAAACTACCGATGGTTGAGTTTTATTTTCTACTGGCTGGTATTGCGGATACTGTGCCTGGATTGGCATTTGAGATTGTGACATCACAGGCATCTGAACCGCGGGAGAAGGAGTTGGTGGCCATCGTGGTCTAAACTCTGATGGCCCAAATAATTCTGGACCTCCTTCCCCCAATTTTGATGATTCAGGATATATTACCTCCTGTAATTGATTATAGTCAACATTCTGCATTGACCAAGCCAGTACAGGCTCTACTGCATTTTTACAATGTGAACTTTCCATTCCTTTCTTACACTCTGTTCCTGCCTCTTCTTCACAATCTATTACACAGCTTTCAGGGGCGTCAAAGACTGAAACGCTATCTTCTTCTATTTGAAATGGTTCTAAAGTTGCTTTAATAATGGCCCAATCATTCCATACTGTAAGTGGGATGATTTTACCTTCCTAATTGCTTGTTTTAGTTCTTTGCCAATTTTTACCCAATCTTCTAAATCTAAAGTTCCCTGTTCTGGAAACCATGGGCGGAATTGTTCTATTGTTTGAAATAGCATAACTAGATTTTCTGTAGAAGCTTTAACTCCTCCTCTTAAGAGAATTTTAATGAAGCTGAGATAAGAAGCATATTTACTTTCAGTTTGCCCCATTGTTACCCTGGATTCCTCCGAGCGCACAAGCTAACCACAAGGCTGACTGTGGACGTACTCGGGAATCTCTCGTCGGCTGTCCTCAATGCTCACGTTCTTAGCGTAACTTCACCCTAGAGAAGGGCTCCACTCTGGGCTCCAGATGAAGGGATGGCCTGCCCCTCCACACCTGTCGGTATTTCTAGTCAGGTGGGATGAGAGACAGAGAAAAGAAATAAGACACAGAGACAAAGTATAGAGAAACAACAGTGGGTCCAGGGGACCGGCACTGAGCACACCAAGGACATGCACCGGCCCCGGCCCCTGAGTTCCCTCAGTTTTTATTGATTATGATTTTCATTATTTCAGCAAAAAGGAATGTAGTAGGAGAGCAGGGTGATATTAAGGAGGTCAACAAAAAACATGTGAGCAAAAGAATCTATATCATAATTAAGTTCAAGGGAAGGTACTATGCCTGGAAGTGTACGTAAGCCAGATTTATGTTTCTCTCCTCCCAAACATCTCAGCGGAGTAAAGAATAACAAGGCAGCATTGCTGTAAACATGTCTCGCCTCCCGTCACAGGGCAGCTTTTCTCCTATCTCAGACTTGAACAAATGTACAATTGGGTTTTATACCGAGACTTTGAGTTCCCAGGGGCAGGCAGGAGACAGTGGCCTTCCTCCATCTCAACTGCAAGAGACTTTCCTCTTGTACTAATTCACCTCAGCACAGACCCTTTACGGGTATCTGGCTGGGGGACAGTCAGGTCTTTCTCATCCCACGAGGTCATATTTCAGACTATCACATGGGGAAAAACCTTGGACAATACACTGCTTTCAAGGGCAGAGGTCCCTGAGGCTTTCCACAGTGTATTGTGCCTCTGGTTTATTGTGACTAGAGAATGGCAATGACTTTTACCAAGTATACTGCTTGTAAACATTTGGTTAACAAGGCACGTCCTGTACGGCCCTAGATCCCTTAAACCTTGATTTTATACAACACATGTTTTTGTGAACTCCAAGTTGGGTCAAAGTGGTTGGGGCAAAGTGGCTGGGGCAAAGCTACAAATGAACAACATCTCAGCAACGCAATTGTTTAAAGTACAGATCTTTTTCAAAATGGAGTCTCTTATGTCTTCCCTTTCTACATAGACACAGTGACAGTCTGATCTCTCTTTCTTTTCCCTACACAAATAAAGAGCCCAGTGCCTTTTGTCATTGCTCAAGAGATTGAAGGGGTAGGAAGAAAAGATGTTAAGTTATAAACATGTTTCAGTTTTGGTACCACTTGAGCCAATTTACGTTTTGAAGAGGAAAGAGTCTTGCCTACAAAGTCAGCCCCTGGGTTTTCCTTCTGTTTATGGAATCCAGGCAATGGGCAAAGAGAAAAAGAAAACTATGGAATCAGCCAGATGCAGTGGCTCATGCTTGTAATCTTGGCACTTTGGGAGGTTGAGGCAGGTGGACTTCTTGAGTCCAGGAGTTCAAGACCAGCCTGGCCCACATAGTGAGACCCCGTTTCTACAAAAAATACAAAAAGTTGCTGAGCATGGTGGCATGCACCTGTAGTCCCAGTTACTTAGGAGGCTGAGGTGGGAGAACTACTTCAGCCCAGGAGGTTGAGGCTTCAGTGAGCCATGATTGTGCCACTATACTCCAGCCTGGGTGACAGAGTGAGGTCCTGTCTCAAAAGAAAACAAAAAAAGATAAGAAAAAGAAAACTAGGGCATCTGGACAGAATAAGCTTATGTATATAATAAAGAACTGAGATAGAACTGGGTTGACTGAATAATTATTTGAATTGCTTTTGAGTGAATTTTTCCTATTGGAGTCTACCTTTGTTTTTGTGTGTGTGCGCGTTTTTAGTTTTTTGTGTTTTTTTGGTTTAGTTTTGTCTTTGTTTTTTTTCAGACTGGGCCTTGCTCTGTTGCCCAGGCCGCTGGAGTGCAGTGGCACGATCTCAGCTCACTGCAACCTCTGCCTCCTGGGTTCCAGCAATTCTTCTGCCTCAGCCTCCCCAGAAGCTGGGACTACAGGGCATGTACCACCAAGCACAGCTAATTTTTGTATTTTTAGTAGAGATGGGGTTTCACCATGTTGGCCAGGCCTGGTCTTGAACCCCTAGGCTCAAGTGATCCGCCTGCCTCAGCCTCCCAAAGTGCTGGGATTACAGGTGTGAGCCCCTGCGCCCAGCTAGAGTCTACCATTCTTTGAATTCACTGCAGTGCAAAGACTGGGACATGTGGAACTCCAGGTGTATATGGGTTATGTAGAGATGCTAGGGGCTGATTAAGGAAGGAAAGATACGAGAAGCCTGCAGAGCATGCTTTCCCAGACTGTATGGGCCCTGGGAAAGGAGAAGTGGACAGAAAGGGAACACTAGGTACCCTGGAAGAGAAGATTCATCCAAGTCATCAGGAAAGTTACTAAAGCAAGGGAAAAAACTTAGAGACAGGGCCAAACACGCTTCTTCCAAGTCCTTTCTGTCTGCTCAGTCACCTCTATGCTCATTTTTCTTCTTTCCTCTAAGTAGTGTCATGCGTTTTCTTCCTATTCCTAGTCACTCCTAGTCAACTAACTCCTCTCTTTACCATCTTTTCATCAGAACTTGAAACCTCCTCTCCTTCATGTATTAGTGATCATGTTTCTCCATATTACTGCTAGAAACAAGAATTGAAACCTTGAAAACCTGCATTTGAGAACCAGATCTGCCTCTGCTAGCTATTTGAGAAGTTATTTTTTTCCATTCTTTTTGTTGTTGTCGATACAGGGTGTCACTCTGTCGCCCAGGCTGGAGTGCAGTGGTTCAATCTTGGCTCACTGCAGCCTCAATCTCCTGGGCTCAATCAATCCTTCCACATCAGCCTCCTGAGTAGCTGAGACTACAGGTGTGTGCCACCACAGCTGGCTAATTTTTAATGCTTTTTTTTTTTGTTTACTTATTTTTTTTGTAGAGATGGGGTCTTGCTAGGTTGTGTAGGCTGGTCTCAAACTCATGGGCTCAAGTGATCCTCCTGCCTTGGCCTCTCAGATGAAATGGGAAAAGTTCCGTTGTCCCCTTCGAAGGACATGCGATGCGGGTGTGGTTCATTTATTCAGTGCCCCACTGCTCAAACCTCTAGGGGAGCATGCAGACAGGCAGGGAGCCCCATGGCAGTGTCCAGGGGTGAATGTTTATAGTTGAAGCCCCAGTGGGTGTGTGTTACAGGGTGCTCTTTTAGTTTAGCCGTCTGTAGGTAGCTTGTGTTAGTCGGCTCAATTAGACCCCCGCCTTATTGCAAGGACAGAGGGCTCTTTTTGTCCTGGGGTTCTTGCCTTGGTATACCGGAAGTGGTGCGATCTCAGCTCACTGCAAGCTCCGCCTCCTGGGTTGACGTCATTTTCCTGCCTCAGCCTCCCAAGTAGCTGACACTACAGGCACCCACCACCACGCCTGGCTAATTTTTTTGTATTTTTAGTAGAGATGGGGTTTCACTGTGTTAGCCAGGATGGTCTGGATCTCCTGACCTCGTGATCTGCCCTCCTCAGCCTCCCAAAGTGCTGGAATTACAGGCCTGAGAGTGTAAGGTTTTATTGAGTGGAAGTATCTCTCAGCAGGTGGGGGAGCCAGAAGGGAGATGGTTTACCCCTGGAGTCGGGTGAGTGGCCTGACTCTTCTCCGAATGTCCCAGCCAAACTCTGTGTTGTTCTGCAGTCAGTGGCCTGCGGTGTGTCGGTGCCCATTGGTGCGTTCCTCTTGACGTCCAGCACCCTTGTGTTCCTCCGCTGATGTGCTCCTCTCGAAGTTCAGCTGCCTGTGTGCCTGCCTGCTAGGGTCTCAGGGTTTTTATAGGCACAGAATGGGTGTGTGGCAGCCAGGGTGGTCTTGGGAAATGCAACATTTGGGCAGGAAAACAAAAATACCTGTCCTCACCTAGGTCCGTGGGCACAGGCCCTGGGGTGGAGCCCTAGCCAGGGACCACACCCTCCTCTACCCAGTGCTTCCCTTCCTCACTTCCATATCATTTAAAGGGACCACATTCTTCCCTTCTGAGCACTTCCCTTCTGTATCACAAAGTGTTGGGATTATAGGCATGAGCCACTGGTCCCAGCCAATTCCGTTCTTTTAATGCAAACTAGAAAATAGGTGTTCAGAAAGGCCTGCCCTATCCACCTCAGGGTTGCTATGAAGATCAAATTAGATCATGTGCAACAGAAATTTAGAAAAGATTCCAAAAGCACTGTGCAACGAGAATGTACTTTTAAACTCCACTGAGTGGACTTAAAACTATGTTTTTTTCTTTCTTTCTTTCTTTCTTTTTGGTTGAGACAGAGTTTCACTCTTGTTGCCTAGGCTGGAGTGCAATGATGCCATCTTGGCTTACTGCAACCTCTGCCTCCCAGGTTCAAGTGATCCTCTGTCTCAGCCACCCAAGTAGCTGGGATTACTGGCGCTCTCCACCATGCCTGGCTAATTTCTTTCTTTCTTTTGTTTTTGTCTTTTTAGTAGAGATGGGGTTTCATGGCGTTGGCCAGGCTGGTCTCGAACTCCTGACCTTAGGTGATCCACCCACCTTGGCCTCCCAGAGTGCTGGGATTAAGGCTTGAGCCACCGCACCCAACCTGTGTTTCTTTTTTAAGCAAAAAAACAAATGCCTCTCTCCAGCGCTCACTAAACAAATCCCTCTTTTTTTCCCATAGGATTCTTATCCTTCTTGCCCCAGTGCAAACAATCTATTTTCTTTTGGCCCTTCTGTCCATCTGTGAAAGGGGCAGGCTTTCTAGCTAACCCTTAATCAAATATTTTTGATGACCACAGTCAAGACAGTACTTATTATTTTTTTTGAGACGGAGTTTCGCTCTTGTTGCCCAGGCTGGAGTACAATGGCACAATCTCGGCTCACTGCAACCTCTGCCTCCAGGATTCAAGTGATTCTCTTGCCTCAGCCTCCCAAGTAGCGGGATTACAGGTGCGCAACACCACGCCCAGCTAATTTTTGTATTTTTAGTAGAGATGGGGTTTCTCCATGTTGGTCAGGCTGGTCTCGAACTCCTGACCTCAAGTGATCCGCCTGCCTTGGCCTCCCAAAGTGCTGGAATTACAGGGGTGAGCCACCCAGACTGGTCAAGACAGTGTTTATTAATGCCTGAGATGCATTCAGGAGCACATGAGCTGGCTGTGGCTGTTCTAACAAAGTTCCCCAAATGGGTGGCTCAGGACAACAGAAAGTCATTCTCTCCAGTTCCAGAAGCTTGATATCTGAAACGGCAGGGCCGTGCTCCCTCTGAAGGCTCTAGGGATGAGTCCTTCCTTGCCTCTTCTGGCTTCTGGTGGTTGCTGGCAATCCTTGGCTTGTGGCCACATCATTCCATTCTCTTCCTTCATTCTCATGTGGCCTTCTCCCCTGCGTGTCTCTGTCTCCTCTTCCCATGAGGAATGCCATTATTACTCGATTTAAGGTCCACGCTATTCCAGTATGACCTTTTTGTAATTAGATCTGCAGAGACCCTATTTCCTTTTCTTTTTTTTTTTTGAGATGGAGTCTTGCTCTGTTGCCCAGGCTGGAGTTCAGTGACACAATCTCAGCTCGCTGCAACTCTGCCTCCTGGGTTCAAGTGATTCTTCAGCTTCAGCCTCCAAAGTAGCTGGGATTACAGTTGCACGCCCCCATGCCTAGCTAATTTTTGTGTTTTTAGTAGAGACAGCGTTTTTTCATGCTTGCCAGGCTGGTCTCGAACTCCTGACCTCAAGTGATCCTCCTGCCTCAGCCTCCCAAAGTGCTAAGATTACAAGCATGAGCCACCATGCCCTGCCCCTATTTTCTAATAAGGTCACATTCTGGGATTCCTGGTGAATGTGAATTTTTGGAGGACAGTATTCAGTCTAGCAAAAGGCAGAACATCCTCATTTTCTTCCCTACCTCAGAAATAAAGAAGTTAACTTCAACCCTCTGAGAGAGGCTTCCTGAGCTTCCAACAATCAATTATCCAAATATTAGTCACAGAAGAGCACTAAGGGTTGCGCACAGCATGTGGCCAGCCCATTCTCAGAGTCTGTCAAGTTTAAGGTGAACGCTAATCCTGAATGAGTTTTAAAATGTATTTGGCATTTCCTCGTCATTGGAAAATGTTCTCGCATTGTGATGGCTGGGGCTTCCCTCTCAGGTGTAATCTGCGAAGTCAGATGTGACACAGCCTGGGTGAGGTGGGCCAAGCTGGGAACTGGGTTAGGAGGGAAGCTGGGGAATGATCTCCAAGGTCTCAGATCCCAAACTGGCTTTAGCCTGATTCACCCAGAGGGATCTCATAAAAAATGCACATTCCGGGGCCCACCCCAGACCTAATGAATCAGAATTACCTGGGAAGGAGCCTGGGGAGCTCTGTTTTCAGAAGCAGCCCAGCCAAATCCTATGGTCAGACAGGGCTGGGAAACCGAGCTCAGTCTAGCGCGGTAGATCCCAAACTCGTCTGTGCTTCAAAAAATACAGATGCTGATGTCCAGGCATGGTGGCTCATGCCTATAATCCCAGCAGTTTGGGAGGCTGAGGCGGGAGTATCGCTTGAGCCCAGGAGTTTGAGACCTGCCTGGAGAACGTAGGGAGATAATGTCTCTATAAAAAATTTAAAAATTAGCCAGGCGTTGTGGTGCCCGCCTGTGATCCCAGCTACCGTGGAGGTTGAAGTGGGAGGGTTTCTTGAGCCCAGGAGTTGGAGGCTGTCGTGAGCTATGATTGTGCCACTGTACTCCAGCCTGGGTAACAGAGCGAAGCCCTGTCTCAAAAACAAAACAAAAAACTGATGCTATGTCCCATTCCGGAGGTTGAGGATTAATTGTTCTTGGGTGTGGCCTGGGTTTTGGAAGATTTAAAAAAAATCCCAGGTGACCCTAAAGTGTAGATGAGTTTGGAAACCACACATCGAAGGCACACTTGAATGGGGGAGCAGTGAGGTGGCGTGGGCCAGCCGGCCAGAACCCAGGGGTGGGGCGGTAGGAACCAGCATTGCAGAGGCCATTAAGGCTGGAAAGCATAGTGTCTGGGGCCCATAAAAATGTTTCGACATGAATGCTTTAGACCTAAGACAATTGGCTTCTAAATGTGCAAACTGCAAGGCTGAAATGAATGCTTGTTTAATGCTTTACAACACTGTCAAGTGGTCAGCTGCAACTCCGTTCTGAGGGCGTGATGCCTGAGAGATGCCTGTAATGGCGGTTGATTTTAATGAATTTAATATGGTGTGGAGTGGGGCCTTCAAAAGTAAAGATGTCAGTTCTGAGTTGGTTGCAGGGGTCTGGGCAAAGGTCTTAAAACCCCATGGTGAGCAGATGGCCAATCCTGAACACCCCAATTTTAAAACAGGGCTTTTTTTCCAAGAGACCTTTTGAAAATAGCTCCTATTTTGAGGGGAGGAACCCTGGCAGGAGAGAGCCAGAGTTAAGCCCAGCTGAGAGGGCGTTGGCAGGCAGGGGCCTGCCTGGTCCTCACTGAAGCTTGGTACTCAGGGTGAGCTTCCTAAACCAGTGCAGATTTGCCGGCCCACTGAGCCTCGCGATGAGAACCTGCATTTCAACAAGGTCCTCAGTGCAGCAAAGTTTGAGATATACTGGGCTAGAACACCCAGGGGACACAAAGGTTCTCTGAAAACTAAGGAAAATAGGCAGGGTGTGGTGGCTCATGCCTGTAATCCTTGTATTTTGGGATGCCAAGGCGGGCGGATCACCTAAGGTCAGGAGTTTGAGACCAGCCTGGATCAACATGGTGAAACACCATCTCTACAAAAAATACAAAAATTAGCTGAGTGCGGCCGGGCACAGTGGCTCATGCCTGTAATCCCAGCACTTTGGGAGGCTGAGGCGGGCAGATCACGAGGTCAGGAGATCGAGACCATCCTGGCTAACACGGTGAAACCCTGTCTCTACTAAAAATACAAAAAAATTAGCCGGGCTTGGTGGCAGGTGACTGTAGTCCCAACTACTCGGGAGGCTGAGGGAGGAGAATGGCATGAACCTGGGAGGTGGAGCTTGCGGTGAGCCGAGATTGCACCACTGCACTCCAGCCTGGGCAACAGAGCCAGACTCTGTCTCAAAAAAAAAAAAAAAAAAACAAATTATCTGGGTGAAGCGGCAGGTACCTGTAGTCCCAGCTACTTGGGGGGCTGAGACAGAAGAATAGATTGAACCTGGGAGGCAGAAGCTGCAGTGGCCCGAGATCGCACCAGTGCACTCCAGTCTGGTGGCAGAGTGAGAATCCATCTAAAAAAATAATAAATAAATAAATAAATAAATAAATAATAAAAATAAATACTGGGCTAGAAGACCCAGGAGACCCGAAGATTCTCTCAAAACTAAGGAAAATAATCTAGGTCACAAATATATTCTCTTTCTCCTTCTCCCCATTGCCCCCCTCCACCAGTAATCTTTATAGACTCAAATCGAGTTGATGTTCTATAATCAATTCTAGTCACTTTTATTTATATTTATTTATTTTAGAGATGGGGGTCTCACTATGTTGCTCAGGCTGGTCTGAAATTCCTGGGCTCAAGTGATCCACCCACCTCGGTCTCCCAAAGTGCTGGGATTACAGGCATCAGCCACTGCACCTGGCCGTCACTTTTATTTTTGATGTTCAAATTATAAGCTAATGCCTGTGAGACCATAAATTCTTTTTATGCACTCAATACATTTTCGTGTTTACCTTACATTTTTATTATGGAAAAATTCTGTTTTTTCCACTTGTTTCTTTTTGATAATGAAGCCCTCTGTGCCTATCACCAGCCTCAGCCGCCATCATCTCATTACCAAGCTGGGTTATTTTGAAGCAAATATCTTCTAATATTTAGCCGGTGTTCAAATTTCCCTAACCATCCTAAATGAATGTTTAGAATAGTTGTTTCATTGGAAACAAGGTCAAAAAAATACATTTTAGATTTTTAGGCCAGTCTTGAAAGTAATTGTAAAACCATGTGTGGGGTAGGAGGTGGGACTAGCCTCTCAAGGTGGGGCCTGGATACCAGACCCAATTGAGGACTAGCTAAGACAGATTCCACAACGAATAACACCAGGAGGTGGGAATATTAAGGTCCATTGTGAAGGATGGCTACCACAATTATTTGATCAACTAGTTATCAACCCTGACTGCACCTGAGAGAGATTTGTTTTTGCTTTTTTTTTTTTCAGAGACAGGGTCTTGCTATGTTGCCCAGACTGGACTGAAAATCCTGGGCTCAAGTGATTCTTCTGCCTCAGCCTCCTGAGTAGCTGAGACCGGGTGTGTGCCACTGTGCCCGGCAAGATTTTAAAAAATACGTATGTCCGGACACCACTCTAAACCAACTAAATCAGAATCAGATAGAGTGAAGTCATTAATCATTTTGCTCCTGGGTCTTCATGAAAGTTTTGCTCCTGGGAAACTCCTGGGAATGTGGTAGAGAGAGAGAGAAAGAGATGGGAAAATAAGATTTTAAGAAATGTTGCTATGCATTTTGATAATAATTTTTCTTTGGTGTTTGTCTTGAGGGACGGCGGTAAACATTTCAATTGCCTTTAAGTATGCTTGCATGCTGGAATGATGGTTCTTTGAATGCAGCATCAAACTGGCATTGGGCCACATGGCAGCCAGCATGAGCCTTTATGCCACATTTATAAAACATGAATGTCATGAACCCACTCTCAGGGACCTTACAATTTGGAGGGTTAGGTCAGATCCACAAATCTCTTGTATCTCATCATAAAGGAAACCTGGCGTGTAGCAGGAGATGGCGTGATAACCATAACATATTGCATGATCAATATTTGTATCTTCTTAGCAATATTAAACTTTTTGACTCCCTCCATTATGTCATCAATTTGCTTAATACAGTTTCTTCCTCAGCGTCGGGTTTTAGGCCTGGCATAAGCTGTTTGAAACCCAGGCAGGTACCCCGCCCATCATCTTTGGCCTAGTTAACACCTCCCCTCCCTGCGTGGTGCTTTGGAGAACCTGCTTCTTCCTCATCCCACTGATCCCAAACCCAGGACACCCCACAGCTGCTGACCAGGATTAAACCTAATGGAGATTTAATGCCGTTAAATCACAAGAAATTCTGATTCTCAGGGACTGACATTCATTCACTTAAATACTTGCAAAGTTGGCCAGGTGTGATGGCTCACACCTGTAATCCCAGCACTTTGGGCACCCGAGGTGGGTGGATCACGAGGTCAAGAGTTCGAGACCAGCCTGGCCAACATGGTGAAACCCCGTCTCTACTAAAAATACAAAAATTAACTGGTGTAGCTGTGCGTGCCTTTAATCCCAGCTACTCAGGAGGCTGAGGCAGGGGATTTGCTTGAACATGGGAGGTGGAGGTTGCAGTGAGCCAAGATTATGCCATTGCACTCCAGCTTGGGCAGCAGAGCGAGACTCTGTCTCAAAAAAAAAAAACCCAAAAATTTGCAGAGTGAATTTAGGAAACCATGAAGTCCACAGTTTGATCCAATGCCTTCCTTTTTCTCTTTCTCAAATATTTTGAGCCAGGTACTATCCTAGATTGTCTTGTGATATTTACAATCTAGGAGAAGGCAGGAGAGAGAACTAAGAACAGAGAGCATGTTCTGAGATGTCTGCTGTGTTTGCAGGTACCTTCCCTCAATTTGCCTACTCACTGGCCATGCTGGAAAACAGGTCTTGGCGCCATATTTGTACCGTGGTATTCCCCTCCCTATACTCAATTGGTTGGCCAGAAGCCCAATTGTCATTCTCTCTCTCTCTCTCCCTCTCCCTCTCTCCCTCTCTCCCTCCCTCTCCAAGATATCCAGTAACTGACTGATAAGCTGGTGGTGGGTTCTGCTGGCTGCCATGATGGACCACCAGCAAAAAGGGAAAATTGGTTGTGAGTAAGAGAAGCGGAGATAAGAAAGTCCACAGGGCTGATAAGAAAGACCATGGGCTTCCGGGCGCGGTGGTTCACGCCTGTAATCCCAGCACTTTGAGAGGCCAGGATGGTCGGATCACGAGGTCAGGAGATCGAGACCATCCTGGCTCACACGGTGAAACCCCATCTCTACTAAAAATACAAAAATTAGCCAGGTGTGGTGGCGGGTGCCTGTAGCCTCAGCTAATTGGGAGGCTGAGGCGGGAGAATGGTGTGAACCCCGAGAGGTGGAGCTTGCAGTGAGCTGAGATTGCACCACTGCACTCCAGCCTGGGCGACAGAGTGAGACTGCATCTCACAAAAAAAAAAAAAAAAAAAAAAAAAGACCATGGAATTCTGAGAGCAAGAAAGAGGAATTTTGGTTTCTGTAACTGCAGTTTCCATTCTCTCATGGCCTCTCATATGTTTCTTGTGCCCATGAGTTTTCCTGTTAGAGATAAGGTTTGCTCCTTGTCCTCAAGCTCATGCAAATGGGTTTCTGTTTCTTACAATCATTGTTCCCAGATATGGATGGTTACTGATGCTCTGCTAAATGCTGAAAAAAAGCAGAGTGGAAGCACAGAAAAGCGGGCTTCTCTGAGGGGGTGACGCTAGAGCCCAGTTGGGAGGCAGGAGTAAATGTGCACCATGATATTTTAGGATTAAAACCAAGTATCTCACTGCTTGGGCACATGTAGATAGAGGTGATTTAACAGTAAACTGTCCCAGTGGTACCCATTGTCAGTTATCTCACCACAGGGATTATGTAGCCCTGAGTTTGCTTAGTGCTTATTTATTTTAGGTTGTTGTTTATCCAAACCTCCTAAATGATACGTGTTTGGAACAAGTAACAGCATCGTTCATTGATGTTGTGGACAAACCACTATTTTATTACTCAAGACTGGGTAATTTTTAAAGAAAAAGAGGTTTAATGGGCTCACAGTTCCATGTGGCTGAAGAAGTCCCGAAATCATGGTGGAAGGAAAAAGGCACGTCTTACTTGGTGGCAGACAAGAGTGATGAGAGCTATTTTGGTCATTGTTCACTGGCCATAGAATTTACTTCTATATTTTGAACTAAGGCAAGAGCCAGGCACACAAGACGGTTACAGGTCCGTCTTTTGTTTTTGATGATGATGATGATGATGATGATGATGATGACGATGATGATGAAATGGCTGACATGGTTGATGACTTGCTTTTTCTCATCATCTCAGACCTAGATTTTTGGCTGGACTATTGGCTTGGGATAGATGAAAATCATTCCTTGTATCCCCTTATCTTAAAGTCAAGACTGAACCAGCCTCCAGACTCAAGCCTTCATGGGACTTCAGATACCATGAGGAATGGGTGTCCCTGCAATATTGTCTTGGCTGTCAAAAGTGTTATTGGAGCTGGGCAAGTGGGTCCTCTCCTGCCATTCCATCCTGCTTAGATTTCCCATTCAACACCAATCTTATTTCCTTTTTTTTTTTTGACAGAGTCTCACTCTGTCTTCTAGGCTGGAGTGCAGTGGTGGGATCTCGGCTCACTACAGTCTCCACCTCCCAGGTTTAAGTGATTCTTGTGCCTCAGCCTCCCAAGTAGCTGGGATTGCAGGTGCACACCATCAAGCCTGGCTAATTTTTTTTTTTTTTTTTTTTTTTTTTTTGCATTTTTAGTATAGACAGTGTTTCGCCACGTTGGCCAGGCTGGTCTTGAACTCCTGACCTCAAGTGATCCACCTACCTCGGCCTCCCAAAGTGCTGGGATTACAGGTGTGAGTCACCGTACCTGGCCCCATTTCCTCTTATACCATAAGTCATTGCCTGCAGATGTGTTTTCTCCATTAGTTTGCAAAAGCTTCCTGAGAGTAGGTCTGTGCCTCATTTATTCTGGAATCTCCCTGGCACAAAGCACAGGGCTTTATCCTCAGTAGGCATTCAACAAATGTTTAATATCATTCAACAGCTCCTCTTACCACTGCCCCCAACTTATTTGCAGGTGGCTAAGTACAATCAGAACAAGTAGGTATCACAAGATTTAGTCCAGAGTCAATCTGAGAAGAAATTACTTTAGTGATATGAAAAGAAGCCATGCTATTTAGTCAGAATACTTCTGAGAGTATCCCCTGTCCAAGCATTTGCTGAATTTCTATCTACTAATTTTCAGGTGGAACAGTATGGTTGCGGAGAGTCCATTTGGACATAGATACACTTTCATGCATTCATGTCTTTAACAATAATTTGTGGCCCTACTGTGTTTGTTCACTAACTCCTTTGAACCTACCACATAAGCTATATCTTTATTTTCCTTGTAATTTGGAAGGTCCAATGCTTCATTAAGCTCACATGCCTGAAACTAATGAAGAAAATATCTCGTTAACCAGCTAGTATAAAAGTAGTCACCAAATCAAGTCAATCACCTGCCTTAAATCAGCCCAGTACTCCCATGTTGAGCGGAGAAGCCCATTCTGAATCACAGTCAAGACATTGATGGAAAAACAGCTCCCTCTGGGGATCAAAACCACGCTCGCTCCAAATCCTCCTCCCCAGAGTTCTACTCATTGCTCACCCACTGAACCCAGAACAACCAGAAGTGCTTGAAATGAGGACGGGTAGCTCCTTGTACCAATCGGAATTTAAAACTGTATCAATTCCTGCTATAGAAATGAAGCGTCTCCCCAGGACCAGCATTCCACGAAGGCAGCCCTTTTCTAGATGGAGAAAACAGAACCTGAAGGCACCCGTTTCCCTAAACTGCTCTCGCTCATGTGTAAGTACAAATGAAAAATGCTGAGGCTGCTTCTGTTGGCATTGCTTTTTAATTACGGCCATCAATAAATCATTTTATCCTTGAACAAGACTTGAGAATGACCCCAAGGCAGAGACACAATTCCTTAGGAATTAGGCCAACAGAGAATGGGCTATCTCTCTTCCCACCTCTTCTCTTACTCTGCTGTCAGAAACAGAAACGTTCTCTGTGAGTAGCTGGGAGTAGACGGCCACACTTGAGTTCCATCTGGGGGTTCTGTTAACACAGTTTTACCCCATCCTGCCTTGATGGCCACTGCCACACAAACTGCATCTGTTCTTTCTTCTGCGCCTTTTATTATTTCCTCTTTCTAATGTAGTGAGCTGAATGGTGGCTTTGCACAAGATATATCCAGATCCTTGTGCCTAGAATCTGTGGAGGTGGCATTAGTTGGAAAAAGGTTCTTTGCAGATGTAATTAAGGATCTTGAGATTATCCTGGAGGATTTTAGGTAGGCTGTACATCTGAAGACAAGTGTCCTTATAAGAGGACACTTTTGTCCGGGCACAGTGGCTCATGCCTGTAATCCCAGCACTTTGGGAGGCCGAGGCGGGTGGATCACCTCAGGTCAGGAGTTCGAGACCAGCCTGACCAACATGGAGAAACCCCATCTCTACTAAAAATACAAAATTAGCCGGGCATGGTGGCACATGCCTGCAATCCCAGCTACTGGGGAGGCTGAGGCAAGAGAGTTGCTTGAACCCAAGAGGAGGAAGTGGCAGTGAGCTGAGATCATGTCATTGCACTCCAGCCTGGGCAACAAGAGTGAAACTCCGTCTCAAAAAAAAAAAAAAAAAGGACACTCCTTTTCATGCGCATCCGTGTGAAGAGACCACAAAACAGGCTTTGTGTGAGCAATAAAGCTGTTTATTTCACCTGGGTGCAGGTGGGCTGAGTCCAAAAAGAGTCAGCGAAGGGAGATAGGGGTGGGGCCATTTTATCAGATTTGGGTAGGTAAAGGAAAAAGGGATGTTCTCTGGCAGGCAGGAGTGGGGGTCACAAGGTGCTCAGTAGGGGAGCTTTTGAGCCAGGATGAGCAAGGAGAAGGAATTTCACAAGATAATGTCATCAGTTAAGGCAGGAACAGGCCATTTTCATTTCTTTTGTGGTGGAATGTCATCAGTTAAGGCAGGAATCGGCCATCTGGATGTGTACTTGCAGGTCACAGGGGATATGATGGCTTAGCTTGGGCTGAGAGGCCTGACATTCCTGTCTTCGTACATTAATAAGAAAAATAAAATGAAATAGTAGTGAAGTGTTGGGATGGTGAAAAATTTCTGGGGGTAGTATGGAGAGATAATGGGCGATGTTTCTCAGGGCTGCTGCGAGTGAGATTAGGGGTGGCATGGGAACCTAGAGTAGGAGAGATTAAGCTGAAGGAAGATTTTGTGGTAAGGGGTGATATTGTGGGGTTGTTAGAAGAAACATTTGTCGTGTAGAATTATTGGTGATGGCCTGGATACGGTTTTGTATGAACTGAAAAACTAAACGGAATAAGAGAAGGAGAAAAACAGGTATTAAAGGACGAAGAATTGGGAGGACCTAGGACATCTAATTAGAGAGTGCCTAAGGAGGTTCAGCATAGCCTTGCCAACAAAGATTATTTATTTAAGAGTTAAGAGTGGTGGTTTGGGGATAGCACCAGGAGATATCACCTGTGATGGTTTGGAGAAACAGTGTAAACCACCAGTGAAAACAAGAGCAGGGCATATATGAGTAGTTGAGAACGGTGAATAGGAGTATGACTAGACAGAAGATAGTAGGGATGACAAGTTTTTTGGGGCACAGTCCAAGTTGGTCTTGTGTCTGGAATGAGACTGGGGCCTAATAAAAAGGAGCTTCTATAGGGGAGATCCAATGGGTATCGGGGGACCTGCCCCGATAATCACGTAGGTTCTTTTCTATTTTCCTGTGTCGACTGGCTTGAGAAATAAAAGGACAGAGTACAAAAAAGAGAAATTTTAAAGCTGGGCGTCCGGGGGAGACATCACACTTTGGTAGGATCCGTGATGCCCCACAAGCCACAAAAATCAGCAAGTTTTTATTAGGGAGTTTCAAAAGGGGAGGGAGTATACGAATAGGTGTGGGTGACAGATATCAAGTACTTAACAAGGTAATAGAATATCACAAGGCAAGTGGAGACAGGGCGAGATCACAGGACCACAGGACCGAAGTGAAATTAAAATTGCTAATGAAGTTTTGGCACCATTGTCATTGATAACATCTTATCAGGAGACAGGGTTTTGAGATCAACCGGTCTGACCAAAGTTTATTAGGCGGGAATTTCCTCTTCCTAATAAGCCTGGGAGTGCTATGGGAGACTGGAGTTTATTTCACTTCTGCAATCTCGACCATAAGAGACAGGTACGCCCTGGGGGGGCCAGTTCAGAGACCTATCGCTAGGTGCGCATTCTCTTTCTCAGAGACGTTCCATGCTGAGAAAAGGAATTCAGCGATATTTCTCCCATTTGCTTTTGAAAGAAGAGAAATATGGCTCTGTTCTGCCCGGCTCACCGGCGGTCAGAGTTTAAGGTTATCTCTCTTATTCCCTGAACAATTGCTGTTATCCTGTTCTTTTTTCAGGGTGCCCACATTTCATATTGCTCAAACACACATGCTGTACAATTTGTGTAGTTAACGCAATTATTACAGGTCCTGAGATGATATAAATCCTTCTTGGCTGACAGGATTAAGAGATTAAAGCAAAGACAAGCATAGAAAATCACAAGGATATTGATTGGGGAAGTGATAAGTGTCCATGAAATCTTTACAATTTATGTTTAGAGATTGCAGTAAAGACAGGCATAAGAAATTACAAAAGTATTAATTTGGGGAACTAATAAATGTCCATAAAATCTTCACAATCCACGTTCTTCTGCCATGGCTTCAGCCGGTCCCTCCGTTTGGGGTCCCTGACTTCCCTCAACAAATGGGTTGTACCTTGTAGCATTCCGAGGACAGGCCTGAATTCTGAGAAGGGAAAGTGGTAAAAGTATTGTCCAGTCCTTTTTAAGTTGGTGGCTGAGCTTGGTAAGGTGTGTTTTTAAAAGACCATCAGTCTGTTCTACCTTTACTGAAGACTGAGGACTGTAAGAAATATAAAGGTTTCACTGAATACTAAGAGCCTGAAAAAATGCTTGGCTGACTTGATTAATAAAGGCTGGTCTGCTATCTGACTGTATAGAGGTGGGAAAGCCAAACTGAGGAATTATGTCTGACAGAAGGGAAGAAATGACCGTGGTGGCCTTCTTAGACCCTGTGGAAAGGCCTCTACCTATCCAGTGAAAGTGTCTACCTAGACCAAGAGTTATTTTAGTTTTCTGACTCGGGGCACGTTGAGTAAAGCTAATTTGCCAGTCCTGGGTGGGGGCAAATCCCTGAGCTTGATGTGTAGGGAAGGGAGTGGGCCTGAAGAATCCTTGAGGAGTAGTAGGATAGCAGATGGAACACTGAGAAGTGATTTCCTTGAGGATAGATTTCCACGATGGAAAGGAAATGAGAGGTTCTAAGAGGCGGGCTGGTGGCTTGTTCTATAGCATAGCCTGCTTTTGCTGGTGTGTGGCGATTAGGCCTGGTGGAACCGCCATCAATAAACTAAGTGTGGTCAGGGTGAGGAACAGGGAAGAAGGAAATGTGGGGAAATGGGGTGAATGTCAGGTGGATCAGAGAGATGCAGTCATGAGGGTCAGGTGTGGTATCAGAAATAATGTGGAAGGCCGGATTGAAGTCCAGGCCAGGAACAATGGTAATTGTGGGAAACTCAACAAAGAGTACAGCAGAAGGAGCCGGGGAGCAGAATGTATATGTGGCAGGTGTGAGGAAGAAAATAGATTTCGGAAATTATGAGAGCTGTAGAGAGTGAGTTGAGCATAGTTTGTGATTTTAAGGGCCTTTAAAGTATTAGGGTGGCAGCAGCTGCTACACAGAGACATGACAGCCAACCTAAAACAGTAAGGTCAAGTTGTTTGGACAAAAAGGCTACAGGACGCGATCCTGGTCCTTGTGTAAGAATTTCAACTGCACAGCGCTGCACTTCGGCTGTGTGTAATGAAAAGGGTTGGGATGAGTCACGGAGAGCTAGTGTAGCAGGACGAGTTGCAGACAAAACTCCTCAGACACCGGATTAAAGAAGGAAGAGGTTTTTTTATTCGGCCGGGAGCGTCGGTAGACTCGTGTCTTAAGAGCCGAGCTCCCTGAAAAAGAAATTCCTAGCACTTTTAAGGGCTTACAACTCTAAAGGGTCTACGTGAAAAAGTCATAATAGATCAAGTAAGCCTGAGGAACGTGACTGGGGGCTACATACTTCAGCTAACAGAACAAAAAGTTTTTACAGTGCTTTCTCATACAATGTCTGGGATTTACAGATAACACCTGTAGTTTTGGTCAGGGGTTAATATTATTGTCATTTTAACCACCAGGGCCAGGTGGTGGCGCCAAGGTCATCTGGCTATTTATTTTACTTCTGTTTTTTCCAACTTTTTGCTTTCTCCCTTTTTTGCTGTCTTACAAACTAGGGAAAAGGGGAGGTTGGGGAGAAACTGGGAAGGACAACAGGAGACGTGGTGGTCTCACACCATATTTCCCCCCTTTGAGCATTTTCACTTTTTAGTGGGAGTTCTCACTCTCATCTTTACTTTTTGAGTCTATTGGTGAGATAGAGCGATACTGATTCATATAACACACGTGTGCTGAAGTTTTCTGATGAACCAAAGTAGCTACAAAACCTTTTATCATTTGAAAAAGCAAGGGTAATACACAGGGGAGCAGCAAGCAAGCTCCTATCACTAGCAATACACCTACAATGAGGGTTTTAAATCCTGCTATAGCTGGAAACCATTTTTCAAATAAAGACTCAGGATTAAACTCGTGCCAAACCTGTACAGGCACATGTGCCACCTTTGTCATGTCCCTGACTATGTTTTTAACCACCTGTCCTTGATCATTTATTTGTAGGCAGCAATTGGTTAAGTTAAATTTTCCACAAACTCCTCCTTCAGCTACTAGCAAGTAGTCTAAGGCCAGTCTATTCTGATAGATAGCATTCCTCATTTGGGTTTCTTGCCAAGCTAAAACAGTCAAAGCTCTGCCAGTTTCATTAGTAATTATTTCTAAGATGGCCTGCAACCGTATGATCCAATTGAGCATGTAGATGGGGGTTCGGTATCCCCATGAGCCGTCTTGTGCCCATGTGGCAGGCCCATAATACTGAATGATCCTTTCAGGGGGCCACTCATTCTCCTTCCAGTTTCCTATAACTATGCCTTTCTTTTCTCGGGCGGCGTAGACAGGGAAACCTAGGAGCTCACCCGTTTTTATGGGTAATAAGAAAAAGGATGGCTTAATAGTGTCAATAACACAACTGCCTGCCCATTTATTAGGTAACCGAATGTAGGCTCTGTGCCTACATATCTAGTATAGTCCAGCGGGAACCGTCCAGTCCTGATGAGATTCTGGATGAGCCTAAGCAGTTTTTAATTTAGAAAATTTACTAAATGGATTCTTTTCAGTGTGGTTTAGGCCCTACTAAGTAATTGTCTGTATTGTGCTGTTATACAACTTCTGTCCTATACAATTAAGCTTTCCTACAGGGATGATAAAGTCTTTCCCTTCTCTAGCTCTACAGTATTGTCTAATAATTGAGGTTTTTAGGACCTAGAAGTTGCTAGCTTCGGCCTTCTGAACTGGAATTATATCAGGAGCTGGATCAGTAGGCACCAACTCTTGGGCTTCCCAAGGCCATCTGTCTCCGATAGTGGTTCCTCCGCGTACATAACAAGAAGTAACAGTTATGTAAGTAAGAAAATTACATTTTCTGCTAATTGGAGAAACAAATTTTTTGTCTTTTTCAGAAGTTCTGGTGCTGGCACATTCAGCTCCTCATAAAAGGTTTGAAATACTGGTTTGGGAGAGCACTTGTGGACCTCCCCTCTAATTACAATGGCAACTTGAGGGTTTAACCCTGTCCTATTGATCCCCAGGGTTACACGTTCTCCCTTTTTCCAACGGGGATCTAGGGGATTGGTAATTATTAGTTCTAGTGGGTTACAGTGACTGGCAGCACAGGAGGGGTTGGCTTCCCCCTTCTGAAGATAAACCGGTTCCTTTTTGTTCTTTTTTTAAGTAGCCTAAATAACACATGGCCAATAGGCACAATTTTTACAAACCCCTGACTCATGACAAACATATTTATTTTCTACTCTTTAGCTCCTTTCTCAGTTAAGAGAACCACATCCTATTTCTAGCTTTTTACTATTAATGGCTGCACAAGCATCAAATCTTAAAGTTATTTGCTTGGGAATTTCTTTTTCTTCTGTTCTAGTTATTATTTTACTTGTATCACCTAGGAAAAGGCCAGTTCTTATTCTTATTTCAAAAACGGTGGTTGCGGAGGGCTCAGATGGGTTATAACACGCATCAGGTCGGTCATTTCTCGGGCTACATACCTTGCACTGAGTGGCATTATACAAACAAGTTTCTTTTATTGTTTCCACACATTCATAATAACTATAGAACAGAAAGATTGTTTTAATTTGCTGTCCTACTTCGGTGACCTGATGAATACACTGGGAACAGTCCCCAGTTTGAGTAAGATCAGTTGAAGCCCTTACTGTATAAGTCCAAAATTTAAGAAAAATGAATCTCACGATGAGCTTCCTCAGGCTTCGGCCGTGCGTGGACCAGTCAGCTTCCGGGTGTGACTGGAGCAGGGCTTGTCGTCTTCTTCAGGGTCACTCTGAAAGGGTTGTCTGGGCTTGGTCTTGCCTCCCAGGTTTCACGCGCTGCAGGTTTTACATGGCTGTGGTGGATCCAGGCTGGGATTCCTTCTACCTTCACAGCGGTGGGAGGGCTCAGAACGACAGTCTGGGGTCCTTTCCACAGTGGACACAAAGAGGCTACGTTCCAGTTCTTGATCCACACTCGATCACCTGGGGAGAAAGGGTGAACTGGGGAGAATAAGCTAACAGGCCATTTACTCGGGCTGAGATTGTTTGTGTAATTTTTCCTAAGGCCTGTAGCTGTCGCTGTAACTCAATTTCACCTAACTCTCAGGGAGTGCCTGGAAGTCCCCGCAATATAGGAGGGGGCCTATGATATAATATTTCATAAGGGGAATATCCTGCTCTTTTAGAAGTGGTACATCTAATTTTAAATAATACCATAGGGAGAGCCTGTATCCATTTTAATCCTGTTTCCTGACATACTTTCCCTAAACTATTTTTGATAGTTTGATTCATTCGCTCCACCTTTCCGGAACTCTGAGGCCAGTAGGCAGCATGCAGTTTCCATGTGATCCGTAATATCTTTGCCGCCTTCTGTACTAAGTCAGCCACAAATGCCGGCCTGTTATCTGAGCCGATCCGTAAGGGCAGTTCAAATCTAGGAAGAAGATCTCGAAGAAGCACACGAGTTACTTCACGAGCTTTCTCAGTTCGTGTTGGATAAGCCTCCACCTACCCAGAGTAGGTACGCCCAAGAACTAGTAAATACTTGTTACCTCTACACTTTGACATCTCTGTGAAGTCCACCTGGAGATCTTCAAAGGGGGCTGCTCCATAAGCTTGTATGCCGGGTGGAACGGCTGGACATTGCCTAGCATTATGCTGTGGGCAGGTAACACACCACTGCGTCACCGTTTTGGCAAGAGCTGACAAATGCGAGATGTAGAAATACCGGCCTAACAACTTTTCAATTGACTCCTGACCTCGATGGGTGGTTTCATGCACAGCCAGTACAACTGCAGCTCCTAGCAGCTGTGGCGCATCTTCTCTCCCTTCCGGTAACCGAATCCATCCTTCCTCCATCACTTGTCCTCTCTCTGCCTGGAGGAAGTCCTTTTCTTCTTTAGAATAAGTAGGTACAAGATCAGGTGCTTGAGGGAGCATGGGGGCTGTGACTGATGCCCGGAAGGGGGCAGACGCTGCTTTTCGAGCCTCTAAGTCAGCGGGGGAATTCCCTAAACCCAGCAAGGTGGAAGCTCGCTGCTGTCCCCTGCAATGCATAACTGCCACCTTGTGGGGTCTCCATATGGCTTTTAACAATTGCAAGATTTCTTGTTGATATTTTATGTCTTTTCCCCCAGAGTTCAATAGGCCCTTTTCTTTATATAATGCTCCACGCACTTGAAGGGTTGAAAAGGCATATTGAGAGTCAGTGTAAATGTTGACATTCTTAGCTTCACTGAGTTCTCAGGCCCGAATGAAAGCAATGACTTCAGCTTTCTGAGCTGAAGTGCCCTGGGGCAATGATCTGGCTTCAGCAACAGTGTCCAGAGTTACCACCGCATATCTTGCACATCTCTCTCCTTGTGGGTTGATGAAGCTGCTCCCAGCCACGTATAGTTCCTAGTCTACTGGTGCCTAAGGCTGGTCCTGGAGGTTAGGTCTGCTAGAGTAAACTGAGCCCAACACTTCTACACAGTCATGCTCGACAGGGCTCTCTGATACTGGGAGCAAGGTAGCGGGGTTCAGCGTGCTACAAACTTCAGTGGTTATACGGGGATTTTCACAGAGCAAACTTTAGGACTTAGTGAGTCTAGCATTCATTAGCCAATGATGTCCTTTAGTATTCATTAAAGTCACCACAGCACGGGAGGCCTTTATGTTCAGGTTTTGCCCAAGAGTCAGCTTATCTGCTTCTTGTACTAGCAGGGCAGTTGCTGCCAAGGCCCTCAAACACGGGGGCCATCCTTTAGAAACCCCGTCTAGTTGTTTAGAGAGGAAGGCCACCGGCCTCAGCCAGGGCCCCACAGTTTGGGTTAAAACTCCAACTGCTATCTTTTCTCTCTCTGACACATACGATGGAAAAGGCTTTGTTAGATCGAGTAGCTCCAGGGCTGGGGCTGACATAAGTTTTTCCTTTAACTCATGAAAGGCTTGCTGTTGCTGGGATCCCCATTCAAAACGTTCCCTGTCCCCCCCCCCACCCCTTTGTGACCTCATACAAAGGCTTGGCTTATACTGCAAAGTTTGGGATCTTCAGTCTGCTAAACCCAACAGCCCATAAGAATTCTCTCACCTGCCTTCTTGTCTTAGGCTCCGGTAGATTTCAAATGACCTGCTTTCTTTCTGATCCTAGGCTGCTCTCCCCCTTTTGGATAGTAAATCCTAAGTAATGTACCTGCTGTCGTCAGATCTAAGCTTTTTTCTTGGACATCTTATACCCACAGTCCTCCAGGTGCCGGAGTAGAGCATCTGTTCCCTTGGCGCACCTGACTGCCGTGGGGTGTCCCAGCAAAAGATCATCAATGTACTGGAGCAACACGCAGTCTACGTCTCTGGTGGGAAACTTCTGGAGGTCTCGAGGCAATGCCTCCCCGAAGATGGTGGGGGAGTTCTTGAACCCTTGGGGAAGCCCGGTCCAAGTGTACTGAGTAGTGACACCTGACTCCGGATCTTCCCACTGAAAGGCAAACAGCTTCTGGCTCTCAGGGGCTAATCTGATGCTGAAGAAAGCATCTTTCAGGTCCAAGCAGGTGAAGCAGCTGTCCTCAGCTGGCAGCAACCCCAGCAATGTGTACGGGTTAGGTACTGCTGGATGTAAAGTCACTGTAGCTTGATTAACCAAGCGCAAATCCTGTACCGGCCAGTAGTCCTTGGTCTTAGGCTTGGGAACAGGCAGGAGGGGAGTGTTCCATGGAGACTGACAAGGAACTCTGATTCCAAAAGTTCTTAGGTGCTTGAGATGGACCTGGATACCTTCAAGAGTTTCTCTGGGGACCGGCTCCTGTTTTTGCCTAACCGGCTGGGCCCTAGGCTTAACTGGCCAATCCTGGAGGGTTGTCTTCTGCCCATGACTTTAGCAGCAAAGAGCCATGCTCTGTAAAAGAGATAGTGGCTCTCAGTTTGCTAAGCAAGTCCCTTCCCAACAAGCACAAGGGACAGTCAGGTGTGTACAAAAACTGATGAATCACTTTATGTCCTCCTACAGCACAAGTCCGGGGCAAGCAGAAAGCTTGCTTTGCTGAAACTCCTGTGGCTCCAATGATGTCAATAATCTTTTTGGATAAGGGGGTGACCGGGGCGGTTACTACCGAATGTTTAGCTCCAGTATCTACAAGAAAATCAATGTCTTTACCCCTAACTGTCATCCTGACCATAGGCTCTTTAGGGGTCCTTGAGCCCAGTCCCCCTCAGTCCAATAACCCCTCTGCCAGGTTGAGCAGGGTGCCTTCATCCTTGTCCGGGGCCTCCTGCTCTGAGTCACCTTGTTTTCTTTTTAGCTGAGGGCATTTGTTTTTCCAATGTCCTATTTCTTTACAATAAGCACACTGATTACGCTGCAAGCTCTGACAGCCAGGCTGAGTTTCCTTCCCAGGGCCCCCCTTCCCTTGCCTATTTTGGGGGACCCCTCTGATTGCTGCCGCTAACAGGTCGGTGTTTCGCTGGGCCTGACGTTCATTGTCTCTGTAGTTTTCCTTACGGCTTACTGCATCCCTGTTTACAAACGCCTGGTTAGCTATTTCTAATAACTGTGATGTGTTCATCCCTGCAAACTCAGCCTGTTTCTGCAGTTTTCTTCTAATGTCTTCTGCGCTTTGACTAACTAAAGCCATGTTAATCATGCCTTGATTTTCAGGGCTATCGGGATCAAAGGGAGTATACATACCATAGGCCTCACACAGACTCTCCTACAATTGTGCTGGACTTTCTTCTTTTCTCTGAATGACCTCAGAGACTTTGTTAACATTTGTGGCCTTCTGGGCTCCCCTCTTTAATCCTTCCAAGAGAGCTTCCCTGTCTCTGTTTAGCCTTTGCATATCCTCTCTTTCATGTGGGTCCCACTGGGGGTCAGTTCCTGGTAACTGGGTCCTTACATACTCTTGGGGGTTTTGGTAATCAGCTGGTGCATGTTCCTCTAGCCACTTAGTTGCCGCTTGGAGCACTCTCCACCTTTCATCTGTGTTAAAGAGGAACATGAGCAACTGGTGGCAATCAGCCCAGGTGGGGTTATGGGTCTGGATAATAGTTTGGAGCAAATCAATCAGAGCTTGTGGCTTTTCGGTACAGGATGGGGTATTGTCTTTCCAGTTGAGAAAGTGGGCAGAGGTGAAGGGCTGGTACCCAAAAACACGCCTCCCCACCACGTGACCATCCTCATATATCCCAGTATACCGCTGCTCTCTCAGGGGCATTTGTGTCCCCGTTTTGGGTCTTAAACGAGCTGCCAAGGGAGGGGTTTCTCCCGAGTCCTCACCTCCTCTCTTGTCTACTCTGGGTGGCCTAGGGATATGTTTGTCTTGTGGAGGCACAAGCACTGTGGACTCAAAAGTGGGGAGCCTGCCTCCCTGGTAAGGAGAGGGCACCACTGAGATCACTGGTGCCATCTCCTGCAATGGATCTTCTGATGCTGGGTCGAACAGAACTTCAGGAGTTGATTTCCCTCGGCGGGTGGAGCGGGATCCTTCCTTGGCTATCTGTCACTTTGCTACTAGCGCTGCTGCTGCCTGCCCTCTTAGCCACTGTGGGGGGTTTAGCATCAGCTGTAACCAAGTGTCTATGTGTGGAAACTGGTCTGAGTGTCCTGACTTACCAGTTATCTTGTGCCATACCTTAGAAACAAGGGACCTGTCCAGGCTTCCTTCTGATGGCCATCCTACTTCTAATGTTGGCCAATCTATTTCACACAAAGTTCTAAGTTCCCCAAAGTCTCCATTAAATCCTCTCTTAAAATTTTTCAACATAGTTCCTAGGGGAGTAGGCTTACTTTGTATCTGACCCACGTTTCCTCGAGACAAAACACCAAGCTCACACCACACGCACACCACAGAACAAAGAATGGGTAAAAAGGGCACACACACACTTTTTCAGTTTTCACCAAACCAGAATCAAAACCAAAATCAGAGTATCCAGAAATCCATGCCAGGTCAAACCAAAACCAAAGTATCAAGCAATTCAAGTCAAGTCAAAAACAAAAACCAAAGTGCCAGTACAGGCACGCCGTGGGTGATCAGGCCACGCTTCCACTCAAATGGAGTGGGCAAGTTCCAAAGACCAGTCTTACCAAGTTTCAAATGTCCGGACTCCAAGTGCCTCTTCCTTCCCTGTGTTCAGCCACTGTGTTGATCCTCCATGGGGGCCTACCACACACTGCTCTGACGAGGCATTCCTCCGGGGCAATTTCTTACCCGGGAGAGCTCTCAGGATCCGCGTCGCTCAAGCTGGCTGGAGTCCCCCGCAGGGATGCTCCACAGGGCAGGCCTAAGCCACCTAACGGGCTGCCTCGACTTTCCGTCAATTACCTCGCTTCCCGGTCAGGGAACCAAGACTAGGGTGGGGGCAGTCTTTAAAGCTGTCTTCAAGGAACAGAAAGAGGAGTGGGGAAAGGATTTAGGATCTATGGGGTCAGCTAGGTTTCCTTTTGTGAGTTTATATAATGGTTTTATTAGGATGGCAAAACCAGATATCTAAAGATGAAAGTATCCAACCATGCCCAGGAAGGAAAGGAGTTGTTGTTTTGTAGAAGGGGTTGGGGTTTGAGAGATTAGTCACATACGATCGGCAGGGAGAGCATGTGTGTTTTTATGAGAATTATGCGGAGATAGGTAACAGAGAAGGAAGAAATTTGGGCTTGACTGAAGTAATGGGGGCTGTCTGTGAAGCTTTGCAGCAGTACAGCCCAGGTAATTTGCTGAGCCTGATGGGTGTCAGGTTCAGTCCAAGTGAAAGTGAAGAGTGGCTGGGATGAAGGGTGCAAAGGAATAGTAAAGAAAGCATGTTTGAGATCCAGAACAGAATAATGGGTTGTGGAGGGAGGAATTGAGGATAGGAGAGTATATGTGTTTGGCACCTTGGGGTGGATAGGCAAAACAATTTGGTTGATAAGTCATAGATCCTGAACTAACTTGTAAGGCTTGTCTGGTTTTAGGACAGGTAAGATGGGGGAATTGTAAGGAGAGTTTATAGGCTTTAAAAGGCCATGCTGTAGCAGGTGAGTGATAACAGGCTTTAATCCTTTCAAAGCATGCTGTGGGATGAGATATTGGCATTGAGCTGGGTAAGGATGATTAGGTTTTAATGAGATGGTAAGAGGTGCATGATAGGTCGCCAAGGAGGGAGTAGAGGTATCTTCTACTTGTGGGTTAAGGTGGGTGGCAATGAGATGTAGCTGTAATCCGGGAATAGTCAGGGAAGCAGATAATTTAGTTGAAGTGTCTCGGCCTAATAAGGGAACTGGGCAGGTGGGGATAATGAAAAAGGAGTGCTTAAAAGAGTATTGTCTATGTTGGCACCACAGTTGGGGAGTTTTAAGAGGTTTAGAAGCCTGGCTGTCAATACCCACAACAGTTATGGAGGCAAGGGAAACAGGCCCTTGAAAAGAAGGTAATGTGGAGTGGGTAGCCTCTGTATCGATTAAGAAGGGGATGGAATTACGCTCCACAGTGAGAGTAACCTAGAGCGTCTGTGATGGTCCTGTAGGCTTCCGAGGCGTTCGATCGGGAAGTGTCGGTCTGCAGCTGCTAAGCCAAGAAGATCTGGGAAGGAGTCAGTCAGGGAGCCTTGGGCTGGAGATCCAGGGGCTCTGGGAGTGGCTGCCAGGTGAGTTGAACAGTCCGATTTCTAGTGGGGTCCCACACAGATGGGACATGGCTTAGGAGGAATCCCGTGTTGCAGGCATTCCTTGGCCTGGTGGCCAGATTTCTGGCACTTGTAGCAAGCTCCTGAGAGAGGCGGTTCTGGAGGAATGCCTGGCCACTGCGCTTTAGGTGTTTGGAAGCTCTTGTGTGTTGGAGATGTGGCTGGGGTTTGTCTCACAGTGGAGGCAAGGAATTGCAACTGAGAAATATGTTGCTACTTGGCTGCCTCTACTCTATTATTGTACACCTTGAAGGCGAGGTTAATTAAGTCCTGTTGTGGGGTTTCAGGGCCGGAATTTAATTTTTGGAGTTTTATTTAATGTCGGGGGCAGATTGGGTAATAAAATGTATACTGAGAATAAGATGGTCTTTTGAACTTTTAGGGTCTAGGGCTGTAAAGCATCTCAGGGTTGCTGCCAAACGAGCCATGAACTGGGCTGGATTTTTATATTTGATGAAAAAGAGCCTAAACCTTATCTGATTTGGGATAAAGAAAAAGGAGCATTAACCTTGACTATGCCTTTAGCTCCAGCCACCTTTTTAAGAGTAAATTGCTGGGCAGGATGGGGAGGGCCAGTCACGGAATGAAACTGTAAGCCGGACCCAGTGTAAGGAGGGGAGGTGATAAAAGGATTATAGGGTAGAGGAGCAGAGGCTGAGGAAGAATTGGGACATAGCTCAGCCTGGCAAGGAGGGGAGAGGTCAGATGGGTCTGTAGAAAAGGAAGATTAGAAAGTCTCAGCGACACTTGGGGTTGGGACTGAGGGGACAGGTGGGAGGGAAAGAAAGAAGATTTGGGATGAGTTGCATTGGGAACAGAGACTAGGGAGGGACCGATGTGTAAAAGAATGCCTGGACGTCAGGCACCTCAGACCATTTGCCCATTTATGACAAGAATTATCTAGATCTTGTAGGATGGAAAAATTGAAAGTGCCATTTTCTGGCTATTTGGAACCACTGTTGAGTTTGTATTGGGGTCAAGTGGCATTGTAGAAGAAAATAAGGCATTTAGGTTTTAGGTCAGGTGTGAGTTGAAGAGGTTTTAGGTTTTGAAGAACACAGGCTAACGGAGAAGAAAGGGGAATGGAGGGTGGAAGCTTGCCCATAGTGAAGGAGGCAAGCCTAGAGAAAAGAGAGAGTAGAGACACAAAGAGTAGGGGTGGGGTGGTCTTGCCTTCCAGAAAAGCAGGAAATGGGTTGGGGCACATAAATAAAGGGTTGGAGTGCAGAGATAGGAGGTCACGTTGTGGAAATAAGGGATCAGGGCACACAGATAAGAGGGCGGGGCATGGAAATAACGGATCGAGGTGCAGAGATAAGAGGGGGTGGGGTTCCTGTGCCTCCCCCAGAAAAGCAGGACTTGCTGCTAAGGGTGAAGGACCAAGGCAGGCGTCCCTGCATGGTCTGACACCTCTGAAACCTGGGTGAATAATCAGAGGCGTCCCTGCAATGATTAAACGCCAAGGGAAGGCTGCCTTCCCTAGTCCATGACCGGCACCAGAGTTTTGGGTCCACGGATAAAACGTGTCTCCTTGATCTCTACCAGAAAATGAAAGGAATTGAAATTAAGAGAAGGGAGAGATTGAAGTGTGGTGCCAAGACTGAAAGGAGAAAGAGGTTGAAGGATAGTAAGGGAGGTTGGAGAAGAGAGTAAAAAGAAGCTGCTTCCCAGATTTGAAATTGGTGAGATGTTTCTTGGGCTGGTCAGTCTGAGGACCTGAGGTCGTAGGTGGATCTTTCTCGCAGAGCAAAGAGCAGGTGGACAGGGGATTGATCTCCCAAGGGAGGTCCCCCAATCCGAGTCACGGCACCAAATTTCACATGCATCTGTGTGAAGAGACCACCAAACAGGCTTTGTGTGAGCAATAAAGCTGTTTATTTCACCTGGGTTCAGGTGGGCTGAGTCCAAAAAGACAGTCAGTGATGGGAGATGGGGTGTGGCCATTTTATAGGATTTGTGTAGGTAAAGGAAAATGGGGGGTTGTTCTCTGGCAGGCAGGAGTGGGGGTCACAAGGTGCTCAGTAGGGGAGCTTTTGAGCCAGGATGAGCCAGGAGAAGGAATTTCACAAGATAATGTCATCAGTTAAGGCAGGAACTGGCCATCTGGATGTGTACGTGCAGGTCACAGGGGATATGATGGCTTAGCTTGGGCTCAGAGGCCTGACACTCTTCCTCCAGAGGAGGAGACCCAGACAGAAGAGGAGGAGGCAAGGTGATCACAGAGGCAGAGATTGTCTCATGCAGCCACAAGTTGAGGAATTCCAGGAGCCTCTATAAGCTGGAAGACGCAAGGAATGGATTCTCCCCTAGAACCTCTGAAGGAGCATGCTCCTGCTGACCTTTGATTGATTTTGGACTTCTGGCCTCCAGACAATTTTTTTTTTTTCTTTTAGACAGAGCCTTGCTCTGTTGCCCAGTCTGGAGTGCAGTGGCACGATCTCAGTTCACTGCAACCTCCACCTCCCAGGCTCAAGCCATTCTCTTGCTTCAGCCTCCCAAGAAGTGGGGACTACAGGTGCCTGCCACCATGCATGGCTAATTTTTGTATTTTTAGTAGAGACGAGGTTTTGCCATATTGGCCAGGCTGGTCTCGAATTCCTGGCCTCAAGTGATCCACCCACCTCAGCTTCCCAAAGTCCTGAGATTATTTAGGTGTGAGCCACGGCACCCGGCCCAGACATTGTTTGAAGCCACCCATTTCATGGTTCTTTGCTGCAGTGGTTGTGGAATATGAATGCACTCGTGCTGTTGGTTAGACTTTGCTGCCCTTTGGTCTGTTATTCCCTGGCAGTTCTACAAGGCCTGGAGCTGATACGAAAAACCTCCCTTCTTTCCCAAATGGTCCCCGGCTTCCCCGATCACTGAAGGCCCTGCAGTCAGGAACAGTCAGGACTTTGCACCCAGTTGTTGTGGTTGTTTGGCCGACACTTCCTCTTGTGTGATTCATGGACCCGCAGCATTGCGTTACCTGGGAGCTTTTGGAATTGAAGACTCTCAGGGCTCACCCGGAAGGACCTCCTGGGCCAGAATCTGCATTTTAACAAGATGCCCAGGTGATTTGCATACACGTTCAGATCTGAGAAGCGCTAGTAGGAGAGGCTTTAAGGTGGTAATTAGATCTTTTCTCCACCTGCAAGAATCTTAGTTTCTTCATGTTAAATCTATTAACTGTGGCAATGGCATGGGGGGTTATAAAACAAAACAAAATCCTTACATCAGGAATGCACCCTGGCGTGTTATGGATGTGGGTGAAATGAAATGTCTGGAATTTGCTTTAAAATATCCTAAAATAGCAAGAAGGAAAAGAAAAGTGGGTACTGGAATGAGATTGGCGAAATGTTGACAAGTTCTTGCAGTGGGATGATGGGTGCATGGGGGTTCATGGTATAATTCTTTCCCTGCTTTTTGTGTATATGGGAAATTTCCATAATGAAAAGTTAGAGGTCGGGCACGGTGGCTCATGCCTGTAATCTCAGCATTTTGGGAGGCTGAGGTGGGTAGATTGCTTGAACCTAGGAGTTCAAGACCATCCTGGACAACATGGTGAAAACCCATCTCTACTAAAAATGCAAAAATTAGGCATGTTGACAACATGCCTGTAGTCATGTTGAGGCACAAGGTTGAGACATGAGAATCACTTGAACCCAGGAGGCGGAGGTTGCAGTGAGTCAAGATCGCACCATTTCACTCCAGCCTGGGTGACAGAGTGAGACTTGGTCTCAAAACAATTTTTAATTTTCTTTTTTTTTGAGATGGGGTCTTGCTCTTTTGCCCAGGCTGGAGTGTAGTGGTGTGATCTTGGCTCACTGCAAGCTCCACCTCCCGAGGTCACTCCATTCTTCTGCCTCAACCTCCAGAGTAGCTGGGACTATAGGCACCCAGCACCATGTCCGGCTAATTGTTTGTATTTTTAGTAGAGATGGGGTTTCACCGTGTTAGCCAGGATGGTCTCAATCTCCTCATCTCGTGATCTGCCCACCTTGGCCTCCCAAAGTGCTGGGATTACAGGAATGAGCCATCGTGCCCGGCCTTAATTTTGTTTAATTTTTTTCTTTTTTGAGACAGGATCTGTAGCCCAGGCTGGAGTGCAGTGGTGCGATCCCTGCTCACTGCAGCCTCTACCTCCTGGGTTCAAGCGATCCTCCCACCTCAGCCTCCCGAGTAGCTGAGACCACAGGCATGTATCACCACACCTGGCTAATTTTTTCCCTTTTTCTAGAGGCACGGTCTTGCTATTTTGCCCAGGCTGGTCTTGAACTCCTGAGTTCAAGCAATCTTCCCATCTCAGCCTGGGAGTAATCCCAAAGTGCTGGGATTACAGGTGCGAGTCACTCTACCCAGCCTCAACTGTTTTTCATGACTCCACTTTTTCTCCCCTCTTGGAAATGAGTAGTCTTTGAGGGAATGTCTTTTTTGTCTCAATCTCTGGTTTCTTTGCTCAATGCACCTGTGTTTGGGGCTTTGTTGATCTCCAGGCCTTTTTCAGCAGAGTTGTCCCTGGAGAGCAGGATGGGAGCTGATGGCTTCTCAGCATCTTTTAACTCAGTTTAAAGATGACTATCAACAACATCTAGTCAGCATCTGTTGCTCTCGGCAGCTGGGACTTCATTTCTTTTCTCTTTCTCCACCTCTCTAACCTCTTTAAGACTCTGGCTTTGTCATGGGTACAGCATCACCTGTGTGGCCCTTAGGCTCTCTTACTTACATGTGATCTGCGTATTATGTCTTTACTTCAGGGCTTCTCAACCAGGGGGTGATTTTGCCCCCCAGAGAACATGTGGCCATGTCTGGAGACAATTTTGGTTGTTGCGGCTGGAGGAGGTGGTGCTACTGGCAGCTAATGGGTAGAGGCCAGCGATGCTGCTAAGCATCCTACAATGCCCCGGACAACTCCCACTAAGACAGAATAATGATCCAGCCCCAAATGTCAATAGTGCTGAAAGTGAGAGACCCTGATTCCATCTTAGAGATCATCCAAGCACACTTGGCCAAATTGTTTTTGCTACTGTCCCATGAAGAAAAGGCAGACTCATGACTGATGGCAACATCGATGGGAATTTTGTTTACCTCTTCTTTGTGGACTTTGGGATACAATGACTTACCATTTGTGCAAGTTGTGCATTGCATACCTCCAGGGGGCGCCACCCACATATTTATGAAAATGCCACCCCAGGAATTGCACAGTACATAGTCTACATGGCAATAAGCAATTGCTCTGGTTTTGGGGTTGCCCTGGGGTGCTCTGGAACTGGGAGGAACTTTATTTCTGGCCATTAGAGGCCCTGAGCATGACATTGAGTATCCTTTCAAGAAAGGAGAAATGTTGAACAGAGAGGACCTCATTTTTATAACTCTTGACCATCATCTAGTTACAGAGCATCCACTTTTCACCCCTGGGCCATATCCATTTGACGGATGAAAAATCATCAAATTATAATATCATGGCTTATACTTTTGATAGCTTCTGCCCGGAACATGGCGGTAACAGCTTCTCATTTTCAATTGATTCATTGGGGGAGAAAATATACACGGCTGCCCTAAGACTTTCTATTACATACCATTTGTTTGACGGGATTTCTTTAGTTTCTGTAGCATAACTTATTCTAACTGGTCCTCAATCACTTTGCAATAAAACCTGAGATCGTGAAGATGTTCATTGTCATTACCAGTGACGGAGCAAGTACAGAGTTCTGGAGAGGGAAGGAATCGAGAGAGTTAAACTAACAGAATGAGCCGCTCACCCTCAGAATTGCTTTTAATCTTGGTGAGAACTGAGGGGAATTTTGACAGGGTTCAGGGGGATTGCGAGGAGTGGGGCTGGGAAGTGGCTGTTTGCACGTGTGGTCAGCAAATCCAGTGAGGGGGTCCATGTACTGTGGGCAGCCCCACAGATGGAGTTGGGATTGCCCTAGACTGAGTACTGGGTCATCAGTACTCAAGACATCGAGGCCCAGGCTGGTGCAGGAGATACATTTCACTGCTTCAGCCTTTCTTCTATCGCTCCTCTCCAATGACAGTCCCCGATTTTCCACCGAGGAGTCACCAGTCCCCCACGACATGTTTGCGACTGGCCATTCCCCATCCTGATCTGGAGCTGGGGCATGTAGTCCCAGCCTGGATGTCAGCATCCTTCCACCACCCTGGCCACAGTGATTGGGTCTGAGAAGCAGATTAGCCAAAGGAGAAACAATCTTGGAAATTTCATGTTCATGCTTAAGAAAGTAAAATGGAAAGCGCGGGGAGGGTGAGGGGTCATTCTGATGATATAGTTTTAGGACCTGGATGTAGCCACACCTGTAGCTGTCAACTCTGTGCCACAGTACTGCTTTTTTTTTTTTCCTTCAAATTTAAATACTTTCTAAAGGCAAGCTCTTGCTATGTGGCTTAGGCTGGTTTTGAAAAGTCCCTTTTGGGGGGATGCTTTCACTGCTTCACTTCCTTTCTATGACAGCTCAGGGAATCAGAAGACAAGGGAGATGACTTTCATTTATTTTTTTGTTTGTTTGAGACAGGGCTTGCTCTGTTGCCCAGGCTGGAGTGCAGTGGTGCAATCACAGTTCACCACAGCCTTGATCTTCTGGACTCAAGCGACCCTCCTGCTTCAGCCTCCTGAGTAGCTGGGACTGTAGGTGGCTACCACCATGCCCAGCTAATTAAATTTTTTTTTTTTTTTAGAAGTGAAATCTCACTATGTCACCCAGGCTGGCCTCAAACTCCTGGGCTCAAGTGATCGCCCTGCCTTAGCTTCCCAAACATACAGGTGTGAGCCCCCACACCAGTCAACGCTGTGGTTTTATGCACCTCGTGTCCCCCTACGCCCTGAGCAATGATCCTCCTGCTTCAACCTCCCAAAGTGCTGGGATAACAGATGTGAAGCAGCATGTGTGGTCCACATAGTATTCTTACGGGTTAAATTGAGTCCTCTTCAAAACATGTTGAAATCCTAAATTCTAGGAGCTCAGAATGTGACCTTATTTAGAAATACAGTTATTGCGGGCCAGGCGTGGTGGCTCACGCCTGAAATCCCAGCACTTTGGGAGGCCAAGGCGGGTGGATCACCTGAGGTCAGGAGTTTGAGACCAGCCTGACCAACATGGAGAAACCCCTTCTCTACTAAAAATTCAAAATTACCTGGGTGAGGTGGCGGCGCATACCTGTAATCCCAGCTACTCGGGAGGCTGAGGCAGGAGAATTGCTTGAACTCAGGAGACGGAGGTTGCATTGAGCTGAGATCGCGCTATTGCACTCCAGCCTGGGCAACAAGAGTGAAACTCCGTCTCGAAAGAAAGAAAGAGAGAGAGAGAGAGAAAGAAAGAAACAAAGAAAAAAAGAAAAAGAGAAAGAAAGAAAGAAATAGGGTTATTGCAGATGCTATTGATTAGGATGAAGTCTTGCTGGAGTAGGGAGGGCCCTAAGTCAATGACTGGTGTCCTTATAAAAGAGGAGAGGACACACCGAGTCACAGAGACACAGGGAAGAAGGCCATGGATTGGACGGAAGATTGGACTGATGCGTATGCAAACCAAGAAACACTGAAGACTGCCAGGAGACCACAGGAAGCTAGGAAGAGGCAAGGCAGGACTCCCCGACAAGTGCAGGAGGGAGCGTGGCCCTGCTGGCACGTCCGTTTCAGACTGCTGGCCACCAGAGCCACAGGACAATCAATTTCTCTGGTTTCAAGTCACCCAGCTTTTGGTACTTAGTTGTGGCAGCCCTAGGGAATGAATATAAGTATTTTCTCTTTTTTTTTTCTTTTTTTGAGATGGAGTCTCGCTCTGTTGCCCAGGCTGGAGTGCAGTGGAGAGATCTCGGCTCACTGCAGGCTCCGCCTCCTGGGTTCACGCCATTCTCCTGCCTCAGCCTCCTGAGTAGCTGGGACTACAGGTGCCCGCCACCACGCCCAGCTAATTTTTTGTATTTTTAATAGAGACAAGATTTCACCGTGTTAGCCAGGATGGTCTCCATCTCCTGACCTCATGATCCGCCTGCCTCAGCCTCCCAAAGTGCTGGGATTACAGGCATGAGCCACCACGCGCGGCCAAATATAAGTACTTTTAAATTATCTCTCCTCTTCTCTCCATCTTCTTCTAAATCATCATTTTTGCCTAAGCAACAGCTAGGGTCTAATACGGATGTGGCGACTCACTTCAAAGTGGGGGAAGCCCCCATGTGCACCCAAAGCTCCTGCTGCCTTGGCCCTGGGTTCAGATACTGGACCATCATTGTGGAGGCTTGCTGGAGATCTGAGCCAGGACACCATTCTCTGTTGCCTATAAACAAAGGCTGGTGCTCGCCCAGGCATGTAAGCTCCACCGAGGATCTGTTTGGAAGGCAGAATTCTGAGATGACCCCTTAGGTTCTTGCCCTGGATAAATGCCAGGTGTAATCTCCTCTCCCCTGGAGTGTAGGCAGGACCCGTGGCTTGCTTCTAATCTATACCTATGAAAAAGTTGAAGGGATTTTGCAGATGTAACTAAGCCCCTAATCCATTCACTTTGAGTTAATCAAAAGGGAGATTATTCAGGGTGGGCCTGACATCTTCAGGTGAGATCTTCAATGAAGGTCTGGAGGAGAGAAACTCCTTCCTCCTGGTTTTTGGTTTTTGTTTGTTTGTTTGTTTTTGACATGGAGTCTCACCTGTTGCCCAGGCTGGAGTGCAGTGGCACGATCTCGGCTTACTGCAACCTCTGCCTCCTGGGTTCAAGTGATTCTCCTGCCTCAGCCTCCCAAGTAGCTGGGATTACAGGTGTGCGCCATCATGCCCGGCTAAGTTATGTAGAGACGGGGTTTCACCATATTGGCCAGGCTGGTTTCCATCTCCTGACATCAGGTGATCCACCTGCCTCGGCCTCCGAAAGGGCTGGGATTACAGGTGTGAGCCACCTTGCCCGGCTGGTTTTGAAGAAGCCAGCCACATGAGTTCCACAGTTGCATGGAAATAAATTCTGCCAACAACCATGTGAGGTTGGGAGAGGACCCCAAGCCTCATATGAGACACTAATTCCAGCCGACACCTTGATCACAACCTTGTAAGAACCTGAGCAGAGCACCCAGCTAAAGCTGCACCCCCAGACTCCTGACCCACAGGAAAGGAGAGGGAATAGATGGGTGTTTTAAGCTGCTAAATTTGTGTTGATTTGTTATGCAGCTTAGAAAATGAATACATCATTCCATTTTTAAAAAATCATAAGCTAATCACACCATTCGATTTTTTTTTTTTTTTTTTTTTTTTTGACAGAGTCTCACTCTGTCGCCCAGGCTGGAGTGCAATGGCGCAATCTTGGCTCACTGTAACCTCTGCCTCCCAGGTTCAAGTGATTCCCTTGCCTCAGCCCCCCCCCAAGTACTGGGACTACAGGCAAGCACAACCACACCCAGTTAATTTTTATATTTTTAGTAGAGATGGAATTTCACCATTTTGGCCAGGCTGGTCTCGAACTCCTGACCTCAAGTGACCTGCCTGCCTCAGCCTCCCAAAGTGCTGGGGTTACTGACATGAGCCACCGCACCCGGCCTGACACACCATTCCACTTTAAGGAACTTCCAGGTGCTGTGGTCACGCCCCTCTTGTGTGGCATGCAGGTGGGGAGAGATGGGTTGGAAGATGACTGGATGGGGGCATGGAGCTAGGTGGGAAGAGGAAAAGTGTCTTGAAGGAAGTAAGTCCCTTCAGATAAGGGAGGGAGAAGCTTGATCAATATGCAGACTTTCACAGTCCTTCAGTCCTGGGGATATTGGTGGAGAGACAGGTCTTGCCTTACATTTGAGAGTTACCATCCCAGGCAGAGGCCCTACTTCCACCTTCTTGCAGGTGGGGCTGGCGAGCAAATACTTAGAGGAGAAACGAACACCCTTTGTAAGCATGTGAAATGTTTCTGGAGTGGAGAGATGATGAAGCAGGATATTTGGAGTCAACAGCCAAAGTTTTTATTTTATTTTTTATTTTTTATTATACTTTAAGTTTTAGGGTACATGTGCACAACGTGCAGGTTTGTTACATATGTATACATGTGCCATGTTGGTGTGCTGTACACATTAACTCGTCATTTAACATTAGGTATATCTCTTAATGCTATCCCTCCCCCCTCCCCCGACCCCACAACAGGCCCCAGTGTGTGATGTTCCCCTTCCTGTGTCCATGTGTTCTCATTGTTTAATTCCCACCTATGAGTGAGAACATGCGGTGTTTGGTTTTTTGTCCTTGCAATAGTTTGCTGAGAATGATGGTTTCCAGCTTCATCCATGTCCCTACAAAGGATGTAAACTCATCATTTTTTATGGCTGCATAGTATTCCATGGTGTATATGTGCCACATTTTCTTAGTCCAGTCTATCGTTGTTGGACATTTGGCTTGGTTCCAAGTCTTTGCTATTGTGAATAGTGTCGCAATAAACATACGTGTGCATGTGTCTTTATAGCAGCATGATTTATAATCCTTTGGGTATATACCCAGTAATGGGATGGCTGGGTCAAATGGTATTTCTAGTTCTAGATCCCTGAGGAATTGCCACACTGAATTCCACAATGGTTGAACTAGTTTACAGTCCCACCAACAGTGTAAAATTGTTCCTATTTCTCCACATCCTCTTCAGCACCTGTTGTTTCCTGACTTGTTAATGATCGCCATTCTAACTGGTGTGAGATGGTATCTCATTGTTGTTTTGACTTGCATTTCTCTGGCCAGGGATGATGAGCATTTTTTTCATGTGTCTTTTGGCTGCATAAAGGTCTTCTTTTGAGAAGTGTCTGTTCATATCCTTTGCCCACTTTTTGATGGGATTGTTTGTTTTTTTCTTGTAAATTTATTGGAGCTCATTGTAGATTCTTGATATTAGCCCTTTGTCAGATGAGTAGGTTGCAAAAATTTTCTCCCATTCTGTAGGTTGCCTGTTCACTCTGATGGTAGTTTCTTTTGCTGTGCAGAAGCTCTTTAGTTTAATTAGATCCCATTTGTCAATTTTGGCTTTTGTTGCCATTGCTTTTGGTGTTTTAGACATGAAGTCCTTGCCCATGCCTATGTCCTGAATGGTATTGCTCAGGTTTTCTTCTAGGGTTTTTATGGTTTTAGGTCTAACATTTAGTCTTTAATCCATCTTGGATTAATTTTTGTATAAGGTGTAAGGAAGGGATCCAGTTTCAGCTTTCTACATATGGCTAGCCAGTTTTCCCAGCACCATTTATTAAATAGGGAATCCTTTCCCCATTGCTTGTTTTTCTCAGGTTTGTCAAAGATCAGATGGTTGTAGATATGTGGCATTATTTCTGAGGGCTCTGTTCTGTTCCATTGGTCTATATCTCTGTTTTTGTACCAGTACCATGCTGTTTTGGTTACTGTAGCCTTGTAGTATAGTTTGAAGTCAGGTAGCGTGATGCCTCTAGCTTTGTTCTTCTGGCTTAGGATTGACTTGGCAATGTGGGCTCTTTTTTGGTTCCATATGAACTTTAAAGCAGTTTTTTCCAATTCTGTGAAGAAAGTCATTTGTAACTTGATGGGGATGGCATTGAATCTATAAATTACCTTGGGCAGTATGGACATTTTCATGATATTGATTCTTCCTACCCATGAGCATGGAATGTTCTTCCATTTGTTTGTGTCCTCTTTTATTTAGTTGAGCAGTGGTTTGTAGTTCTCCTTGAAGAGGTCCTTCACATCCCTTGTAAGTTGGATTCCTAGGTATTTTATTCTCTTTGAAGCAATTGTGAATGGGAGTTCACTCATGATTTGGCTCTCTGTTTGTCTGTATTGGTGTATAAGAACGCTTGTGATTTTTGCACATTGATTTTGTATCCTGAGACTTTGCTGAAGTTGCTTATCAGCTTAAGGAGATTTTGGGCTGAGACAATGGGGTTTTCTAGATATACAATCATGTCATCTGCAAACAGGGACAATTTGACTTCCTCTTTTCTTAATTGAATACCCTTTATTTCCTTCTCCTGCCTGATTGCCCTGGCCAGAACTTCCAACACTGTGTTGAATAGGAGTGGTGAGAGAGGGCATCCCTGTCTTGTGCCAGTTTTCAAAGGGAATGCTTCCAGTTTTTGCCCATTCAGTATGATATTGGCTGTGGGTTTGTCATAGATAGCTCCTATTATTTTGAGATACGTCCCATCAATACTTAATTTATTGAGAGTTTCTAGCATGAAGGTTGTTGAATTTTGTCACAGGCCTTTTCTGCATCTAATGAGATAATCGTATGGTTTTTGTCATTGGTTCTGTTTATATGCTGGATTATGTTTACTGATTTGAATATGTGAACCAATCTTGCATCCCAGGGAGGAAGCCCACTTGTTCATGGTGGATAAGTTTTTGATGTGATGCTGGATTCGGTTTGCTAGTATTTTATAGAGGATTTTTTCATCGATGTTCATCAGGGATATTTGTCTAAAATTCTCTTTTTTGGTTGTGTCTCTGCCGGGCTTTCGTATCAAGATGATGCTGGCCTCATAAAATGAGTTAGGTAGGATTCCCTCTTTTTCTATTATTTGGAATAGTTTCAGAAGGAATGGTACCAGCTCCTCCTTGTACCTCTGGTAGAATTCGGCTGTGAATCCGTCTGGTCCTGGACTTTTTTTGGTTGCTAGGCTATTAATTATTGCCTCAATTTCAGAGCCTATTATTGGTCTATTCAGAGATTCAACTTCTTCCTGGTTTAGCCTTGGGAGGGTGTACATGTCGAGGAATTTATCCATTTCTTCTAGATTTTCTAGTTTATTTGCATAGAGGTGTTTATACTATTCTCTGGTGGTAGTTTGTATTTTTCTGGGATTGGTGGTGATATCCCTTTTACCAATTTTTATTGTGTCTATTTGATTCTTCTCTCTTTTCTTCTTTATTAGTCTTGCTAGTGGTCTATCAATTTTGTTGATCTTTTCAAAAAACCAGCTCCTGGATTCATGGATTTTTTGAAGGGTTTTTTGTGTCTCTATTTCCTTCAGTTCTGCTCTGATCTTAGTTATTTCTTGCCTTCTGCTAGCTTTTGAATGTGTTTGCTCTTTGCTTCTCTAGTTCTTTTAATTGTGATGTTAGAGTGTCAATTTTAGATCTTTCCTGTTTTCTCTTGTGGGCATTTAGTGCTGTAAATTTCCCTCTACACACTGCTTTGAATGTGTCCGAGAGATTCTGGTATGCTGTGTCTTTGTTCTCGTTGGTTTCAAAGAACACCTTTATTTCTGCCTTCATTTCATTATGTACCCAGTAGTCATTCAGGAGCAGGTTGTTCAGTTTTCATGTAGTTGAGTAGTTTTGAGTGAGTTTCTTAATCCTGAGTTCTAGTTTGATTGCACTGTGGTCTGAGAGACAGTTTGTTATAATTTCTGTTGTTTTACATTTGCTGAGGAGTGCTTCACTTCCAAATATGTGGTCAATTTTGGAATAAGTGTGGTGTGGTGCTGAGAAGAATGTATTTTCTGTTGATTTGGGGTGGAGAGTTCTGTAGATGTCTATTAGGTCTGCTTGGTGCAGAGCTGAGTTCAATTCCTGAATATCCTTGTTAACTTTCAGTCTTGTTGATCTGTCTAATGTTGACAGTGGGGTGTTAAAGTCTCCCATTATTATTGTGTGGGAGTCTAAGCCTCTTTGTAGGCCTCTAAGGACTTGCTTTTTGAATCTGGGTGCTCCTGTATTGGTTGCACATATATTTAGGATAGTTAGCTCTTCTTGTTGAATTGATCCCTTTACCATTATGTAATGGCCTTCTTTGTCTCTTTTAATCTTTGTTGGTTTAAAGTCTGTTTTATCAGAGACTAGGATTGCAACACCTGCCTTTTTTTGTTTTCCATTTGCTTGGTAGATCTTCCTCCATCCCTTTATTTTGAGCATATGTGTGTCTCTGCACATGAGATGGGTTTCCTGAATACAGCACACTGATGGGTCTTGACTCTTTATCCAATTTGCCAGTCTGTCTTTTAATCGGAGAATTTAGCCCATTGACATTTAAGGTTCATATAGTTATGTGTGAATTTGATCCTGTCATTATGATGTTAGCTGGTTATTTTGCTCATTAGTTGATGCAATTTCTTCCTAGCCTTGACGGTCTTTACAATTTGGCATGTTTTTGCAGTGGCTGGTACTGATTGTTCCTTTCAATGTTTAGTGCTTCCTTCAGGAGCTCTTGTAGGGCAGGACTGGTGGTGACAAAATCAGCATTTGCTTGTCTGTAAAGTATTTTATTTCTCCTTCACTTATGAAGCTTAGTTTGGCTGGATTTGAAATTCTGAGTTGAACATTTTTTTCTTTAAGAATGTTGAATATTGGCACCCACTCTCTTCTGGCTTGTAGAGTTTCTGCCAAGAGATCAGCTGTTAGTCTGATGGGCTTCCCTTTGTGGGTAACCTGACCTTTCTCTCTGGCTGCCCTTAACATTTTTTCCTTCATTTTAACTTTAGTGAATCTGACAATTATGTGTCTTGGAGTTGCTCTTCTTGAGGAATATCTTTGTGGTGTTCTCTGTATTTCCTGAATTTGAATGTTGGCCTGCCTTGCTAGATTGGGGAAGTTCTCCTGCATAATATCCTGCAGAGTGTTTTCCAACTTGGTTCCATTCTCACTGTCACTTTCAGGTACACCAGTCAGACGTAGATTTGGTCTTTTCACATAGTCCCATATTTCTTGGAGGCTTTGTTCATTTCTTTTTATTCTTTTTTCTCTAAACTTCTCTTCTTGCTTCATTTCATTCGTTTCATCTTCCATCACTGATACCCTTTCTTCCAGTTGATCGAATCGGCTACTGAGGCTTGTGCATTTGTCACGTAGTTCTCGTGCCTTGGTTTTCAGCTCCATCAGGTCCTTTAAGGACTTCTCTGCATCGATTATTCTAGTTAGCCATTCATCTGATTTTTTTTCAAGGTTTTTAACTTCTTTGCCATGGGTTCGAGCTTCCTCCTTTAGCTCGGAGTAATTTAATCGTCTGAAGCCTTCTTCTCTCAACTCGTCAAAGTCATTCTCTGTCCAGCTTTGTTCCATTGCTGGTGAGGAGCTGCATTCCTTTGGAGGAGGAGAAGCACTCTGATTTTTAGAATTTCCAGTTTTTCTGCTCAGTTTTTTCCCCATCTTTGGTCTTTGATGATGGTGACTTACAGATGGGGTTTTAATGTGGATGTCTTTTCTCTTTGTTAGTTTTCCTTCTAAGAGTCAGGACCCTCAGCTGCAGGTCTGTTGGAGTTTGCCTGGGTGTCAGCAGTGGAGGCTGCAGAACAGCGGATATTGGTGAGCAGCAAATGTTGCTGCCTGATTGTTCCTCTGGAAGTTTTGTCTCAGAGGAGTACCCGGCCATGTGAGGTGTCAGTCTGCCCCTACAGGGGGGTGCCTCCAGTTAGGAAACTCGGGGGTCAGGGACCCACTTGAGGAGGCAGTCTGTCCATTCTCAGATCTCCAGCTGTGTGCTGGGAGAACCACTACTCTCTTCAAAGCTGTCAGACAGGGATATTTAAGTCTGCAGAGAATTCTGCTGCCTTTTGTTTGCCAATGCCCGCCCCCAGAGGTGGAGTCTACAGACGCAGGCAGGCCTCCTTGAGCTGTGGTGGGCTCCACCCAGTTGGAGCTTCCCAGCTGCTTTGTTAACCTACTGAAGCCTAGGCAACGGTGGGCACCCCTCCCCCAGCCTTGCTGCCACCTTGCAGTTTGATCTCAGACTGCTGTGCTAGCAATGAGTGAGGCTCCATGGGTTTAGGACCCTCTGAGCCATGTGCGGGATATCATCTCCTGGTGTGCCACTTGTTAAGACCATTGGAAAAGTGCAGTATTAGGGTGGGAGTGACCCGATTTTCCAGGTGCCATCTGTCACCCATTTCTTTGACTAGGGAAGGGAATTCTCTGACCCCTTGCACTTCCCAGGTGAGGCAATGCCTCGCCCTGCTTGGGCTCATGCTCGGTGCACTGCACCAAGTGTCCTGCACCCACATTCTGACACTCCCCAGTGAGATGAACCCAGTACCTCAGTTGGAAATGCAGAAATCACCTGTCTTCTGCGTCTCTCATGCCAGGAGTTGTAGACTGGAGCTGTTCCTATTCGGCCATCTTGGCTCCACCCCCACTATTATGATTCTTACACAGAGTACTTTGCTTTCCAGCAGCCTCCTCTTCCTCCTTTTTAGGTTGGAATCCCTCTATTTTAGTGGCCACTGGGATTCTGAAATGACCAGGTCTTTGTCTCAGAGACCTCACGCATGCTCTTCCCTCTGCCTGGAACACTTTTGCTTGCTCTGGTCCCCTGAGATCTCTTTCAGCTCAACTGCCCCATGCTCAGAGACCCCCTTTCTCCCTCTCTAGTTTGAAGCCAGTTTACCCCTGTAGTCAGTGCCTGGAAAACTCGTTTTCCTCCTTGATGCCTCCTGAGTTGTCACGGGATGTATGTGCCTGTTTGGGTGTCTGGTGTCTGTCTCCCCGACTGGACTGCATGCTCCTGGTGAGCTGGAGGGACTGGATGAGCAGAGGATAAGCAAGGCCCTGGGGCTGGAGGGAGCAGGGCAGAAGGCACAGGCAAAAGGCCTTTGTGATCCGGAAGGAAGTGAAGGAGAGGGAGAGAGATGAGAGAGGCTGGCAGAAGATGGGCCAGGGGCCAGGCTGTGTGGGATCTTTTGGGCCACAGAAAGACATTTCAATTGTTATGTAAGAGAACCAGGACACCATTGGAGGGTATGAGTCACCTCATCTAACTGAGCTCTGTAAATGTCAGTGTTTTATTATTTTTATAGTTATTTAAAAGTGATTTTAGTTATTTAACTTTTTATTTTTATTATTTTTTTTGAGACAAAATCTTGTTCTGTTGCCCAAACTGGAGTGCAATGGCATGATCTCGGCTCACTTCATATTCCACCTCCTGGGTTCAAGTGATTCTCCTGTATCAGACTCCCGAGTAGCTGTGGTTATAGGCATCTGCCACCACGCCCAGCTTATTTTTGTAGTTTTAGGATAGATGACGTTTCACCTTGTTGGCCAAGCTGGTCTTGAACTCCTGACCTCAGGTGATCCACCCACCTCAGCCACCCAAAGTGCTGGGATTACAGGGGTGAGCCACCATGCTTGGCCTTATTTACTTTTTTAAAAAAGTTCAGGCCAGGCACGGTAGCTCATGTCTCCAATCTCAGCACTTTGGGAGGCTGAGGTGGGATGATCACTTGAGGCCAGGAGTTCAAAACCAGCCCAGACAACATAGTGAGACACCCCCTGCCCCAATTTCTAAGAAAATGAGAAAATTAGACACTGTGGCTTGTCTGTAGCCCCAGCTACTGGGGAGCCTGAGCTAGGGAGGACTGCTTGAGACCAGGAGTTTGAGGCTCCACTGACCTGTGATTATGCCACTGAGCTACAGCCTGGGCAACAGAGTGAGACCCTGGAGCCGCCTCAGCTTCTCTAGAGCTGACCGAGCTTTTGCTTCTTATCATAGGGAATGACGGACGCTGGGGCTTTGATGGGCATTGGGTGAAATGGGCAGAGTGACGCTTACCTGGGATGGCAGTGAAGTGGGATGGGGAGGTCATTGTGACAAGGGGCGGCATGAGGTACTTGGCCTTGACGCCCTCCCCGGCCAGACGGTCCAGGTTGGGGGTGTCCACATCCTGATCCTAGTCCCAGCGGAAGCCCTGGAAGGAGATCAGCAGCAGTTGTGAGTGCTCTTCTTCCCTGGGAGGAGGTGGCCGCCCAGCAGGACAGGCAGCGGTAGCAGCAGCTGGAGGGCGCCGAGCCATGTTATCCCACGAGCACCTGTCATGCACTCCTCACGCAGTTCATGGGCTTCTCCCTCTTTAGTCCGTTGTTGAACAAAGTCACATTAATAATTCAGCCCAGCTCTGTTGTGGGACAAACAACCTGGAGTGTAGCAAGGTGCTGCATATTTGCAGGACAGTATGAAAGCGTTCTGGAGATGGATGGGGGTCATGGCTGTACAATGTGGTGGATGCACTTAACACCACTGAATTTTTCCTTTGAAAATGGCTGAAATAATAGATTTTGTATGTATTTTACCACAATAAAAAATCAAACTGGCCGGGCATGGTGGCTTACACCTGTAATCCCGGCACTTTGGGAGGCTAAGGCAGGTAGATCATTTGAGGTCAGGAGTTCAAGACCAGCCTGGCCAACATGGAGAAACCCCATCTCTACTAAAAATGCAAAAATTAGCCAGGCGTGGCAGTACATGTCTGTAATCTCAGCTACTCGGGAGGCTGAGGCAGGACAATCGCTTGAACCCGGGAGGCGGAGGTGACAGTGAGCCGAGATTGCGCCACTGCATTCTGACCTGGACAATGGAACGAGACTGCATCTCCAAAAAAAAAAAAAAAAAAAAAAAAAAAAAAAAAAAAAAATCAAACCACATGAAATATTTTGGACTCTTATACTAATTCCAACATTTCAAGATCTGGGGAGAACAAACTAGATTGGTGCTTTCCTTGGCTTAGTATGTTCTGTTTTTATAGGGAGAGCAAATTATTGTTCACCAGCACTATTAAAATAGCTACAACAGGATGGGCATGGTGGCTCACACCTGTAATCCCAGCACTTTGGGAAGCTGAGGTGGGAGGATCGCTTGAGCCCAGGAGTTCAAGATGCCAGCCTGGGCAACATGGTGAGACCCCGTCACTACCAAAAAATATAACAACAACAACAAATATAGCTAGGTGTGGTTGTGTGCCTCTGTAGTCCCAGCTACTTGAGACGCTGAGGTGGGAGGATCACTTGTGCCCAGGAGTTTGAGGCTGCAGTAAGCCATGATTATGCCACTGTACTCAGCCTGGGTGACAGAGTGAGACCCTGTATGGAAAAAAAAATAAAAAGCTGCAGTGGACTCGGTGATCATGAGGCCAGGCTCTGTATACATACACATCATCTCATTTAATTTTTTCTTTGTTTAAAATTATTTTTTCCTCTAATCCTCATGTTGATCGACATTTTTTTTAGTCCTAGGAATTATTTGAAAATTTCGCATAAGAATTAAAAATTGCCTGGCCTGATGGCTTACACCTGTTATCCCAGCACTTTGGGAGGGTGAGATGAGAGAATCACTTGAAGCCAGGAGTTTGGGCCAGTCTGGGCAATAAAGTGAGAATGCAACTCTATAAAAAAATTTAAAAAGCTGGGTGTAGTAGCATTCACATGTAGTCCCAGCTACTTGGAAGACTAGATGGGAGGATTGCTTGAGCCCAGGCGGTAAAGGCAGCAGTGAGCTATGATTTTGCCATTGCACTGCAGCCTGGGTGATGGAGTGAGACTCTATCTCTAAAATAAATGAATAAAACTGTGGTATAATATATGCAACATTTACCATTTTGTGCATCTGAAAGTGTACAATTCCGTGACATTTTGTACATTTATCATGTTGTGCAATTATCACCACTACCTAGTTTCAGGTTTTTTTCAACACCTCAATTGGAAGCCTCATATCCATTCAGCAGTCACTCTGCCTACCCCCTCCTGCAGCCCCTGGAAGCCTCTCATCTACTTTCTATCTCTGTCGATTGGCTTAGACTGAACATTGCATATAAATGGAATTGTACAATATATGACCTTTCATGTCTGCTTCTTTCACTGAGCATGTTTTTAACGTTCATCCATATCACAACATGGATAAGTTTTGTTTTCTTTTTAGACCCTATCTAAAAAGAAAAAAAAAATTGTAAAACAAAAACAAAAAAATGTATAGGATGGAGATCAGATGAGTCCTGCAAAGTTTATATTTACTATCTAGCACTTTACATAGAAGCTTGCCTACCTCTGAATGATATGCAGGTACAGAGATGACATTTATCTTGGCACTTATAGAAAGACCTATAAATTGTATAAAGACATCATCATTGGATTTCCAGTAACAAGAAGCGGCAAGACATGACGGTGTGTTCAGGTGAAGTTTAGGGAAGGTCTTGTCTTGACGAGGTCGGATGTGAGACCCAGATGAGATAACCCCATTTCCCCTGCTGGAATTGCCTGAGAATTTCATTCCAGTTATTTGTGTAGGTTGATTCTTTCGGTGGGCGTGGGGTGGGTGAGGAGGTGAAGTGTCAGGGCAGTTCTATTTTATATTTGCACAACTTGGCTTTCTTTTTACTTGGTGTGGTGTTTTGCTGTATGAGGAATTTCATAGGATTTTGTGATGAGTATGCAGCATAGTGGTTTGAATCCTGCCAGGCCGAGGGCCATATCTCAGCTCTGCAACTCATTATCTGTGACGCCTTGGGGCAGGTCCCATAACTCTCCAAGCCTCTGTTCTATATTCCATGGGGTTGTGAGGGTCAGATGAAATAATGCATGCTGGCAGAAATGGTTACTGCTCATGGGATTTCCAGGTTCTCCCTGTATTCCCCAGACCCCCTGTAGTTAGATGGATCCATGCCAGGGTCCAATGCTCTATAAGTGGAAGTCACTGACATCACCTCTATTCTACAGCTTTTGAGGGCTTGGGAATAACTATCTCATTCTCTCATCTCCTGGTGTAGTAACTATGGGAGAATCCTTGCATGAAGATGGTAGAATTTTCATCATTCTAGGTCTCTGAGTGGCCATATGGAACACACCATACCCAGCCAACCCATTGTGGACATGGAATGTAAGAAATCAACCTTGGTTGCTAAGCTGTTGAGACTCTGGGGTTAATTTGTTACTGCAGCATAACCTAGTCCATCCTGATGCATGCAGCATGCAAACCACTTATGTTGACCCTTAGTCATGGTAAGTGCTCCACAGATGTTGGTTACTTTTGGTAGGAAGATAGTTTGCCTCGAAAGTTGTGTTAGCTGATCTCATGATGCCAATGTTGCTATTTTGTAATTGGATAAATTGGACTTGGCTCTCCTTCCAGCATGTGGGAGAGAAAGATGACTGAGAGACAATAAGGCACTATTATCTTCAGTTTGTGTCCTTGTATACCCTTGGTGGCAATGAACAATGCATGCCCCTCTGAGAAAACTGGACCTAAAGGAGAATGGGAGATGATACCAGAATTGGGAAAGTCCAAGGCCCCAGGACTTCCCTGGTCTGGAGACAACTTTGAGTCCTTGGTGGGAAGATTCTCCAAGGGAACATAAATGCTTCTACTATCTAGTTTGTCTCTTTGAGAATTAAAACTTTTTTTTTCATTCCAGTAGTTTTTGGGGTACAGTTTGGCTCTTTGAGAATTGCATACTAATTAATTTTAGGGGTCATCTGTACACATCTCTATATTCCTGAAACATGGTAGAAACAGCCAGCAGTCAGGCGACAATCTACCATGACCACTAAAATATCCCCAAAGTGAAACACCAGATGTGATCCACTAGGTTTAGTGGGGGTGGCTGGCTCGAGAGTTGGTTATATTTATTATTGTCACTGTGGTGATTATGGCCACAACATTGTGATGCGTGTTGGTCTTCTTTTGGTGAGTTCCAGTTTGGAAGGAATAAATCCATTTTTTTTTTTTTTTTGAGTCTTGCTCTGTCACCCAGGCTGGAGTGCAGTGGTACCATCTCAGCCTGCTGTAAACTCTGCCTCCCAGGTTCAAGTGCTTCTCCTGCCTCTATGGCCAGGCTGGTCTTGAACTCCTGACCTCAGGTGATCCACCTGCCTCAGCCTCCCAAAGTGCTGGGATTACAGGCGTGAGCCACCATGCCCAGCCCCATTATTCATTTAACCAATATCTATTTAGCACTTTGGGTGTGGTGGAGGATGAACTGCAGGGGAGAGAGGAAGCCTCCTCCTGCCACTGTGTTTTCAAGTTGTCCTAATACTCCACCATGACACGCAGGCTTGTGGGTCCCAGAGCTCCAGAAGCATCTCCTGACCACAACAACCTGACCCAGATTCTACTGAAAAATACGTGAGTCTAGCAGAGCCATCTCTGACACTTCCCTTCTTTTGAACGGCTGATCTGTCAGCCATGGGGAGCCCTTATGAAAGTGCAGTGTGTTTTGTGAAACTTGAGGTTGATCAAAGAATACCATTAAACTTGGTTAAGAAATCTACATATTGATGACATAGGCAGTGGGGTGGAGGTGGGGAAATTCCCAAATACATTTTAGGAATTCTCTCAGAAGGAGGTAATAGTCAGAACTCTTGGTTGCCAGTGACAGAAACTCATCTTACTAGTGTGGAGTGGAGAAGGGATCATGTTTTTCTCTGCACTCCCCAACCCCAACCCCAAGCAGATCCTGAAAGAGGGACAGGATTGCAAGTGGATTATTTAGGAGATGATTCCAGGGAACACCAATAGGGGAGTGAGGAATTGATTCATGGAAAGGCAGGAGGCCACACAGGGGGCTTCAATGAGCAGCTTACCACTCCAGGCAACTAGGATTTGACCCCACTGGGGACCTCTGGGAGGTGATGTGGAATACATTTCAAAGTTGTTCCATCCAGGGGGTGAAAATATTGCAGCATTTATAGCCTGGCTCCCATCCGTCACTGGCTGAGGAATGGTCCCAGGGCATCAACTCTCTGGCTTTTTTTTTCTTTTTCTTTTTCTTTTTTAGACACAGTCTTGCTCTGTCACCCAGGCTGGACTGCAATGGCATGATCTCTGCTCACTGCAACATCTGCCTCCCAGGTTCAAACGATTCTCTTGCCTTGGCTTCCTGAGTAGCTGGGATTACAGGCACCTGCCACCATGCCCCGCTAATTTTTTTATTTTTTGTAGAGATGGGGTTTTGCCATGTTGGTCAGGCTGGTCTCGAACTCCTGACCTCGTGATCCACCTGCCTCGGCCTCCCAGTGTTGGGATTACAGGAGTGAGCCACTGCGCCCGGCTTCTGTGGCTTTTCTGACGTACTCCATGCCTGACTTTGAGAAAGCCCTCAGGTGAAAGTCTTGGTAGTATGCAGTAGCAAGCATGTACTAGAATGATAAAAACCAAGGGGCTTACCACAAGATCTCTCTCTCTATCTCTGTCTCTAGCTTTGTCTGCATCCTGGCTTAATTTCTTCTTACTCAAGCCTTTTCTCCATAAGGCAAGAAACGTGGCCACAAAAGCTGCTGTATTTCTCACTACACACAATTCCTGTCATCACAGAGAATGATTAACTTGGTCTAGTTCCAGTTTGGAAAAATATTCAAGGGAAGAATTCTGATTGGCCAATTTAGGCCAGATGCTCATCCCTGGACCAATCAACTGATGCCAGAGGGGTGGAGTCATTTGAGAACATGGCAGCCCCCATGAGAGCCACATGACTGGAGTAGGAAGTGTGAGTCTCTATAGAGGGGAGGGCTGCTAGGCTGAAAAGGCAATAGATGTCTGCAGTGAAAGGAATAGATCAGAGATACATTCTGTTAAACCTGTTAATTATTTGAAAAAAAGAGAAACTTTCAATCAATATACAGTCACAGTATACATGAGCCGGTGGCTCACGCCTGTAATCCCAGCACTTTGGGAGGCTGAGGTAGGCAGATCAGAGGTCAGGAGTTCGAGACCAACCTGACCAACATGGTGAAACCCCATCTTGTGTGCCTGTAATCCCAGCTACTCAGGAGGCTGAGGCAGGAGAATCACTTGAACCAGGGAGGTGGAGGTTGTAGTGAGCTGAGATCATGCCACTGCCCTCCAGCCTGGGCAACAGAGTGAGACTCCTTCTCAAAAAAAAAAAAAAGTTACATTGTGGTTCCCCCAGCATGATTTATCAGAAAGGAAAAACAATATGCGTATTTCCTATGCACAGGCTACTGCTATGAATTGAAATTCTTAAATTCCAAAGATTAATTAAAATGCTTCTCAAGACACATAAACTGTTAGAATCTGCTTATAATGAGGCTGAAGTTGAGTAAGAAGAGAACTGGCATTTAGGACACTACTTTTCTTCTGTCGAGTACTGTCAAGTTTTAGTTCTGCCTGGAAGTAGATGCACCTCAAGGGAGGGTTGCATGTAAAGGTGTGTGTGTGTGTGTGTGTGTGTGTGTGTGTGTGTGGTAGTTTCCAAAGATTGGTACAACTTTCTGCAAATGCTCCTGCAATGTAACTGAACCAATCTTTCCTTTAAGAGGTAGAGTTTATACTCCTCTACATGAATCTGGGCTGCCTATGACTTGCTTTGGCCAGTGGAATGCTGCCAAAGTGATGGTGACCAACTTCTAGCCGTGAAAGGAAAACAAACCTTGGGGCGCCAAGATCACTAAGCTAGGCTGGGCTCGGTGGCTCACGCCTGTAATCCCAGCACTTTGGGAAGCTGATGCGGGCAGATCACCTGAGGTTAGGAGTTCAAGACCAGCCTGGCCAACATGACAAAACCCCATCTCTACTAAAAAATATGAAAATTAGCCAGGCGTGGTGGCAGGAGCCTGTAATCCCAGCTACTTGGGAGGCTGAGGCAGGGAAATTGCTTGAACCCTGGAGTTAGAAGTTGCAGTGAGCCGAGATCTTACCACTGCACTCCAGCCTGGGCAACAGAGCGAGACTCTGTCCCTCCACCCAAAAAAAGTTACTAAGCTAAAGAGAAAGGTCAAGCTGGGAACTGCTTAGGGGAAAACTGCCTCCCATTCTATTCAGTCACCCCTTTGCTTACTGAGATAAATGTATATCTGATTGCCTCATTTGAGAGGCTAATCAGGAACTCAAAAGAATGCAACCATTTGTCTCTTAACTACCTATGACCTGGAAAACCCTTCCCCTTTTCTCACCTTCACCTGGAGTTGTCCCGCCTGTCCAGACTGAACCAATGTACATCATACACATATTGATTGATGTCTCATGTCTCTCTAAAATGTATCAAACCAAGCTGAGTCCCTATCACCTTAAGCACATGTTGTCAGGACCTCCTGAGGCTGTGTCACAGGCATGCGTTCTCAACCTTGGCAAAACAAACTTTCTGAATTAACTGAGACCTCAGATTTTTGGGGTGCAAATAGTCTTAGGCCTTGAGAGCCCTCTCGTAGTTTCCATATTTTTGCCCTCTTGCATGCTGGCACCAAGCAAACCTTGGCTATCTGCTTAAAGGGCCATTTGGAGAGGGGCTCTGGAGGGCGAGGGGCCACATGGAGGAAAACAAGGTTCCCCGGCTGACAACCAGCACCAACTGCCAGGCACATGCATGAGGCCATCCTGGATGTTCCACCCAGCTGGCCCTCCAGCTGCAGGTAGCCACACAAATGAGCCCAGGTTAAACCAGCCAGGAAGTCCCCATGCAACTCACAGGGTCATGAGCAATAATGGCTTGTGGTGGTTTAAAGTTTCTAATTTTAGGTGCAATAGGTAACTGAAACAACCCAGAAGGGTGTGAGCCTGTGGAGGGTGCATTTCCCACCTGCTGAAGCTTCTCAATTCCCAGGATCTAATCCAGATAAGACTCTTGTTCTCAGTGTCCTTGATGGAAATGGCAATGAACTTTTTGCAGATTGGACCATCTCGGGAATCCCAAAGATCGGAAACTATTTTTTTTCTCAGAATCTTCCACACAGCATTGAGCCTTAGGAATTTCTAAGAAGGATCTGGAATAAAAAAAAAAAATATTTTGAAAAGGTATTTGTATAGCTTCACTTCAGCAAGATTAATGGTGGATATTAGACTAAGTGCTGGTGTTAAGCCAAACTATGTTTTTCAAAGACTCATCTGGCCTCAAGGTTGGCAGGACCAGAGTGGCCTCTCAGGATCTATCACATCCTCAGAAGAGTTGGTTCAGCTGACATGTACCCAGATCTCTTTGACCTAGTATGATACTCCCTTGAGTCAAAGGCTGCCACATCATATCTCCTTTAAGTCCCCCTAAGTACGACCCCAGGAGTATTGACAAAATGGTGCTGTTCCTGAAGATTTCAGGAGGACACAAATGAAGAGACTAAACTGCAAGGTACCAAAACTTCCATCTTTGCTAAAGACCCTCATCCAGGCTGGGCACGGTGACTCACGCCTATAATCCCAGCAATTTGTGAGGCCAAGGTGGGCGGATCACCTGAGGTCGGGAGTTCAAGACCAGCCTGACCAACATGGAGAAACCCCATCTCTACAAAAAATACACAATTAGCCGGCCGTGGTGGCACATGCCTGTAATCCCAGCTACTAGGGAGGCTGAGGCAGGAGAATCGCTTGAACTTGGGAGGCGTAGGTTGCGGTGAGCTGAGATCGTGCTATTGCACTCCAGCCTGGGCAACAAGAGTAAAACTCCATCTCAAAAACAAACAAAAAGCCCTTATCCAATGGTCATGCCACTCTATCTGGCCATGTAATTTCTCCTCCTGGCTTTCTGTAGCAACAGCCTTCTGAGGAACCTCACTCTGCCTTTCAAAACCCCTTCAACTTGTACCCTTAATCAGCAAAGTACTTGGCTCAACATGTATGCCTCTGGGGGAACTCATCCACATGCCATTTAAGGATATTTCCAGAAACATCATCTTCACTACCCCAGGATGGCATTTTAGAGTGGATTACGTGCCTGCTGGTTGTGTTGTACTTGAGCGAGTTAGAGAAAATGCCACACTTTGAGACGAATTAAGAGTCTGTTTATTTAGCCGGCGGCTAAGAAATGGCTAAGGTTCAAAGTTCTCTCGGCCTCGAAGAAGGGGCTAGATTTTCTTTTATACTTTGGTTTAGAAAGGGGAGGGGGGTCTAGTTAAAACAATTTTACAGAAGTAGGCAAAAATGTTAAAAGGATAAATTGTTACAGGAAAGTAAACAGTTCTAGGTCTAGGGGCTTTAAGACTATTACAAGGTGATAGACCCGGGGCTTTGGGCGTTATCAGTTGGATGAATTCCTGGGAACTGCAGATATTGCTCGCCACAGTATCTTATCAGTTAATTGCATTCTTCGATGTGCTGGGAGTCAGCTTGCACAAGTTAAGTCCTTGAGGAAGCGGCTGCCAGTGAAAGAGCCAAGATGGAGTCTGTCTGGCTCTCTTAGCTAAGGGAGAGTCAATTCAGGTGGAAACAAGGCTAGGTGATTAAAAGAAAGGGAGAGTCTTAGAACAGGGTTAGTAAAAAGAAGGTTGGGCATTACATTCCTCACTTGTGTTTTTGGGGAATCAAATCGTTGATTCTTCAGCTATAACAAGGGGGTTATATTGAGTCTTAAGATACATAAGTTTGACAGAAGCTATGTGTTGTTTTACAAAATTAATAAACTAATTTAATATACAAGGTCCAAAAATTAGACTTAATAGTAGGATGGGGAGGGGGTCTGGCTAACTTAGTAATTAGAATAGTTAGCTCTGGGTTCTAGTTGAACATGCTTTGATACTAGGGGATGTTATTTTCTTGTTCTTGTTGGCGCTTATCTAGATTTTCTTGCACTGTCTGGAGTGTATCTTTTATGACTAAGAATGGTGGAGGAACAGTTGAATCAACTTTGTCAGGGTGTTCCTGGAACATAGGGTTACTTAGATCAGTAAAAGGCCTGATTGACTTGGGTGGGCTTTATGAGACTAGGGTTTTTTTGGATGGTGAACATAGTCCTAACATTAAATCCTGGGATATAAAATCTTAATCTTCATGACATGCCATGATACTATTGAGTTGAATTAAGGTCATGGACAGCTATAGTAAGAGGATTACAATTTTTCTAGTACATAATTTAGGATGAGAAGCATGACTTGTGGAAAGAGTTGAAGATCTGGTTGATCTTTTAGAGTAGGTGGCTAAAGTTACACATGTCTAATCAGGGCAGAAAAACTGATAAGTATCTTGACAGCTAGCATCAGGGTGATTTCTAGGACAGAGGTAAAAGCCAATATTTTGGAGTCTTTTTTCTGCACTTTTGGAGCTTCTACACTTAGTTTGGCTCTTGGAGTGTCTGAATCTTGCTGCAAGGTCGACACTTCCTGCTCCTGGGACTGGCAGATGGTGTTGCTTTTCTTGGGTATGGGCTGGCTTTGGGAACAGTACAAATAAATCAAGTGCAAAGGAGACTTCCTTGGAGGTACCGGCCTTCTAAGTGGTGTTTGCAAATACAAGTCCTGTTGTGAAAGAGGTGAGGAGAAAGGAGTAGGAAGGCACAGAGGATGTAACGGGCAAAAACAAATAAGTGAGGTAGTAAAAAGAATGAATCTAATGGCTTCACCTGACTTAGGTGCAGTTTTAAGGGGCCTGACTTAGGCCTGGGGACTTATGTTTTTAGTTGGGCTCTGTTGGCCTTTTTGATGCGGGAGTGATGAATGTAAGCAGGAATTCCGTCTACTTTCAGAGCCATTGGCGTCGTGACGATGACGGTGTGAGGTCTTTTCTAAGCAGGAGTGGGTCTTTCTTTTTGGAACTTTTTAACAAACACTAGGTCTCCTGGCTGGAAGGAATGGCAGGATTTTGGTCAGTAATTGGATTGGGATGGGTTCCTCGAACAAGTGGCAGGATGATATCTTGTACCTGTTGGAGAGACGATAGGTACTGTAACAAATTAGTTTGTGATATTTCTGCTAATTTGGCATCTCTTAGCTTAGGCAAGATAGGTGGCGCCTTCTTATAGATGATTTCAAAAGGTGAGAAATTAGCCTGGTAAGGGATGCACCTTACTTTAAGTAGGGCTAAAGGAAGGAGACTTACTTAATTTACACTGTTTTTTTAAGATTAATTTTGTAGGAGTGTTTTTTAGGGTGTGGTTCATGCGTTCTACTTGTCTGGAGCTCCGGGGTTGATAAGCACAATGGAGCTTCTGTTGAATGTTTAACACCTTACTGACTGACTGACTGAGCTATAGGCGAGGGGAAGGCTGGTCTATTATCAGAGTTTATGGCAGCAGACAGCCTATATTGAGGGATGATTTCATTGGGTAAAAACTTAACTACTGTGTTGGTGGTTTCGTTTTTGGTAGCAAATGCCTTAGTCTATCTGGAGAAGGTGTCTACTAGTACTAGAAGGTATTTGTACTTAGCCTGGTGTGGTTTGACTTCTCTAAACTGAATTTCTTACTTTTTTCTTGGCGAGTTTTTTCAGAGACAGTGGCCTGGGCTGGGTTTAGGACTTTGTTTGGCATTTACTTGGGCGCAGGTTGTGCACTGGAGAGCTGCTTAATCTCTTAGGCTATGAAGATGGGGGATCTTAAAATGCCTCCGGAGGAGCTGAGGTAACTTTGCTCTTCTTAAATGGGTGGTAGACTGTAGGTAACTGGTTTAAGTTCAGGGTATGAAGATTCCAGAGTCAGGAAGAATCTACTAACTTTCCTGATTTTTATTGGCTCTGAGATCTGAAGCCAGTTTTTCTGTTGTTGTTGAGTATACGGGATTGTCAGGCAGATCTGGCTGTGGAAAGGAGACTGTGGGCAGCAAGTTTGGAGGCATGACTGAAAGTCTGGCAGCGACCTGAGCTGCTGAATCAGCTTTCTGGTTACTATGGGCAACGGCCGTGTTTTCTTTTTGATGTCCTTTGCAGTGGATCACAGCTACCTGCTGAGGTGAGTAGCCTGATTTCCTGGTAGATGGCTTTATGTACATGCACAGTAGCTAAGGCGTACTTGCTGTGAGTGTAAATGTTAATACGTTTATCCTACTTTATCGGAGAGCCTGAGTGAGGGTGATCAATTCAGCCTTTTGTGCTGAGGTGTTCGCTGGTAAAGCTTGAGCTTAGAACACATCTGTCTCCGTGGTAACAGCTGCACTGGCTTTTCATACTTCCTGCTTGAGGAAGCTGCTACTGTCTGTGAACACGGCGGCATCTGCCTTTTCTAGGGGCACAGCTTGAAGATCAGATCAGCCAGTTTCGATAGTTTCTAACAGTTCTTGACAGTCATGAGCAGGAATAGTGCAGTCTGGGTCAGGAAGTAGTGTAGCTGGATTGAAACACTTTGTGGGAGAGAAAGTCAAACGAGGCTGATCTAACAGTAAATTTTGATACTGCAAGATGCGAGCATTTGACATCTATTTGCCAGAAGCATTTTGTAGTAAGTTCTTTACGGCATGAGGAGCTGTAAGGGTTAAATTTTGGCTTAGAGTTAACTTATCATCTTCTTGGGCCAGGCTTGCTGTAGCTGCTACGGCTCGCAGACAACTTGGCCATCTACAGGCCACAGGATCTAGCATCTTAGATAAATAGGCCACTGGGCATCTTTAGGGTCTTAAAGTCTGAGTAAGCACGTCTTTAGCAACTCCTTGGCTTTTATGGAGATATTAGAGAGGGCTAAAGCAGGGGCTTCAGTTAATGCTGAATTAACGGGCTATTTCATTCTGTACTTCTTGGAGAGCTGCCACTAAGATTTTTGTTTGTCTTTTGAATGCTTTATCAGCGGCCTTTTCAGCTGCCTGTGTTGCTTTTGTTTTTTAAACTTTTGATTGTCAAAAACTTTTGGGCTATTTCTAAAAGCTGACTGATATTTATTCTAGCAAATCTTTCTAGTTTTTGGAGTTTCTTTTTAATATCCGGGGCTGCCTGAGCCACAAATGCTAAATTAAGAGCACGGCTATTTTCGGGAGCTGCCGGGTCAAAAGGGGTGTAAATCCGATAAAAAGGGGTGTAAATCCGATAAGCCTCCTGGAGGTGCTCTAAAAACCTTCTTGGTGACTTCTCGGGCCTTTGGACAACTTCGGTCGTCTTAGACAAGTTGATGGGTTTCTGAGAGGCTCTTTTAATACTTGCGAGGAGATACCGGTGAGAATCGTCTAAAGCTCCCTTTCTACTTGAGGAATTTGGGTCCTGGTTAGGCCGTGTAGAGGGAAAGACCTCCTCAAGGAGGTCTCTAGCTTCTTCTTCCGGTCCATTGGCTGATGTGAGGAAGTACTTTTTGGCTTCTTTTTGGATACATTCTTTCTTTTCAGAGGTGAAAAGGGTTAAAAGGAGCTGTTGGCAATCATCTTAGGTGGGTGAGTCAGGCCGGAGTACCGACTCTGTCTGAGAGGCCAAAGCCTGGGGCTTTTCAGAGAAGGGAGGATTATGGGTTTTCTAATTATATAAGTCAGAAGTAGAAAAAGGGACATAAACTAAGAAGGGTGCTGAGCGCTCGTCACCTGGAGGGACTTGTGCCTCTCTCAGTGGTAGGAGAGGGGCTACGTCTTCCTGCCACGGTCATGATTGAGAGGCAATGGGTGGCGAGCCTACAGGGGACGTCGTCGAGGAGACATGGGATAACTTTAAGGGAGAAGGTTGGTTGTAAGGCGGTGGGACTGGGTGAGGGAGACTCCCCTCTTCTTCAGAGGGAGGCAGTACAGGGGGAGCTGAACCGGCTGAGGGTCGAGGCGAAAACGCGGTCTGGCTTAGGAGGACCTGGGAGGTAGAATTATGAATGGCGCATGAATGGAGCCACGGAGGGGGGATCCTGACTAAACTTAGCAATTGATCAATGTAGGGAAACTGATCAGGGTGGCTAGGAGTTTCAGTAACAACCTGCCACACAGCTTGAACAATTGTGAGGTTCAATGACCCTTCAGGGGGCCACTTGACTTTAAACTTTGGCCATTTTATTTTGCACAGTGTCTGGAGCCTGCCTTTTTTAAGGCGGACTTTATAATCCTCTGAGGAACTGAGAGGAAAATTCTGCAGCATACATTGGAGAGGGCTTTAACTTTTATAAGGCTGGGAGGAAGTGTTTCTTATTTTTTTTTTTTTTTGAAGGCAATTTAATAAGATTTGAGCATTGATATTAAACTTAGCATGGACAGAGAAACTTATTTCTTGGGGGACTGGAGTAGTGATAGAACAGAATCAACATGACTACAAAGAGCAGAAAAACTTACAACAGCTAATACTACTTGCTACATTGCTGTAGCTTTAAGATCGAGGGAGGAGGACTAGAGCCAGCCTGAGATCTTCTGGGTCAGTTTGATCTAGGCGTTCTTCTTCTTCTAGATCTGCACTTTAAATACTTTTGGTGTCTTTATGACTTAAAGGCAAATAGCTTAAACTTAGTTTTTTCTTTTAAGGGTTTAAGGAGTGAGAGCAGAGCCAAGTCCTGGAGACGCAGAACTTGCTGTCTCACCGGAAAAGGAGATGTGCGGGGTAGGGGGCAGGGACAAGGTGGAAAAGGACTACTCGGATCACTTTTAAGGTGGGAGAGTAGCCACAGAGGAACAGAGTAAGAATCTAAACGAAGTAAAGCAGTACGGGCGTACATTTCTTTACACAGTGTTCTACTTAAGGGCACAGGAAAAGTTACAGAATGACAAAAGAGGTGAGTGAGGAGATCTGCAGGGTGGCTGTTTTGAACTCACTACTGGTTTAGTTTAGAGGACGTCTAATCACTTGGACGTGGAGTATGACGATCTAAATACTTACAACTTTCATGGTGCTAGAAATCGTAATCAGGCAAATGTTTTTCACACTTGTTCTTGTAGCAACACTTGACTTGCTTCTGGCAGAAAAGACAGGACTGTGGTGGCCAGCCTAAATGATTGATGAGAAATTTAACCTCCTGTGACAAAAAATCAGCACTAAGGACTTTGAAGAAGTTTTTACTTAGACGTCTTGGGCAATATCAACGTCTTGACATGAAAACTTTCACAACTACTAACAAGACAATAGACACTGAACAGAACAGTCAACATAAAACAAACAATTGACTTTAGGGCATGTAAACAGTTACGAGAGTTTCTTCCTTTTTTTTTTTTTAGACAGACAAGGGGAGGGGATCCAGCGATGGGATCAGTCAGATGCCTGCCTGGCCGCTCCCCGTGAGGGGACTTGGGCTCCTCTTAGCATTGGCAGGCCGGTATAAACTTCCGGCTCAGATCGAGCTATGCCTGATGCTGCCTTAAGCCTTATGAGGTCGCCATGGAACCGCAGGTGAGGGTCTACTTGAACTCCGTAGCTTTCGCTGTGGAGCTACAAACTGGAGGACAAGCGCAAGCCCTTGTCCTCCCTCATTCATTCATTATTCACAAAGAGTTTATAACAGTTTTTTTTCTTTCTTGGAGATTCTTCAAGAAACTTGAACAAGAGAAAGATGAGAGATAGAAAAAGAGAGAGAGAGAGTGACCGGTCTGCCAGAAACCAGGACTCAGTCCTCCAGCATCCTGGGATGTGGACTGAGTCAAGGGAGGTCCCCTGTCAGGGCTACTTCCCTCCTAGAAAGAGACACAGAAGTGCCTAACAGAAAACCAGGGCTCTACCTTCCAGCGTCCTAGAGAAACGGGCAGAGTCAAAAGAGGGACACCCTCATCAGGGCCGCTTCCCTCTTACAAGAACTGAAGTCAAATCTGACCTACCTGACCTCGGGGTCAGAAGTCGAGGACTCAGAGGTGGAATTTTTATGGGCACCCACACGGTAGTCGATCCGCTCTCCTCTGGAAGACGGTCACCTTTCGGGGACCTGAAAATTTTTTTTTAGGTGACACCCCCCCTACAAGCCGGCCGTCCTTCCGGGGGAGCCCGGAGCGAGCCCGGCTCTCGCCTGGTGGTGTTTCTCACTCGGGCCTCCAAATGTTGTACTTGAGCGAGTTAGAGAAAATGCCACAATTTGACATGAATTAAGTCTGTTTATTTAGCTGGTGGCCAAGAGATGGCTAACTCTTAAAGTTCTCTTGGCCCCGAAGAAGGGGCTAGATTTTCTTTTATACTTCAGTTTAGAAAGGGGAAAGGGGTGTAGTTAAAAGAATTTTACAGAAGTAAAGTAGGCAAAAAAGTTAAAAGGATAAATTGTTACAGGAAAGTAAACAGATCTAGGTCTAAGGGCTTTAAGACTATTACAAAGTGATAGACGTGGGGCTTTAGGCATTATCAATCGGACAAATTCCTGGGAACTGCGGATATTGCTCGCCACAGTATCTTATCAGTTAATTGCACTCTTAGATGTGCTAAGAGTCAGCTTGCACAAGTTAAGTCCTTGAGGAAGGGGCTGCCAGTGAAAAAGCCAAGATAAAGTCTGTCTAGCTCTCTTAGCTAAAAGAAAGTCAATTCAGGTAGAAACAAGGCTAAGGGAATAAAAGAAAAGGAAAGTCTACGAACAAAGTTAATAAAAACAAGGTTAGGCATTACAGATGGGGTCATCCTTATATTCAGCACAGTGTTTGTCCTGAAACTTCAATGGAGTGCTCCTAGTTTGATAACTTGGACCATGCCAAATAAATTGAATTTCTCTTTCTTAACAACAGATGTTTGAATACAGCCCCGTGTCCCTCTCTGCTCCTTCCTGCCTTCCTCCTCTCCTCTTCCTTCCCTCCCTTTTCAAGAGCAGGGTTTGCAAGCTTTTACTTGAAAGCATCAGATAGATAGTAAATATTTTAGACTTCGTGGGCCATACAGTCTCTTGTAGTAGTTACTCAACTCTGTCACCCATAGAATGAAAGCAGCTGATATAGGTTGAATATGTGTCCCCTCCCAAATCTCATGTTGCAATGTAATCCCCAGTGTTAGAGGTGGGGCCTGGTGGGAAGAGATTGGATCACGGGGGTGGATTTCTCATGAATGATTTAGCGTCATCCTTTTGGTCCTGTCCTTGCAACAGTGAGTGAGTTCTTGCAAGATCTGGTTGTTTACGAGTGTGTAGCACCTCCCTCCTTACTCTCTTGCTCCCACTTCAGCTTCTGCCATGATTGTAAGTTTCCTGAGGCCTCCACAGAAGCTCAGTAGATGTCAGTGTCATGCTCCCTGTACAGCCTACAAAACTGTGAGCCAATTAAACCTCTTTTCTTTATACATTACCCAGTCTCAGGTATTTTTTATAGCATGAGAGAACAGCCTAATCCAGCAGCCATAGACAATATGTAGCAAATGGACATGGCTGTGTTTCAATAAAACTTTATTGACAAAAACATGTGCAGGCAGGTCAGATTTGGCCCATGGGCCATAGTGTCCCAACCTCTGCTCTGGAATATTCTCTTTAGCCTGGATGGACATCTCTAGGTTTTTTTTTTTTTTTTTGGTGAGAAAAAGTCTCACTGTTGCCCAGGCTGGAGTGCAGTGTTGCAATCTTTGTTTGCCACAACCTCTGCCTCCTGGGTTCAAGCAATTCTCCTGCCTCAGCCTCCCAAGTAGCTGGGATTACAGGCACCTGCCACCACACCTGGCTAATTTTTGTATTTTTTAATAGGAGATATAGGAGATAATTCTGCGAACAGAAATTCCTGAGAACTGAGATGGGGGAAATCGCTGGTATTAGAAGGGTGAAAAGGTCAGTAATTAAGGCTACGACTGTGCTCTTAGAGGCAAAAGAAGAAAATGAGACTGCCAGGCATGAATAATGAGAAATCTTTGATGGAATTAGCCATGCAGAACAGATACTAAATGCATCCTCATTCTTCTCATAGTCAAAAGTTTTTGCTGAAGCTGGATGGGAAAAAGAGAATCCCATTTGACTAAGTATAAAAGAGGGGATTTTAGAGAAGGTCTCAGAAGAAAGAGATGTGGGGGTTTGGTGAAACTCACCAGAGGCTGAACCCTCTCCAGCATAACACAGGGATTGGGAGGAGCGGGGTGGCATTAGGCCAGGTGCATAGCCCAGTGCTGCTCTCTCTGGACTTTCTGCTCTCTCTGGACTTGTTTGCTAGCTGAGCTCATCCATTTGCATAATTTTCAGTGCCATTTCTCAGCTGATGAGTCCTGAACTTTTGTCTTGAGGCTAGACTTCTCCTTCAAACAGCAGTCTTAAACACTCAACTTCTTTCTTGTTTTTTCCACTTGTCAACTCATGAAAACCTCAACCTTGTTAAATCCAAAGCCAAACTCATGGCTTGGAGTGGTAGGTGATGGCTGTAATGCCAGTGCTATGGGAGGCTGAGGTGGGAGGATTACTTGAGGTCAGGAGTTTGAAGCCAGCTTGGAAAACACAGTGAGACTCCCTAACTATAAAAAAAAAATAAAAAAAAAAAAAAAGATAGGCATGGTGAAGTGCATCTGTAGGATCTGTAGTCCTGTTACATGGCAGGCTGAGGCAGGAGGATCACTTGAGCCCAGGAGTTTGAGGCTGCAAAGAGCTATGATTGCACCAATGCACTCCAGCCTGGGTGACAGAGCCAGAGTCCCTGTCTTAAAAAAAAAACAAAATCAAAACTCTTTTTCCTCCTCCTTCTCCATGGGCTCTGTCCGTGCCATCTCTGTTCTGTAAATGGCTCCACCCCCTGCTGAGCTGCTCAAGGTAGTCATAACTCATGTGCTGTGCTAACTCTACTTTTGCCCTCTTCTCCAGTCAGAAGTCCTCTGATTCTAAACTTTATCCAACTTGTCCACTCTCTCTATCTTCACTGTCATTATCTTTGCCTAGGACACCGCTATCCCAGCTGGGCTACAGCGGCAGCCTCCTAACTGGTCTTAACTGGTCCTCTGCACCTGCTCTCCATGCTCAGCAATCCATTTCCTACCTAGCAGCTTCAGTGATCTTAAGGTGTCCATTGAGTCTCTTTCCTGCCCATGGCACATAGAATAAAATCGAGACCCCGAGTCTTCTGCCTGTTCCTACCATCTCTCCAGCTCTCTCCTATCTCCTCCCCTTGGCCTACTCTATTTCAGCCACTCTGTCCTCCTTTTGTTGTCTTCGACTTTCAAACCTTTCTCCACTACTGGGCCTTTGCATTTGCTGCTTCAGCCTGGAATGATTTTCCTCTGCACCTCCCCAAATTAGACCATCCTTTAGGTCTCAGCTAAAATGGTGCTTCCAGACAGCTCTTTCCTAACCCCTTTATAAAGTGGACTTCCCTGCTCGTCTCCACCTTAACCTCATTATTTCTTGTTGTGGGAACTCAGGGACCCCAAATGGAGGGACTGGCTGGAGCTGTGGCAGAGGAACATAAATTGTGAAGATTTCATGGACATTTATCAGTTCCCAAATAATACTTTTATATTTTCTTATGCCTGTCTTTATTTTAATCTCTTAATCCTGTTATATTCATAACCTGAGGATGTACATCACCTCAGGACCACTGTGATAATTGTGTTAACTGTACAAATTGATTGTAAAACATGTGTGTTTCAACAATATGAAATCAGTGAACCTTGAAAAAGAAGAGAATAACAGCAATTTTTAGGGAACAAGGGAAGACAACCATAAGGTCTGACTTCCTGCAGGGTTGGGCAAAAAGAGCCATATGTTTCTCCTTGCACAGAGTCTATAAATGAACGTGCAAGTAGGACAGATATTGCTAAATTCTTTTCCTAGCAAGGAATATTAATATTAATACCCTGGGAAAGGAATGCATTCCTGGGGGGAGGTCTATAAATGGCCGCTCTGGGAATGTCTGTCTTATTCAGTTGAGATAAGGACAGAGATACGCCCTGGTCTCCTGCAGTACCCAAAGGCTTACTAGGGTGGGGAAAAACTCTGCCCTGGTAAATTTGTGGTCAGACTGGTTCTTTGCTCTCGAACCCTGTTTTCTTTTGTTTAAGATGTTTATTAAGACAATACGTGCACCACTGAACATAGACCCTTATCAGTGGTTCTGCTTTTGCCCTTTGCTTTGTGATCTTTGCTGGACCTTTATCAGTAGTTCTGCTTTTGCCCTTTGTCCTGTTCCCTCAGAAGCATGTGATCTTTCTTAGACCCTTAGTAGTAGTTCTGCTTTTTGCCCTTTGAAGCATGTGATCTTTGTACCTACTCCCTGTTCTTACAGCCCCTCCCCTTTTGAAACCCTTAATAAAAACTTGCTGGTCTGAGACTCAGCAGGCAGCACAGACTTACTGATATGTAATGTCACTCCCAGCGGCCCAGCTGTAAAATTCCTCTCTTTGCAGTGTCTCTCTTTATTTCTCGGCTGGTTGACACTTATGGAAAATAGAAAGAACCTACGTTGAAATATTGGGGGCAGGTTCCATCAATACTTCTTTCATGGATTTACTTATTTTTTGTCTCCCTCCTTACCCTAGAAACTCCTGGAGGGCAGAGCTGTGTCTGCCATCTTCATCATTGCATTACCACCACCCAGCACAGTGCCTGGCACAAAAGAGTTGCTCAATAAATAAATCAGGATGAATGGATAAATACATGGATAGGCACTTTGAACTACAGATGAGTTTAAATACTTTGTGTTTTTCTTAGTCAAACATGTGCAATTAAGCATGTGATAAATGATATGATGACCGCACCTGTGTCTTGCCTGATGTTCTTTGCAATCACTAAATGAAGTCAATTGTGCCTGTTTTGACAGTTCTGTTTTCAATCTAATGATCTGTTTCTTTTAACTTCTGGCTGTTGGCTTTGTTTGGGTTTGTTAGCCTGACAAACTGGCAGATATTGGTATTTGCTCTTTTGTTTAAATGTCATGAACTTTAAAAATGCCTTTGCTTTTGGTAAGAAACCCTACTTGGGACAGTCTAGCAGTCAGGATGATTTGGGTTCTGGTGCAGTAACAACAATCCCCAAATCTCAGTGGATCCATGCAGTGGGGTATTTTTTGTTTGTTTGTTTGTTTGTTTTTTGAGAGAGGGTCTCACTCTGTCACCCAGACTAGAGTGCAATGGTGCAACTTCAGCTCACTGCAACCTCTGCCTCCCAGACTCAAGTGATTCTCCTGCCTCCTGAGTAGCTGGGATTACAGGCCCATGCCACTACTGTCTCACTAATTTTTGTACTTTAGTAGAGACAGGATGTCACCATGTTAGCCAGGCTGGTCTTGAACTCCTGACCTCAAATGATCCACCTGCCTTGGCCTCCCAAAGTGCTGGGATGACAGGCATGAGCCACCATGCCTGGCCACAGTGAGGCTTATTCTTGGTCACGTTGCATGTCTGGGCTGTGTTAGTGCATTGTGGGGTGGTCTGTTCATTGTGTTCACTCAGGGATCCAGGCTGACAGAAGCCCCATCTCTGCATGTGTCCTTGATCACCACTTCAGGGGAAAGGGAATGTGGTGGATCACACAGCCTCTTAACACTTCCACCTGGAGGTGACTCAAGTTGCTCTTGCTCATGGTTCATTGGACAAAACAGATCACAGAGACATGGGCAACTTCTCTGTGCCTGGAAGGGGAATCAAAATATGAATAGCTACGTTGATTTTCCCTAGCTATTACACAGAACGCCTCATTTAAACACAGTTACTTATTTGTGTTTTGAAGCTAATTGTTGTCCATCAAACTTCACAGAAGGTATGTGCACTTCCAAGTTATTATTAAGCACAATTTTTTTTTTTTTTTTTGAGACAGAGTCTCACTCTCTTGCCCAGGCTGGAGTGCAGTGGCATGATCATGGATCACTGCAACTTATGCCTCCTGGGTTCAAGTGATTTTCGTGCCTCAGCCTCCCAAAGTGCTGTGACTACAGACACCCACCACTGCGCCTGGCTAAGTTTTGTATTTTTTATAGAGATGGGGTTTCACCATGTTGGCCTGGCTGGACTGGAACTCCTGACCTCAGGTGACCCACCTGCCTCGGCCTCCCAAAGTGCTGAGATGACAGGCGTGAGCTGCCACGCCCATCCTTGAGTATGATTTTTGATTGGGAAGGTCAGAGTTAGGGTTTTAGTCTGAGGACTGTATGATGTGAAGGTGAAAAGCAGAGCTTGGCTGTAAGTTTGCTGGGATTCCTGTGCTGCTTCTACAGCTCTTTCGCTGTGTGACCATCACCTTTGGCAAGTTTATGTTTCTATGTGTTGGTTTCCTCATCAATAAAACAGAAAAACTAATCATAATCATAATATCTATTGGTGCTGGGATAGCCCAGTGGTTGACACATAAGGACTCAAAAATATATATTTTTTTTGAAACAGAGTCTTGCTCTCTTGCCAGGCTGGAGTGCAGTGGTGCAATCTCAGCTGACTGCAAACTCTGCCTCCTGGGTTCAAGCGATTCTCCTGCCTCAGCCTCCCAAGTAGCTGGGATTACAGGGGCCTGCCACCACTCCCAGCTAATTTTTGTATTTTTAGTAGAGACGGGGTTTCACCATATTGTCCAGGATGCTCTCGATCTCTTGACCTCATGATCCGCCCACCTCAGCCTCCCAAAGTGTTGGGATTACAGGCATGAACCACTGTGCCCGGCTCATAAATACTGTTATTAATTTTGGGGGGTAGTTACTATATTTTGTGAAAATCAGAGTTCAGTACCTTGTAACACTGGGTTGAGATCTATCCCTGAAGGAACAGGCTTCTAAAGAGGAAGGCATGGAGAGAGGGGCAAAATTTCAGTGGATGTTGTAATGACTTTAGGTATATGGACCTGGGGCTGAGTTCTAGCTGGGACCACCAGGTGGCAAGGTGGACTTTGCTAAATTCTATCACTTTCCTGGGCCTCAGGCTCACTTGTTACAAATGGGGTTAAAGCATCCCTCTTTCAGGGCTAAGATAAAGATGATTAAGTAGAGGGAATGAAAGTATCTTCAATCAACGGTCAAAAGTATTCGTTTAATTTTTTTTTTTTTTTTTTTTTTTTTTTTTTTTTTTTTGAGATGGAGTCTCTCTCTGTTGCCCAGGTTGGAGTGCAGTGGCATGGTCCCGGGTCACTGCAACCTCCACCTCCTGGGTTCAAGTGATTCTCCTGCCTCAGCCTCCTGAGTAGCTGGGATTTCAGGTGCATGCCACCACGCCTGGCTAATTTTTATATTTTTAGTAGAGGCGGGGTTTCACCATAATGGCCAGGATGGTCTCCATCTCTTGACCTTATGATCCACCCACCTTAGCCTCCCAAAGTGTTGGGATTACAGTCATGAGCCACCACGTCCGGCCCATTTAACTGCTATAATACTTTCCTGTTGGTGGTTTTACCAGTGCAAACTGAGCAGCTTAAAACACCACCCAGTTATTATCTGTTTTCATGAGCCAAGGGTCTGGGCAGGGTTTAACTGGGTCTTCTATTCAGGGTCACAATACGGCAACCAGAGTGTCAGTTGGAGCTGGGGTCTCATTGGATGCTCAGTGTCTTCTTCCAAGCTTATTCAGTCTGTGAACTGAATTCAATTACTTACAATTGTTGAATGAAGGCCCTCAACTCCTAGAGCTGCCACCTCCAAACACAGCTCACAGCATGGCCATTTGTGTCTCCTTGGAGGCTAAGGGTTAAATCTCTGAAACTTCACCTTTAAAAGATTCACCTGATTAGGTCTGGCCCACCTAAGATCATCCTGCTTTGGATGAACTCAAAGTCAGCTGAGCAAATGTGCTTAACAAAGCAAGTGTGACCATAATCACATTTGCAAAATTCCTTCCTCTTGGCCAAATCACAAGCTCTGCACACACTCAAGAAGAGGAGATGACACAGGGAGCAGATATAAGGGAGTGGGTCTCTTGGGGGCTGTCCTAGAACTCTGCCCATTACAACATCCTTTCTCGAGGAACAGCAGGCCTGGGGAGAGATGATCACAGATGAGGGAAGCCCACAGGTGGTGAGTACCTGGTGCTGGGGTAGGATGCAGGAGGCTGTGAAGCAAGTATGAAAAGCCTTCTCCGGGCTGGGTGCAGTGGCTCACACCTGTAGTCCTAGCACTTTGGGAGGCCGAGGTGGGCGGATCACGAGGTCAAGAGATCAAGGCTATCCTGGCCAACCAACATGGTGAAACTCCGTCTCTACTAAAAATAAAAAAATTAGCTGGGCATGGTGGTGCATGTCTCTAACAACCCAGATCCCCAAGTGAGCAATTCATGTCCCTTTTAAGGGCTCACAAGTCTAAGGGGGTCCACATGAGAGGGTCTTGATCTATTGACCAAACAGGGAGTACGTGACTGGGGGCTGCATTCAGCAAACCCCATCTCTACTGAAAATACCAAAATTCAGCAAAGTTTCAGGATACAAAATCATTGTGCAAAAATCACAAGCATTCTTATACACCAACAACAAACAAACAGAGAGCCAAATCATGAGTGAACTCCCATTCACAATTGTTTCAAAGAGAATAAAATACCGAGGAATCTAACTTACAAGGGACATGAAGGACCTCTTCAAGGAGAACTACAAACCACTGCTCAATGAAATAAAAGAGGATATAAACAAATGGAAGAACATTCCATGCTCATGGCTAGGAGGAATCAATACCATGAAAATGGTCATACTGCCCAAGGTAATTTATAGATTCAATGCCATCCCCATCAAGTTACAAATGACTTTCTTCACAGAATTGGAAAAAACTACTTTAAAGTTCATATGGGACCAAAAAAGAGCCCACTTTGCCAAGTCAATCCTAAGCCAAAAGAACAAAGCTAGAGGCATCACACTACCTGACTTCAAACTATACTACCAGGCTATGGTAACCAAAACAGCATGGTACTGGTACAAAAACAGAGATACAGACTAATGAAACAGAACAGAGCCCTCAGAAATAATGCCACACATCTACAACCATCTGATCTTTGACAAACCTGACAAAAACAAGAAATGGGGAAAGGATTCCCTATTTAATAAATGGTGCTGGGAAAACTGGCTAGCCATATGGAGAAAGCTGAAACGGGATCCCTTCCTTACAGCTTATACAAAAATTAATTCAAGATGGACTAAAGACTTAAATGTTAGACCGAAAACCATAAAAACTCTAGAAGAAAACTTCAGCAATACCATTCAGGACATAGGCATGGGCAAGGACTTCATGTCTAAAACACCAAAAGCAATGGCAACAAAGCCAAAATTGACAAATGGGATCTAATTAAACTAAAGAGCTTCTGCACAGCAAAAGAAACTACCATCAGAGTGAACAGGTAACCTACAGAATAGGAGAAAATTTTTGCAATCTACTCATCTGACAAAGGGACCTATGGCTTTCTTATAACATAGAGAATATGGCAGAGGTGATGGGATGTAGTGATTATGTTAGATAGGACGTTAAGTTGTCTCGCTAGGAGGCTGTCTGTCTTGCTGGCTTTGAAGATGTGAGCTGCCATGTCATGAGCAGCCAGATGGAAAGACCCATGTGGCAAGAAGCTGAGGGCAGCAAGAACCTGGGGCCCTGAGTCCAGCAGCCTGCAAGGAACTGAATGCTGCCAACAACCAGATGAGCCTGGAAGCAGATCAATCACCAGTCAAGCCTCCAGATGAGAACTGAGCCCTGGCTGACACTATGGCTGCAGCCTTGCACTGAACCCAGCTGAGTCACGCCTGGATTCCTGACCCACAGAAACCATGCAGTGATAACTGTCTGCTGTCTCAAGCCACAAAGTTTGCAGTAATATTGTTGCACAGCAATAGATAACTAATATAAAAACTGTCCTACATCATGTACATTACTGAGCGAAATGTAGAACCTGGATTTGAGCTCTGATTTCAGAGTTGTGGTCTCAGTCTCCCCAGGGAAACCTGTCCTGGGAGACAGTTATGCCAGGCTGTGATGCTGTAATGATTGTTCTCTTCCTACCCAGAAGCTTTCAATAGGCATGTCAAGCATGTGACCCCAGCTACATATACCAAATGTATTTCTGACAAATGCCAGGACATCGTGAGCTTTCTTATTTTACTGAGAGCTCCATAAAGGAAGGATAATCTTAGACTTTTTTTTTTTTTAAGAGTCTCACTGTTACCCAGGCTGGAGTGCAATGGTGCGATCTTGGCTCACTGCAGTCTCTGCCTCCTGGGCTCAAGGGATTCTCCAGCCTCAGCCTCCTGAGTAGCTGGGATCAAAGGTGTACATCACCACACCCAGCTAATTTCATATTTTGGGTAGAGATGAGGTTTCGTCATGTTGGCCAGACAGATCTTGAACTCCTGGCCTCAAGTGATTTGCTTACCTCGGCATCCCAAAGTGCTGGGACTACAGGCATGAGCCACTGCACCTGGCCTGTCTTATTTATGTTATGTCTACGTGAAACAGCCCAGTGGTCAGCACACAAAGGGGTCCAAATGTGAAAGGAAAGAGCAAACAAAGGGGAAACATAGGGGTGTTCAGAAATAGTTCCCAGGTCACTGCCTGTTTCAATATGTACAGTCCTCGGCCCCACCCACAAGATTCTGACTTGGCAGGTGAGAATTGGAGATGGGGGAGCTACCTGGTTATGAGGGATCCCAGTTCATTTTGAGGCAGCTGGTTGTTAGACTGCATTGTACAAATTATCCCCCAAAGATGTGAAGGGATAATTTATGTATTTTTAATAGAGATAGGGTTTCACCATGTTGGCCAGGCAGGTCTCCAACTCCCAGCCTCAGGTGACCCGCCCACCTTGGCCTCCGAAAGTGCTGGGATTACAGGCATGAGCCTTTGCTCCTAGCAGCATTTTTTTAATGAGGCCAAATTCACATAACACACAACTCCCTGTATGAAACCATACACTTCAGTATCATTAAATTCATTCACAATGTTAAGCAATCATCCATCCTCTGTGTCTAGTTCCAAAACATTTTCATTAACACCCCCCACCCCCCCAAAAAATAACCCTGTATCCATCAAGCACTCTCCATCCCCTCCCCTTTCCCCCAGTTCCTGGCAACCAACTACCTGCTTTCTGCCTCTACAGATTTGCCTATTCTAGACCTTTCACATAAATGGAATCATGTAATATATATAATGACCAAAAGCTAGCAACAACCAAGATGGCCATTTGGTTGATGAATGAATAAACAAAATGTGCTGTATCCATACAGTGGAAGTATTGGTGCCTACTACATGTGGATGGACCTTGGAAACATCACGCTAAGTGAGAGAGAGCCTTGGTATTGTCTCATCTCCCCAGGAGATTCCAAGGTGCAGCCAAGGTTGAGACCCACTGACAAGCAATGGATATGGTTGGGTGCAGATGAAATAAGGCAGCCAGGGGCAGGAGGGATGTCTCATTGACGATGACTGTTTGTGGATGCCAAGCAGGGGTGGGGATGAGGTATGATAACAGCAACCCCAATCCCAACACTGCGTGACCGATTTTATCTTCAGCCAGCTGATACGCCTCATGGGATTTGGACACAGGAAATCTCTGCCTCCCAGGTTCAAGCAATAACTCCTGCCTCAGCCTCCTACGTAGCTGGGATTACAGGCATGTACCACCACACCTAGCTAATTTTTGTATTTTTAGTAGAAACGAGGCCTCATCATGTTGCCCAGGTTGGTCTCGAACTTCTGGCCTCAAATGATCCACCCACCTCAGCCTCCCAAAGCACTGGGATTACAGGCATGAACCACAGTGGCAGCCTCCAAATTCTATTTGAAGTTTGACTTCCCACCTCCAGAAAATCCAAACCTTTGCCCTAGTCACAGTGGGACACCCCGGAGTTAATTTGAGAGAAATGTGCTTTTAAAAACAACTCCAGGCCAGGCGCAGTGGCTCACGCCTATAATCTTAGCACTTTGGGAGGCCGAGGCGGACGGATCACGAGGTCAGGAGATCAAGACCATCCTGGCTAACACGGTGAAACCCCGTCTATACTAAAAATACAAATAATTAGCCGGGTGTGGTGGCGCATGCCTGTAAGCCCAGCTCCTCGGGAGGCTGAGGCAGGAGAATCGCTTGAACCAGGGAGTCAGAGGTTGCAGTGAGCTGAGAGCGCGCCACTGCACTCCAGCCTGATGACAGAGAGAGATTCCGTCTCAAAATAAATAAATAAAACCCTCCGATATGAACACCAAACTAGAATCACTGCATTGACTTCCCTCCACCAATCAGGGAGAGTGATGGTGATGGTGCCTGAGTGTCTATTTGCATTGAGTCTTAATGGAAAATAAGGTTGTGTCAAGCAAAGGAAAAACAAATCACAGCCCAGACTGGAGCTGTGGATGAATAACATGGCTGAGTGTTGGTACAGGCTTTCCACAGCAATATTAAAGCTGAAAAAATCAGCAATGAAGCTCCCAGCCACATTTCTGCCCAATGATTTGGGGGAAAACAACAGAGGCACTCCTCAACTTTTCCTTCGCTGCACAAAGTGGGTTTGGCTAGAAATGCCAAATGTGCTTGTTGCTGGGGTCTTTCAAATGAAGCAAGCTGGGAGTCAACCTCCTGCAGCTGCAGGCCAGAAATGGGTTTAGACCAAACTATTATAGTAACACTGGGGCACATCTAAACAGATTTAACTCCCTCCCAGCAATCCAGATTAATTTAATATGCTTTCTTAATGGCATTCCGCATTTCTCATTAAAGCAAATGAACGTCCATCCCTCTGTGATAAATTAGGTCAAAAAACATTCATATATTTAGGGCACAGGGAAGGAGGAGTTGTTGGATGTTAAAAAAAAAAAAAAAAAAAAGTCCTGCAAATGGCCTTTCAGAGTCTAGACATCTTCATCATCAACACAAATATTCCTCTTCACAAAGGGACCTCAAGTAACCTTAGGCTGGAGGGCCCACCTGCGTATTTCTTCTCATTCTTTCTTACCTTCCCTCCAGCCCACACAACTCACATTCAGTGACCAAGTCACGTGGGTTTTACCTCCTAAATCTTTCTCATATCCTTCACTGCTCAGCCACTCTCCTGACACCACCATAAACCAAGCCACCATCACCTCCAGCTGTTTGACTGCAAATGCCTCCAGACTGGCCTCTGCTTTTCCCTGGCCCTGTGACAATCTGCACTCCTCACAGAGACCAAAGCAATCACTTCAGAAGGTGCATCCAAACAGATCACTCAGCTTTCAATGGCTCCCTCTGCTGTGTGGGTTAACAATGATAAAAGCTCGGCCGGGCGCGGTGGCTCACGCCTGTAATCCCAGCACTTTGGGAGGCCGAGGCAGTCAGATCACAACGTTAGGAGATTCAGACCATTCTCGCTAACACGGTGAAACCCCGTCTCTACCAAAAATACAAAAAAATTAGCCGGGCGTGGTGGCGGGCACCTGTAGTCCCAGCTACTCCGGAGGCTGAGGCAGAAGACTGGCGTGAACCCGGGAGGTGGAGCTTGCAGTGAGCCGAGACCGCGCCAATGCACTCCGGCCTGGGCGACAGAATGAGACTCCATCTCAAAAAAAAAAAAAAAAAAAAAGATAAAAGGTCACCTTTACTGAGCACACACTATCTCAGTCCATCCCTACATCAGCCCTTGATTTCACCAGTGGGGAAGCTGGGACACAGAGTAGTTACGTGGGATGCCCAAGGTGGGACCACTCGTGTGAAGTTTCCACACCCTAATGTGAGACCCTCCATGACCTAGCCCCTCTCTTTCTCCAGCCTCATTTCCTGATTCTCTCGCTTGCCCTGCAGGCTTCAGCCACAGAAACTTCTTGAAAGTCCCTTAAATCTGGCTGAGCGCAGTGGCTCACGCCTGAAATCCCAGCACTTTGGGAAGCTGAGGCGGGTGGATCACCTGAGATCAGGAGTTCGAGACCAGCCTGGTCAACATGGTGGAACCCCATCTCTACTAAATATCCCAAAATTAGCCAGGTGTGGCGGATGGCACCTGTAATCCTAGCTACTCGGGAGACTGAGGCAGGAAAATCGCTTGAACTCGGGAGGCAGAGGTTGCAGTGAGCCAGGATCGCGCCACTCCACGCAAGCCTGGGCGTCAAGAGTGAAAGTCCGTCTCAAAAACAAAAGTCCCTTAAATCTGCTCTATGCCTGTCAACCTCAGGGACTTCACTGTGCTGTTCCTCACCCTGAAATGCTGTTCCTCATTTCTCCACATAGTGAACTCATCCCACCCCCTAGGCCTCTCCTTAAGTGTCATCTCTTCAAGGAAGATTTTACTTTTTTAATATAACTATTAAAATATAATTCAGGTACCGTATGCTTTGCCAATTTAAAGTAAACAAATCAATGGTTTCAGTGCATTCACAGAGCTCGGCAACCATCATCATGATCAATTTTAAAACATTTTCATCACTCCAAAAGAAACCCTGTATCCATGAGCAGGTACCTGCCATTTCCTCCTCCCACTAAGCCCTGACAATCTACTTTTTTTGAGATAGAGTCTCTGTCACAGGCTGGAGTGCAGTGGCACAATCTCAGCTCACTGCAACCTCCGCCTCCTGGGTTCAAGCAATTCTCCTGCCTCCCGAGTAGCTGGGATTACAGGGATATGCCACCACGCCCATCTAATTTTGTATTTTTAGTAGAGACAGGGTTTCTGTCTTCATAGATTTGCGTGTTCTGGACATTTCATATAAATGAAATCTTAGAATATGTGACCTTTTGTGACTGGTTTCTTCTACTTAGCATAATATTCTCATAGTTCATCCGTGTTGTAGCACGTGTGAGTACTTCATTCCTTTTGATGACTGAATAATATTCCATTGCATGGTCAAACCATGTTCTATTTCTCCACTCATCAGTAGACAAGCATTTGTGTTGTTTTCACTTTGGCGCTATTATGAATAATGCTGCTATGAGCGTTTGTGTACAAGTATCTGCACGGACATATATTTTCATTTCTTTCATAAACTGGAGTGGAAGTGCTGGGTCATAGAACTCTGTGTTTAAGCTTTTGAAGAAGTGCCAGACTGTGTAAGAAAGAAAGCCTTTCCTCACTCCCTCTCTCCATTTATACGTTCTCTTTATGCCCTTTGCTTCTCTTTCAGAGCAATTCACGTTGACCTGGGTCACCCTCAACTTAAGGCTCATGACTCCCCTAGATCCTCAGGGTCCACACTAAATGTGATGAAATATGATGCAAGCCACATATTTACTTTTGCATTTTGTAGTAACCACATTTTAAAAAGTAAAACAAAAGAAGTGAAGGTAATTGGAATAATATCACGGATTTAAACAAATCTATCCGAAATACCAGGTCTACATGTATAAAATATTTTAACATTAACAAAATACTTTGCTTTCTTTTTACATTAAGTCTTCACAATCTAATGTGTATTTGACACTTCTCGCCCATCTCAGAATGATGGCAGCACCCCATGGGGGGGCCCTCCCATGATGCCAATGATGGGCCCTCCTCCTCCTGGGATGATGCCAGTGGGACCTGCTTCTGTAATGAGGCCGCCCATGGGAGGCCACATGCCCATGATGCCTGGGTGCCCAATGATGAGACCTCCTGCCCGTCTCATGATGGTGCCCAGTCAGCCCAGAATGACTCGACCAGACAGATAAGGATAGAGGGGAGGCCTCATTACATCAGTGTTGTTTTGTTGTAATTATTGTTGTGTTTTCTTTGTTTGTAATGTTTTGTTTTGTTTTTGAGACACAGTCTTCCTCTGTCGCCCAGGCTGGAGGGCAGTGGCACGATCTCAGTTCACTGAAACCTCCACCTCCCGCGTTCAAGCGATTCCCCTGCCTCAGCCTCCTGAGTAGCTGGGACTACAGGCGTGCGCACCATGCCCGACAAATTTTTTTTATTTTAGTAGAGACAGGGTTTCACCATGTTGGCCAGGATGGTCTCAATCTCCTGACCTCGTGACCTGCTCGCCTCAGCCTCCCAAAGTGCTGGGATTACAGGTGTGAGCCACTGCGCCCGGCCTATATGAGTTTTATATTTACCTGCTCCCTTCACCAGGAGATCATGCTTCTGTGATGCTGGGTTTTCTTAACAGCATAAGGAAGACTTGCCCCCTTGCCCTATCAAAGAGAATAGTTTTGGAGGGGAGAAGTGGGACCAAAAAAGATGCAGTTTTCATTTGTATTGGGAAATGTGAAAATAAAATTGTCAACTCTTTTAGTTAAAAACAACAACAAAAAAGGAAACGAGATGTGGGGCTGCCACACGCAATATCGTGCATTAAAAGGATCTTCTACTCTGGATGAAAATATCTTTGCTGATGCCAGACCAACCTAACACAAAGACCTTTTGGTTTTTTAATGTGACTGTGTTTTATTTTACAATGTGTAATTCACTTTAGAAGGGCAAAGTACCTGTCTGGGGAAGACTATTTAATTTCCTGCATTTATTTAGAATATTGGCTAATGTTATTCTGAAGGGAAATATCTCTAACAAGTGAGTGCCCCCCACATAGACACAGCTCATGAGCTCACGGGGCAAAGGAATTGAACAGCAGCCTCCTAATAGCTAGCCTTCTTTGTGGAATGGAAATAATTATCAGCATGTAAAAGACTATATATATATTCAACAATTCTGACCCCCCACAAAATTCAAATCTACAATTGATTTGCTTCCTGGGCTCCTGAAAACAACTTTGTCAAAATTGTTCAGAAATAAAATCAGCCAATCGTTGCCCCTTGGGGACGCAAGACAAAGCAAATCAGCCATGACCAATGTGCAATGTGGAGTCGGCCGTACACAATTACATGCAGACCTGCAGGACATCGAGTCCCTGCTATGGTCCCTCCCCAGTCAGGCCCCCATTGCCTGGGCTGCAGCCAGAAGCATTCAGGCACAAGTGCATTCAACAAATACTTATTTAATTGTATTGGTGGTTAGAAGGTTGTTGTTGATTAAGGTACATTAATGGATCCAAGTCCTCCCTGTATCCAAGACTCTGCCATTTGTCTCTGCAGTTCCTCCCACTGAAGAATCGGAGTATATTTCTCCAGCCCCTAATGTTGGGTTTAGTCATGTGTCTAGCTTTGGCCACTGGAATATTAATCTGCATGACCAAAAACTTGGAAAGTATGCATTCATTTGTGCTCACTCACTCCTGCTATCACCATGAGAACAAGCCCAGGCCAGCCTGCTGCTTCCAGCAGAAGATAAGAGACACCAACAGCAAAGTAGAGCTTCCCAGACATGCTTATGCTAGATTAACCAATCCTCAGCTGACCCATAGATCCATGAAAATAAATGACTGTTGTATTAAGCCACTGAGATTTGGAGTGACTTGTTATGCAGCATTTTGTGACAATAACTAACTGATACAAGGGTCACCATCCTTTATCTCTGTAGATTTTAACCAATTTTTAATAGCTAGATGGAGATCTTCTAGTTGCCTTTATTTATAATGAATAAGACTGTAGAGCTAGTTTGGCCTGACACTACCAGTTACCTACCCAGAAATTCAGAAATACTTTCTTTTCCAACCCACCCCAACCAACCATTTTTTTTTTTTTTTTGAAACGGAGTCTTACTCTTTGCCTAGGCTAGAGTACAAGTGGCACAGTCAGAGCTCACTGTAATCTCAAAATCCTGGGCTCCCCTGATCTTCCCCTTCAACCTCCTATGTAGCTAAGACTACAGACATGTGCCACCATGCCTGGCTAATTTTTTTATTCTTTGCAGAGACAGGATCTCACTATATTGCCCAAGTTGGTTTCAAACTCCTGGCCTCAAGCAGTCCTCCTTCCTCACCCTCCCAAAGTGCTAGGATTATAGGCATGAGCCACCACACCCAGCCTCTTCTTCTTTTTTAAATAGAAACCCTATTTTATTCTGACAGCGGGTTGCTTTCTTCTTTTTTTTTTTTTTTTTTTTTTAGAAAAAATTGGCCCAGCCCCAGGGAATAAATTGTGACTGGTCTAAACAGGGTTGGCAAACTATAGACCAAGGGCCAAATCTGGCCCTCTGACTGTTTGTATAAATTAAGTTTTACTGGAATAAAACCAGGTCCATTCATTTATGCATTGTCTACATATGCTTTTAGGCTATGATGGCACCACTGCGTCACTGCAACAGAGGTTATCTAGACCAAAAGCCTAAGATATTACCGTTTGCTTCTTTATGGAAAAAGTTAGCCATTCCCCAGTCTAAGGTTTAGATTCTGAGCTTAACATTTTAGCCTACCCCCACTTACCAGTGACTGGCTCAAAACAAGTCTGTGATTCCATTCTGACTATTCTACTGAGGGAAATCCCCCTTCTTCTCATGCAGAGCTGATGAGGGTAAGTTGTATTAATAGGACATATGCTCAGGTTTTCTGAAAAATACTTTTATCTAGAAATGCATAGGAATATGCTGGTGCCTGAATGTACCATCTGGGGGCCTGGAGATTGACTCACACTGCCTCCAGAGCTAGTGCTCACACTTACTACTGAGAGGCCTGAAGAAACACCTGCCGAACCCACCACCAGAACCTGCACACGTCACCTGGAGAACTAGAGATGAGCCTGCCACACACACCACCCAGGAGCCCAGTGGCGCTCCTGCCCACCTGGCCCAGTGCTGCCACTGCCAGCAACCAAAGAAGCCACCTGGAGGCCCAGGGATTGGCCCATGCAGACAGGCTATCATCAGTGCCCACATACACTGCCCATGGTCCCTAGTATTGACACACCTGGTCTACCACCACTACCACTGATGCTGAAGGACAAGACTTCCAGGCATCCCCATCCTCAGCAAAGCCTCACCACAGCCTCCAATAACAACTGCAGTCTGGCTGGGCGCGGTGGCTCACACCTGTAATCCCAGCACTTTGAGAGGCTGAGGCAGGTAGATCACGAGGTCAGGAGTTCGAGACCAGCCTGGCCAACGTGGTGAAACCCCGTCTCTACTAAAAATACAAAAATTAGCTGGGCGTGGTGGCACGTGCCTGTAGTCCCAGCTACTCAGGAGGCTGAGACAGGAGAATCGCTTGAACCTGGGAGGCAGAGGTTGCAGTGAGCTTAGATTGTGTCACTGCACTCCAGCCTGGTGACAGAGCTAGACTCCATCTCAATCACAAACACACAAACAAAAAAAACTGCAGTCTAAGCCACTGAATAACTCACAGACACCACTCATGCCAATTACAACTGAAGAAATCATATGCAGATTATACCACTGTACCCACCCAGAATCAAAGCCAAAGTGTGATATCCAATGAACACTGTAGATACAGCTATAAGAAAAGGTCTTTCCCATATAAAAGCCAACCCAGAAAATTGGAAGAAGTGACTGCTATGTCAGAGGCACAGATAGTCACATAAGGACGCAAGAAATATGAAAAAGGAAACATAACATCTCCAAAGAAGCACAATAATTCTCCAGCAACAGATTCCAATGAAAAGAAAATCTATGAAATGCCTGAAAAAAATTCAGAATAATGATATTAAAGAAACTCAGGGAGATATAAGAGAGCACAGATAATGAATACAAAAAAATCAGGAAAACAATTCATGATCTGAATGAGAAATTCAACAGGGATAGACAGCATAACAAAGAACAAAACACAAATCCTGGAAGAGATGAAATCATTGAAAGAAATACAAAAGACAACTGACAGTTTTAACAATAGACTAGATCAAGCAAAACAAAGAATTTCTGAACCTGAAGACTAGTCTTTTAAAATAATCCAATCAGACAAAAAGAAAGAAAAAAGAATGAAGCAAGGCTACATGACATATGGGACACATATGTGACCAAAAACTGAAATTCTGGGAGTTCTGGATGGAGATGAGATGGGTAAAGGCATAGAAAACCTATTTAATAAAATAATAACTGAAAACTTCCTGAAAGCTTCCAAATACAGGAAGCTCAAAGATTACCAAATTAATACAACTCAAAAAGGTCTTCTCCAAGGACACTATGGTAAAATTGTCAAAAGACAAAGAGAAAATGCTAAAAACAGCAAGAGAAAAGCATCAAGTCACTTATAAGAGAATCTCCACCAGGCTAACAAGGGATTTCTCAGCAGAAACCTTACAGGCTAGGAGAAAAGGGGATGTATACTACAAGTTAAAAAAAAAAAAAAAGTAAGGCAAAAATGCTATACCCAGCAAAGCTATCCTTCACAAATGATGAAGATTGGCACAGTGGCTCACATCTGCAATTCCAGAGACTCAGAAGGCTGAGGCAGGAGGATCATTTGAGCCCAGGAGTTCAAGGCTGCAGTGAGCTATGATCATGCCACTGTACTCCAGCCTGGGTGACAGAGTGAGACTCCATTCCTTAAAAAAGAGAAAAAATATTTCCCAGATAAGCAAAAGACTGTTTGTTTGTGTCTTGTTTGTTGTGGTCCTACAAAAAATGCTTAAGGGAGTCCTACACTGGGAAGCAAAAGAACAGTATCTACCATCATGAAAATACATGAAAGTATAAAACTCATGGTAGTGCAGACACACAAAGGAGAAAGGATGCAAACGTCACCACTAAAGAAAACCACCAAATTGCAGCAATAAATAATGAGAGAAAAAAGGAACAAAGGTGTATTAGTCTGTTTTCACACTGCTGATAAAGACATACCTGACTGAGACTGGGCAATTTACAAAAGAAAGAGGTTTAATGGAGTTACATTTCCACGTAGCTGAGGAAGCCTCACAATCATGTTGGAAGGCAAGAAAAAGCAAGTCATGTCTCACCTGGATGGAAGCAGGCAAAGAGAGAGCTTCTGCAGGGAAACTACCCTTTTTAAAACCATCAGAACTTGTGAGACGTATTCACTGTCATGAGAACAGCATGGGAAAGACCTACCCCCATGACTCAATTACTTCCCACCGGGTCCCTCCTACAACATGTGGGAATTCAAGATGAGATTTGGGTGGGCACACAACCAAAGCATATCATTCTGCCCCTGGCCCTTGCCAAATCTCATTTCAAAACAAATTATGCCTTCCCAACACTCCCCCAAAGTCTTAACTAAGTTCAGCATTAACTCAAAAGTCCACAGTCCAAAGTCTCATGTGAGACAAGGCAAATCCCTTCCGCCTATGAGCATGTAAAATCAAAAACAAGTCAGTTACTTCCTAGATACAATGGGGGTATAGGCATTGGGTAAACACAGTCATTCCAAATGAGACAAAATTGCCAAAACAAAGGGGCTACAGGCCCCATGCAAGCCCAAAATCCAGTGGGGCAGTCAAATCTCAAAGCTCCAAAATGATCTCCTTTGACTCCATGTCTCACATGCAGGTCATGCTGATGTAAGAGGTGGGCTCCCACGGCTTTGGGAGAAAAAAGGCCACAGCTCCACTCTTGTGGCTTTGTGGGTATAAACCCCCTCCTGGCTCCTTTCACGGGTTGGCATTGAGTGTCTGCAGCTTTTCCAGGCACACAGTGCAAGCTGTCAGTGAATCCACCATTCTGGGGTCTGGAGGATGGTGGTCATCTTCTCACAGCTCCACTAGGTGGTGCTGCAGTAGGAACTCTATGTGGGGGCTCCGACCCCACATTTCCCTTCTGCACTGCCCTAGTAGAGGTTCTCCATGAGTGCCCTGCCCCTGCAGCAAACTCCTGCCTGGACAACTAGGCATTTCCATTCACCTTCTGAAGTCTAGGCAGCAGTTCCCAAACCTCGATTTTTGACTTCTGTGCACCCATAGGCTCAACACTATGTGGAAGCTGCTAAGGTTTGGGGCTTGCACCCTCTCAAGCCACAGCCCACATTGTACCTTGGCTCCTTTTAGCTGCAGCTGGAGTGGCTAAGACTCAGGCACCCGAGGCTGCTCACAGCAGGGGGGCCCTGGGTCCAGTCCACAAAACTATCTTTTCTTCCTAGGCCTCTGGGCCTTTGATGGGAGGGGCTGCCATGAAGCTCTGTGACATGCCCTGGAGACATTTTCCCCATTGTCTTGGAGATTCACATTTGACTCCTCGTTACTTAAACAAACTTCTGCAGCCAGATTGAATTTTTCTTGAGAAAATGGGATTTTCTTTTCTATTGCATTGTCAGACTGCTAATCTTCCAAACTTTCATGCTCTGCTTCCCTTATAAAACTGAGGGCCTTTAACAGCACCCAAGTCATCTCTTGAATGCCTTGCTGCTTAGAAATTTCTTCTACCAGATACCCTAAATCCTCTCTCTCAAGTTCAAAATTCCACAAATCTCTAAAGCAGGGGCAAAATGCCACCAGTCTCTTTGCTAAAACATAACAGGAATCACTTTTGTGCCAGTTCCCAGCAAGTTCCTCATTTCCATCTGAGACCACCTCAGCCTAGACTTTATTGTCCATATAACCATCAGCATTTTGGGCAAGTCTCTAGGAAATCTCTTCCAAAATTTCCCACATTTTCCTGTCTCCTTCTGACCCCTCCAACCTCTGCCTGTTTCCCAGTTCCAAAGTCACTTCCACATATTCAGGTATCTTTTAGGAACACCCCACTTCTGGTACCAATTTACTGTATTAGTTCATTCTCACACAGCTGATAAAGACACATACAAGACTGGGAAATTTACAAAAGAAAGAGGTTTAATGGACTTACAGTTCTATGTTGCTGGGGAGGCTTCAAAATCATTGCGGAAGTCAAGGAGAGACAAGTCACATCTTACAGGGATGGCAGCAGGTAAAGAGAGAGCTTGAGCAGGGAAACTCCTCCTTTAAAACCATCAGATCTCATGAGACTTACTCACTATCAAAAGAATAGCATGGAAAATACCTGCCCCCATGATTCAACTACTTCCCACTGGGTCCCTCCCACAACACATGGGAATTCAAGATGAGATCTGAGTGGGGACACAGCCAAACCAAATCAAAAGGATATACAAAATAACCAGAAAACAATGAAAAAAATGACAGGAATAAGTCCTTACCTATCAATAATAACTTCGAATATGTGTTAAATTACCTACCTAAAAGATAGAGACAGGTTTAATGGATAAAAAATGACCCAACAACGTCTACAAGAAACTCACTTCACTTGTAAAGACACACACAGACTGAAAGTGAAGAGATTGAAAAAGACATGCCACACAAACAGAAATAAAAAGTAATCAGGAGTAGCTAAACTCACATCAGCTAAAACAGACTTTAAGTCAAAAACTGTAAAAAGGACAAAGAAGGTCATTATATGGTAATAAAGGGATAAATTAAGCAACAAAATATAACAATTCTAAATGTGCATGCACCAACACAAGTGCATCCAGACACACATAGCAAATATTATTAAATCTACAGGGAGAGATAGAGTCCAATACAATGATAGTTGAGAATTTCAATATCCTACTGTCAGCATTGGACAGTTCATCTAGACATAAAATCAACACAGAAACATTAGATTTAAGCTGCACTTTAGACCAAATGGACCTAACAGATATTTTCAGAATATTTCATCCAGCAGCAGCAGAATACACAATCATCTCATCAACACATGGAACATTCTCCAGGATAGACCATATGTTAGGACACAAAACAAGGCTCAACAAAATTTTAAACATTAAAATCATATCAAGTATCTTCTCAGACCACAATGGAATAAAACTTGAAATCAATAACAAGAAGAAATTTGGAAACTGTAAAAATACATGAACATTAAATGTGCTATTGAATGAATAGGGCAATGAAGAAATTAAGATGGAAATCAAAAAATTTTTTTAAACAGAAAATGGAAACACATCATGCAAAACCTATGGGATACAGCAAAAGCAGTACTAGGAGGAAAGTTTATAGCAATAAATGCCTACACCAAAAAAGTAGAAAGATCTCAAATAAACAACCTAATGATGCACCTCAAGGAACTCAAAAAGCAAGAACAAACCAAACACACAATTAGTAGAAAGAAAAAAAAAATAACAGCAGAACCAAATGCAACAGAGACAAAAAAGAAATGCAAAGAATCAACAAGATAAAAGTTTTTTTTTTGAAAAGTTAAACAAAATTGATAAACCACTAGTGAGGCTAACCAAAAAAAAAAAAAAAAAAAAAAAAAAAAAAAAAAAAAAAAAAAAGGAGACCCAAATAAATACAATCAGAAATGAAAAAGGAGACATTACAACTGTTACCAAAGAAATAAAAAGGATGATTAGAGGCTATTATGAACAACCATATCCTAACAAATTGGAAAACTTAGAGGAAAGGGATAAATTCCCAGACATACACAGCCTACCAAGATTGAACTAGGAAGAAACAGAAAACCTGAACTGACTCAAAATGAATAGCAGGTTTGAATCAGTAACAAAAAGTCTCCCCAAAGAGGAAAGCCCTAGACTAGGCTTTTATGCTGATTTCTACCCAGTTTATAAAGAAAAACAAACATCAATTCTTCTCAAACTATTCCCAAAAATTGAAGAGGAGGGAATTCTTCCTAACTCATTGTGTAAGGCCAGCATTACCCTGATATCCAATCAAGACAAGGACACAACAGAAAGAGAAAACTACAGGCCAATATTCCTAATGAACACAGATGGAAAAATTCTCAGCATAATACTACCAAGCCAAATCTAATGATGAATGTAAAAGATAATATACCATGATCAAGTGGGATTTATCCCAGGAATGCAAAGATGGCTCAACATACACAAAATCAATGCATGTGATACATCACATCAACAAGATGAAAGGCAAAAACTATCTGATCATCTCAGCAGATGCAGAAAAATCACTCGGTAAAACTTACCATTCCTTCATGATGAAAACTCTCAACAAATTAGGCATAGAAGGAACACTTCATCATAAGAAAAGGCATATATGACTAATCTACAGCTAACATCCTACTCACTGGGAAAAATTGAAAAGCTTTTCCTCTAAGAACTGGAACAAGACAAGGATGCCTACTTTCACCACTCTTATTCAACACAGTATGGGACATCCAAGCCAGAGTGATCAGACAAGATAAAGAAATAAAAGGCATCAAAACTAGACAAGAGGAAGTCAAATTGTCTCACTTTGCAGATGACATAATCTTATACTTGTAAACAGAAAAACCTAAAGACTCCACCAAAAAACTCTTAAAATGGATAAATTAGGCTGGGCATGGTAGCTCATGCCTGTTATCCCAGCACTTTGGGAGGCCAAGGTGGGCGGATCACCTGAGGTTGGGAGTTTGAGACCAGCCTAGCCAACATGGTGAAATCCTGTCTCTATTAAAAATACAATTAACCAGGCATGGTGGTAGGTGCCTGTAATCCCAGCTACTTGGGAGGCTGAAGCAGGAGAATCGCTTGAAACCCAGAAGCGGAGGTTGCAGTGAGCCAAGATTGCATCACTGCACTCCAGCCTGGGCAACAGAGTGAGACTCTATCTCAAAAAATAAAAAACAAAAAAATTTTAAAAAAACAGATGTATAAGTCAGTAAAGCTTCAGGACACAAAATCAACATACAAAAATCAGTAATGTTTCTATATACCAGTAACAAACTAGCTAAAAAAGAAACCAAGGAAGAAATTCTATTTACAATAGCTACAAAAATAAAATGCCTAGGAATAAACTTAACCAAGGATGGGGAAAAAAAAAAAAAAACCTCTGCAATGAAAACCACAAAACACTGATAAAATAAATTGAGAAGACACAAACAAATGGAAAAGCATCTCATGCTCATGGGTTGGAATTAGTAATACTGTTAAAATGACCATACTACCCGAAGCAATCTAGAGATTCAATATAATCCCTATCAATTATATTCTTCACAGAAACAGGAAAAAAAACAAAACCCTGAAATTCATATGGAACCACAGAAGACCCCAAATAGCCAAAGCAAAACTGAGCAAAAAGAACAAAGCTAGAAGCCTCACACTACCTGATTTAAAAGTATACTGCAAAGCAGCTGGGCGTGGTGGCTCACACCTGTAATCCCAGCACTTGGGGAGGCCAACGCGGGTGGATCATGAGGTCAGGAGATCGAGACCATCCTGGCTAACACGGTGAAACCCCGTCTCTACTAAAAAAAAAAAAAAAAACAAAAAAAATTAGCTGAGGCTGAGGCAGGAGAATGGCGTGAACCCGGGAGGCAGAGCTTGCAATGAGCCGAGATTGTATCACTGCACTCCAGCCTGAGTGACAAGGCAAGACTCTGTCTCAAACAAACAAACAAACAAACAAAATATATATATACACATACTGCAAAGCTATAGTAACCAAAACAGCATATATTTGTATTAAAACAGACACAAAAACAAAGGAAACAGACTAAAGAACCCAGAAATGAATCCACATATTTACAGCTGATTTTCAAGAAAGGTGTCAAGAACATACCTTGAATAAAAGACACCCTCTTCATTAAATGGTGCCAGGAAAACTAGATATCCAGATATCCAAACACAGAAGAATAAAACTAGACCCTTATCTCTCATCACTTACAAAAATAAACTCGAAATCGATTAAAGACTTAAATGTAACAGCCACAACTATAAAACTACTAGAAGTAAACACAGGAGAAATGCTTGAGAACAAAGATTGTATGGCTAACACTTAAAAAGTACAAGCAACAAAAACAGCCAAATGGGATTATATTAAATTAAATACCTTCTGCATGTCACAGAAAACAATCAACAGAGTGAAAAGACAACACCCCTCCCTTACACCATACAGAAAAATTAACTCAAGATGGCCTACAGACTTAAATGTAAAACCCATAACTATAAAAACCCTGGAAGACAACCTAGACAATGACCTCCGGTACATAGCGATGGGCTAAGAGTTCATGGTGAAGATGCCAAACGCAATTGCCACAAAAGCAAAAATTGACAAATGGGATCTAATTAAATGAAAGAGCTTCTGCACAGCAAAAGAAACTATCAAAAAATAAACAGACATTTCTCAAAAGAGGATATACAAATCATCAAGTTTATGAAAAAATATTCAACATCACTAATCATCACGGAAATGCAAATCAAAACCACAATGAGATATCATCACACTTGTTAGAATGGCTATTATTAAAAAGACAAAGCACAACAAATGCTGGCAAGAATGTGAAGAGAAGAAAATTATCGTATATTGTTGGTGGGAATGTAAATTAGTACAGCCATTATGAAAAAAAGTACAGAGATTTCTCAAAAAACTAAGAACAGATCTACCATATGATCCAGCAATCCCACTCCTGGGTATATATCCAAAAAAAAGGATATCAGTGTATCAACGGGATATCTGTACCCCCATATTTACTGCAGCACTATTTACAATAGCCAAGATACGGAATCAATCTAAGTGTCAATCAATGGATGAATGGATAAAGAAAATGGGAATATACGCACAAGAGAATAGTACTCAGCCATAAAGAAGAATGAAATCCTGTCATTTTCAGCTAACTGGATGGAACTAAAGGTCATAATGTCAGGTGAACTAGGCCATGCACAGAAAGAAAACTATTGCATGTTCTCACTTATATGAGCAGTTTATGCTCCTGGAAATCAAAGCGGGGCCATGTTTCAGGTCAGTAGAGTCAGGGATAGAGACCGCAGTTATGGACTTGTGTGCCCTGGAGCTATAGAAAATTGATATCATGGAGATAAAGAGTAGAATGATAGTTACCAGAGGCTGGGAATAGGAGGGGTTTGAAAAGAAGTTGATTAATGGGTATAAAAATATATAATAGAAGGAATAAGATCTAGTGTTCATTATCACAGAAAGTGACTACAACAATTTGTTGTATATATATATATATTTAATTTCAATAGTTTTTAGGGAACAGGTGGTATTTTGTTACATGGATAAGTTCCTTAGTGGTGATCTCTGACATTTTGGCGTACCCATCATCAAAGCAGTTTACCCAATGTATAGTCTTTTATCTCTCACCCCCTCCCACCTTCCCCCTGAGCCCCCAAAGTCCACTGTTTCATTCTTGTGCCTTTGCATCATCATAGCTTAGCTCCCACTTACGAGTGAGAACATGCAATGTTTGGTTTTCCATTCCTGAGTTACTTCATTTAGAATAATGGTCTCCAACTCCATCCAGGTTGCTATGAATGCCATTATTTTATTCCTTTTTAACACTAAGTAGTATTCTATGGTATATATATATATATATATATATATATATATACATACACCATATATATATATATGGTAGAAATGTGTTTTTTATATAAAAAAACATTTTTTTAAGAAACATGCAGGAATACACTGTACCTCTTCCTTGCTGTCTCTGGATATTGTCACATGAGGACTTGACATGCAGATTGTGGCAGCCTCTGTGACCAAGAGCAGAAGACAATAGCAGCATAGAAACCTCAAATGAAAAACCTAGCATCTCAAGCTACTAATTTAGCCAACCTTGGCATCAGCTATCTCTGGTCCTAGTACATGAGGTGATAAGCCCCCACTGTTCAAGTTGGGTGGCCATCAATTGCTGCAGAATAGAAGTTAATGAGGCTTCCTCCTCCTGGATCCCCTACTAGACCCTGACATACCCATTCAGTCACAGGCAGAAAGGGAAGCACAGGGTAAGGAGACCTGGCTGACTGTGCCAGACGCAGATCTTACCTGTCCTGCTTAAAACACTCAATTGGTTAAACAAAAAAAGGAAAAAGACAGTAAGGAGTATAACACTCCCCAGAAGCAACTTAGTCTAACACTCTATACTTTAAATTTTCTAAACATACATAGAAATCAGACCACTACTTCTGCAGAACATTTTACTGGTAAAAAGAACAGCCCACATGAGGGAAAACGGATTTGGTGGAAAGACAACAAAAACAAAACATGGGAAATAGGGAAGGTGATAACATGGGGGAGAGGTTTTGCTTGTGTTTCAGCAGGAGAAAATCAGCTTCCTGTTTGGATACCCACTAGACATTTGAAGTTCTACAATGAACCCATCAGAGATGCAAATGAAAGTGCCTCCGCAGAGACAGAAAACCTGCAATCGAGCATCATCGACTCGCAGGGTGAACAGAATGGTGATATCAGAAGAACAGATGAAGTTACCATCCACCAAGAAAACGGCACACGTGGAGAGCCAGGGAGAGAAAGAGAAAGAAAAAGAGACAGAGATCAGAGAGAGACACAGAAAGTGAGACTGGGGAGAGAGATAGTGTAAGAGAGAGAGAGAGAGACCGTAAGAGAAGGGAGACAAAGAGATAAAAGGTGCGAGTGAGCAGGTGAGGAGAAAGACTGAAAACGATGAGAAACAGCAACTAAGACACAAAGGAAGTGGGAGACTGCCCGGGTGCCGCAGCACCCACACCGTCCTCTTGCCCCCGTCACTTGGGTTAAAACCACCGGAAACTCCACTATTGCAAATTTTGTATTAATCCTTGTATGTCTGTCCTTTCTATTGTTAGTCTACAGGTGTATCCAGCAGCTCCAGAGAGACAGCCACCAGCGAGAAGAGGCCATGATGATGGTGGTGGTTTTGTGAAAACGAAAAGGGGGATATGTAGGGAAAAGAAAGAGAGAGCAGACTGTTACTGTGTCTACATAGAAAGGGAAGACATAAGAGACTCCATTTTGAAAAAGACCTGTACTTTCAACAATTGCTTTGCTGAGATGTTGTTAATCTGTAGCTTTGCCCCAGCCACCTTGCCCCAACCACTTTGACCCAACCTGGAGCTCACAAAAACATGTGTGTATGAAATCAAGGTTTAAGGGATGTAGGGCTGTGCAGGACGTGCCTTGTTAACAAAATATTTGCAAGCAGTATACTTGGTAAAAGTCATCACCATTCTCTAGTCTCAATAAACCAGGGGCACAATGCACCGTGGAAAGCCGCAGGGAGCCCTGCCCTTGAAAGCGGCGTATTGTCCAAGGTTTCTCCCCATGTGATTGTCTGAAATATGGCCTCGTGGGATGAGAAAGACCTGATGGTCCCCCAGCCTGACACCCATAAACGGTCTGTGCTGAGGTGGATTAGTGAAAGAGGAAAGCCGCTTGCAGTTGAGATGGAGGAAGGCCACTGTCTCCTGCCTGCCACTGGGAACTGAATGTCTCGGTATAAAACCCGATTGTATATTTGTTCAATTCTGAGATGGGAGAAAAACTGCCCTATGGTGGGAGGTGAGACATGTTTGCAGCAATGCTGCCTTGTTATTCTTTACTCCACTGAGATGTTTGGGTGGAGAGAAACATAAATCTGGCTTACGTGCACATCCAGTCACAGTACCTTCCCTTGAACTTCATTATGACATAGATTCTATTGCTCACATGTTCGTTGCTGACCTTCTTATTATCACCCTGCCCTCCCACTACATTCCTTTTTGCTGAAATAATGAAGATAATAATCAATAAAAACTGAGGGAACTCAGAGACCGGTGCCAGTGCAGGTCCTTGGTATGCTGAGCGCCGGTCCCCTGGGCCCACTGTTGTTTCTCTATACTTTGTCTCTGTGTCTTATTTCTTTTCTGTCTCTCATCCCACCTGACTAGAAATACCCACAGGTGTGGAGGGGCAGGCCACCCCTTCATTATGAGATTACAGGCATGAATAACCCCGCCTGGCCACCTAACTCACTCTTGAGAGGCCAGAAGTGATGCTGGAACTTTCTTCCTCTGTGGGTTAAAAAGGGAAAATTAGGGAGAACACAAGGCATGAGAGATGCAGCGATGGATATGTCTATATGGAGCTTCTGTCTGCATCCAGTAGAAAATGCATTTCTAGGCACCAGGTTTAAGAGCGAAAACCTGGAGTCTTGTCTCTTAGAATTCTCCTTCCCCACAAACCAGAGAGGGAATACATTTGCTCCAGCACACCCGGATGTAGGAAATGTCACATTCCTGTTTCTGTAACTTCAGTTAAATCTGCTCTGAGTCCCTGGATGCCTGGCAGGTGGAGAATTCAATCTTGTCGTTACCAGCATTCCTTTCCCTTCTCCATGGGCTTATGTAAGAATTCTGGGCTTACATGCTGTTGGAAAGCCAGGTAGCAACTACATCCCCCGAACTCTCCATTCTTCCAGCTGCTCATGATCCATCAGCCTTTTTTGGGCCACCTGCTACAACCAGACCCTCCTCACAGCGTCATTCCACTCACCCACAGGCTCAGCCCCAGGGACCCTCACTAGAACGAGTCTCCACTATGCATAGGGACTCACAAAGACCTTCTCTTCATCTTGGCTTCCTCTGATATCCAACCACTCCCCCACTTCTCACCTTAAACACAGATGGCGGCTCCTTCCCATCATTCCAAAACTTGGGGATTGTCCAGCCAAATTCTCTTCAGACACCAAAGCTTCACCCGCCCTCTTCAGGGAGGTGATGCAAGGGCATCTGAGATCTCTGGAAGCCCATTTCTGACCTCTCTTTGGGGTGGGCTGAGAGTGGGAACTAGATTCTCTTTTCCAAGTGCCATGTTTATCTTGTTCATCATTGTATTATCTCCAATGCCTGGCACGTAGTAGGCACTACAGACTGACACAGAGTAGGTGCTATTAGTGTCTGTATAATGGGATTCTTGAGGTTGAAGCTATTAGCAGAAACCTGCCAAGCAAAAGGATGGAAAACCAACCACCAAAAAATAAAATAAAATAAAAAAATAAGAAAACAATCGTGGCTTTGAGCTCTAAACACACAAGGCACCAGCCCAAGTTTGGGCAATTTTAATACAACAGCCATTTTGCCTCTAAACAAACTGGCACTGGAAACCTCCCTCTGCCTCTTAAAGAGAATCAGTTTCTCTTTCTCTAAGTGGGCAGCATTTCTCCCCGGTGGCAGTACCCAGCCCACTGCCACCAGCAAAGGACTGCATCCAGGAGCCAAGAGCTTGATAGTTTAAAGAATAGATTTTATAGGGAAAAACAAAGTAACATCCACATAAATCTGGAACTACCACCACTTTCCAGAGGCCGAATCCCATTTGTGGAGTCTCTTGCCTCTCAAGCACCTTGCAGTCAGCTCAACTACATACTTTTGGGATTCGTTGCAGAGAAGAGTGAAGGTTATCTGCAAAATAAAGGAACCAGGGCTCAGAATTCCCAGAGCAATCCATGACAGAGGAGGTGAGTAGAAAAGGGAAGGGTGATGTCAAAGGAGAGAAGTCAATGAGTTGGCCAACACTAAGCAAGGATCATGGGACCCTCTCCATGGCCCCACATCTCAAAGGAACTCAACAAAACCCATCAATGCTTGGTGTAAGTGTTGTATGCTCCCGGAAACGAAAGCAGGGGCCACATTTCAGGGCAGTAGGGTCGGGGGTAGAGGCAGCGGTCATGGACTTGTGGGCCCTGGAGGATGGGATGATTCTGAGACATTGAATCCCTACACTGATCTCAGTAGAAATCTCAGGTAGGGCTTCAACATTCGTGGACCAAGGACTCTGAGGGCCTGAGAGCAACAGCCTTGGTGCATGTCCCAGCTCCATCTATCCCAACTGGGGCTTCGAACAAGTTACTTATTTTTTTAACGTTTTTTTAATTGACAAATCATAATTGTACACATTCATGTGATGTTTTGATATGTGTATACAATGTGGGATGATTAGATCAAACTAATTAACATGTCCATCCCCTAATTTACTGACAATTTTTATGATGAGACATTTGAAATGTACCCTCTTAGTTATTTTGAAAGATACATTATTATTGACTATAGTCACGCTGCTGTGCTATAGATTTCAAAGCATATAATCCAGCCACCCAACTTCTGGATATAGACCAAAAAAAATCGAAATCAATATGTCGAAGGGATCCCTACGTTCCTATGTTCACTGTAGCACTATTCACAATACCCATGATACAGAATCTACCTAAGTGTCCATCAGTGGATGAAAGGATAAAGAAAATGTACTACATACACACAACGGAATACTATTAACCCTTAAAAAAGAAAGAAATCCTGTCATTTTCAACAACATAGATGAACTTGAAAGACATTGTGTTAAGTGAAATAAGCCAGGCACAGAAAGACAAATACTGCATGATTTTACTTATACGTGGAATCTAAAGAAGTTGAACTCACAGAAATAGAGAGTAGGACAGTGGTTATCAGGGGCTGGGGTGGAGGAAAGGTAGGGGATAGGAGACACTGGTCAAAGGGTACAAAGTTTCCAATAGGAAGAATCAGTTTTGAACAAGCTAAACTCCTCTGAAGGCTCAGTTCCTCATCTGTAGAGCGGGGACACATCATTAACCTTCTAAGGATGTTGCTGTGAGAGTAAAAGATGATGTTCAGCACAATACCTAACGCACAGTCAGGTCTCCTTAAGCTTGAACCTGCGTCGCCATGACCTCTACATCACAGGACAGAAAGGCTCACAGCCAGTGTCTCAGTTCCCAATGAAAAGTGGATCCCAGACCAGGCTGAACAGCAAGATCCCTAGGGGATACCCCACCCTACTGAGTCAGAATCACCAGAGGTAGAGCCTGGGTATGTATGTATGTGCGCGTGTGTGTATGTATGTATGCATGCATGTATGTATGTATGTATGTATAAGAGACAGGGTCTTGCTCTGCAGTCCAGGCTGGAGTGCAGTGTCACAATCATAGTTCACTGCAGCCTCAAATTACTCCTGGCCTCAAGCTATCCTCCCACCTCAGCCTTCAGAGTAGCTGAGACTACAGGCGCATGCCACCAAGCCTGGATACTTTTTTTTTCCTCTTTCTTTTTGGAGAGAGTCTCACTCTGTTGCACAGGCTGGAGTGCAATAGTGCAATCTTGGCTCACTGCAACCTCTGTCTCCTGGGTTCAAGTGATTCTCGTGCCTCAGCCTCCTGAGTAGCTAGGATTACAGGCGTGCACCACCACACCAGGCTAATTTTGCTTTTTTCATTGTTGTTTCTTGTTTGTTTTTCACAAATAGGACTTCTTATTTGCCAATGTTTTAAGTCTGAACTTTAAACAGATTCTTGGATTGGTGGTTCATATCCATCAGCTCATTCAACTTTAGCATGCGTCTCATCCCTAGTGGGTTTTCAAGAACTACTACCTTCACCACGAAGCTCCATGCTTTTCAAACCCAGGGTTCTCCAGCACTTTTACTTTTCTAATGAAGACATCATGGAGAGGATAAATTGGCAAGACTTTTCTACATCTTTTCCAATGTTGTCTGGAATCAATTTATTAACCACTTATTTCAAGTCATTTGTCTGCACCTCTCAGGTCATGATTTCCATCATCTTCTTCTGGATTTGGCAGACTGTTGGTGCTGAGCATAAGAGGTCTTCAGTATCAGATTGTTGTGTTTTTTAGTAAAACCAACACAAAACAGAAGAAAGAAGTAACCATCGGTAGTCTTGACATCAACATGAGCGTCAATCATTGTTGAACATTTTTCAACCTTGGAACATATTTTGTCACAGGTAAGACCCATGCCATAGAAGTTAGTCAGGCAGTGTTTGCCCTGAACATCTTCAGTAATCAGCTTGAATTTTCTAAATGCAACTTCATCATTCCGCAAATCAGCAAGACTCATTTCAAACACAAGACCCTTGAGACCATCAGACGCAATTTGGGTTCCTTGGGTCCTGGTGACCAAGTCTTTCCAATATTTCTTATATTGAACATAGCAGGTGCTTTCACATCATACTGATCTTTCTTAGAGAATGGATCAACTACTTTCTTCTTAACTCCCTTTTTGCCACCTTTCATAAGGCACTTGTTCTTAACAACAGCCATGGTGCTGCTTAGAGTACCAAAAGGCTAAATTTTATATTTTTGGTAGAGAAGGGGTTTCACCATGTTGGCCAAGCTGGTCTTGAACTGATGTCAGGTGATCTGCCCGCCTCAGCCTCCCAAAGTGCTGGGATTACAGGTGTGAGCCACTGCACCTAGCTGATATTTATTTTTTCTTTTTTTGTACAGACAGGGCCTTGCCATGTTGCCAAGGCTGGCCTGGAACTCCTGGCCTCAAGCAATCCTCCCACCACAGCCTCCCAAAGCACTGGGATTTCAGGTGTGAGCCACCATGCCCAGCCTGGATCCATTTTTAAAGCCAATCAAGTGTTGAAAAAAATTGCAACTTGGGCTGTTTTTTCTTTGCATTTTTTACATTTCAATGGTTTTTAATATATTCAGAGATATACGCAAACATTACCAGTCAATTTTAGAACATTTCATGACCTCAAAAAGAAACCTCATACCCTTTAGCTAACACCCCCTATCCTCCCATGCCCCTACCAGCCCTAAGCAACCACTAATCGACTTCCTATTTCTATGGATTTCCATCTGAATGAAATCATGTAGAATGTGATCTTTCATCTGTTTTGAAGGTTCATCCACGCTGTAGCGTATGTACTTTCCTCCCTTTTTGATCAAATAATATTCCACCATGTGGGTAGACAACGATCGGTATATCTCTTCATCTGGTGATGGGCATTTGGATTAATTCCCTCTGTGGGTTTTTAGGAGTGATGCTATTGTAATTATTCATGCACAAGTTTTTGTGTGGACCTGTGCTTTCATTTTTGAATATGAAAATATGGCACATCTCCAAGGAAGACATACAAGTGGCCAATAGGCACATGAAAAGATGCTCAATGAAATTCATCATCAGGGAAACAGAAATCAAAACCACAATGTGATACCACTTCATAGCCATAAGGATGGCTAGAATCGAAGATACAGAAAATTGGCCTGGTGTGGTGGCTAATGCCTGTAATCCCAGCACTTTGGGAGACTGAGGCAGGTGGATCACCTGAGGCCAGGAGTTTGAGACCAGCCTGGCCAACATGGTGAAACCCTGTCTCTACTAAAAAAATACAAAAATTAGCCAAGCATGGTGGCAGGTGACTATAATACCAGCTACTCGGGAGGCTGAGGCAGGAGAGTAACTTGAATCTGGGAGGCAGAGGTTGCAGTGAGCTGAGATTGTGCCACTGCACTCCTGCCTGGGCGACAGAGCAAGACTTTGTCTCAAAAAAAAAAAAAATACAGAAAATAACAAGTGTTGGTGAGGATGCAGAGAAACTAGAACTTTCATACACTGCTGGTAGGAATTAAAATGGTGCAGCCACTGTGAGAAACACTTTAACAACTTCCCAAACAATTCTACACAGAGTTACCAAATGACCCAGTAATTGTACTCCTAGGTATAGGCCCAACATGGGCTCTTTTAATCTACGGAAATTGAACTATGGGTACTTAGCAAGAACAAAGAGGGAGAGAGGCAGAAATGGTGCCATGAGGGCACATTGATTGGTCTCTAGTACACAGGGCTCCTACCACAAATGGTCTCTAAATGACTTCATCAGTTGCTCATAAAAAAAATCACCCTCTGCTCCAATCGTGGAGGAAGAAGTATGGATTGGACCTGGTGAGCCACGGTAAGACTGACTGTTAAACTTTATGAATGATGAGGGGATTTGCATGTATAATCTTGACTGTACTAGATTTTTTATTTTATCCACTGTCTTTGAAAACCTAACTCTTGACTAAGAACTGACTTTCCTGTACTTGTTTTTGACTCTAAGTAAATTTCCAATTCCAATAGTCCAAAGATGATGTGTTGAGAAATCTCTCAAAGGAAAAATGCTAAGAATACAGGCAGAGTTATGCGGCAAATTTTGCAGAATTAACACACATTGTACTTGTAGGTACGAAGCACAAAACATTTTCATGAGTAAAGAAAAAAGTGCTCTTCATTCTAGTAGAGGCTGCAGGATGAAGCCGATCAAGGTGCTTGCCCAGCCAGACCTTGGGCTCTTATCAAATTTGTGTTAGAGTCAACTCTGATGGAGTCTGTATCTCAGTCATCTTTTTTTTTGACATGGAATCTCGCTCTGTCTCCCAGGCTGGAATGCAGCGGTGTGATCTCAGCTCACTGCAACATCTGCCTCCTGGGTTCAAGCGATTCTCCTGCCTCAGCTTCCCAAGTAGCTGGGGCTACATGTGCGTGCCACCATGCCTGGCTAATTTTTGTATTTTTAGTAGAGACGTTTCATCATGTTGGCCAGCCTGTGCTCAAACTCCTGGCCTCAAGTGATCAGCCTGCCTTGGCCTCCCAAAGTGCTGGGATTACAGGCATGAGCCACCATGCTCAACCTCAGTCATCTTTTATCCTCCACGCCTGGCAAGTTCTAGACCCACTGCGGTTCCATACAAGTTTTTTGAATAAATAAGAGACAGATAGAAAGTGGGAACTCTGGAAGTAGAGAAGATTCCAGAAATTGTGCATATTTCCCAGAGACTGTGGCCAAATTCCTCAGTCCTGCCAGAGTTTCTCTATCTCAACTCAAACCTTACGTGTGGGCCCAGACACAGTGGCTCACACCTGTAATCCCAACACTTTAGGAGGCTGAGGTGGGCAGATCACTAGAGGCCAGGAGTTTGAGACCAGCCTGGCCAACATGGTGAAACCCTGTCTCTACTAAAAATGCAAAAATTAGCCAGGCATGGTGGTGTGCACCTGTACTCCCAGCTACTCGGGGGGCTGAGGCACAAGCATTGCTTGAACCCAGGAGGTGGAGGTTGCAGTAAGTCACGATTATGCCACTGTACTCTAGCCTGGGCAATAAAGCAAGACTGTCTCAAAAGAAAAAAATACCCTTATGTGTGGGCCTTGTTATAGAATTAATGTTTATGTGGACAGTATGTACATGGGTGTATGTTAAGAGCATGAGTCATCCACAAGATTTTAGCAAAGTCCATTTAGAAAGCTCAATGCTTTGGGCTTCCACTTGCCTTGCTGCCTGTGTCCTCAGAAGGAGGCTTCATCCTTCCATGTACCCAGCAAATCCTTTATGCAGAGATGTACACAACACACTCCTGTCCTTGGCTATGACACCTTGAAACGTTCCTCTTGGTGGCCCCTGGTGCTCATTTCAGAGTATTTCAAATTAAGGTGATCAGCTTTCATGCCAATCACTCTACAAATCACTCCTATTATGACCAATTTTTCTAAATGCTTTATTGAATTACTACTTAAAGAAATGTGCACATAGAAGAGGTCAACACAGTACTTTTCTTACAAACTGAACATACTGGCCAGGCGCAGTGGCTCATGCCTGCCATCCCAGCACTTTGGGAGGCCGAGGTGAGCAGATTGCTTGAGCCCAGGAGCTCGAGACCAGCCTGGGCAACATAGTGAGACCCCCTTCTCTACAAAAAATAAATAAATACAAAAATTAGGCAACAGTGATGGCACATGCCTGTAGTTCCAGCTACTCAGGAGGGCTGAGGTGGGAGGGCTGCTTGAGCCCAGGAGGCAGAGGCTGCAGTGAGCCATGACGGTGCCACTGTGCTCCAGCCTGAGTGACAGAGTAAGATCCTGCCAAAAAAAAAAAAAAAAGAAACTGAACATCTCCATATTACCAACACCCAATTCAAGAAACAGAACATTACAGCCCCTTCCAGGATATTCCTGGGGTCTATTCCATTTCTACTAACCCCTGACTACAAACAGCCTCCACTTATTTCACCTGACATTGTACTTTATGAAAGCAGCAGTTCTCAGATGGGGCTATTTTGCCCCCTGGGGACATTAGGCAATATCTGGAGACACTGGGGGTTGTCTGTACTTGGGGGGAGTTGTGTTACTGCATCCAGTGAGTCCAGGGATCCAGGGATCCTAAAATGCACAGGGAACCCCCACACATACAACAGAGAAATTGCTGAGCCGAAATGTCAGCAGCGTCACAGCTGACACCCTGACATACACAGAATCACACAGTATCTGCTCTTTCGTGCTCAGGATCTCTGTCATTCTAATCATTTCATAGGAAACAGAAGTGTCATTTGGAGGTAGGTAGAGTCCAAAACAAAGAAGATCCAGAGTTTTGTTTTTAATCAGCCTGGTGCCTTTAGAGCTAGGATTTAGTTTCCATTCTTTCTGTCTCATTTTCAAGTGATTTTTCTTCAACTGGCATCTGCTGGGCTCAAGACCCGGAGATCCCCACAAAGCTGAGATTCACATGGGAATTTTGTACACACCCACACAGGTATACACTGCCGTTTACATGCAGACATCCACCCACAGATACCCACATCCGGAGACCAAGACAGAAAGCAAACTCCACCATAAAAGCACGGTTCCCCGAACAGGAGAAACGCACCATTCACTCAAGGGAGGTACCTATTTGTTTAATTCAGCCTCTGATAGGCTGTTGCCAAGCCCAGCTTTGAAAGTCTTCCCCTCTAGGAAAGAGAGATGGATTTTTTCTTTACTCAAGAATATAGATCTAAAAAAAACAAACACTTCTGCATCTCAAAGCAGGCTCTACTTCCTGAGCTACACATATTGATCAGCATTTTATTGTCAGTTTTCTTTTATTTGAACTGGAGAAAAATATAACCTAATTGTGTTCTTACTGACAGTTTGGAATCAGTCACACTAAATCCAATTCTCTGGGTTCTCATGATTAAGGTGTTTAATTTGGGGGACAACAAAGCAAAAGCATTGGTCGTGTTTTAATATAATTAGTACAGGATATATCTAAGGGGTTCAAGTATCACTGTAGCAAGAAGCTCATTCTGCAGTAAAAGGGGGATTCTGCCACTATGATTGAGTGAGGGTGATTCATGGCTGCATCATTTCATCAATGTCTCTTCAAGAGTCCATGGAATGTGGAATGGGAAAGACTGAAATAGTCCAAGTCTTGGCTAAGCTTCTATTAAGGGGTGTTAGGAGCTGATAAAATAACCTGATCTTTATAGACATCCCACACTGTTGTTCTGTAAGCTACAGATTCTCAGATTTTTCTATTTTATAAACCAGTAAAAATATTTTATTAATTGGAGAACCAACATAAGGTTGCTACTTTTTTTTTCTTTTTGGTAAGAAGGAACTTTTTTAAACTACCAGTTTCACACACACACACACACACACACACACACACACACACACACACACACACACAGAAATTCAACCATGATTGGTCAGAATAGGTGAGGTTTTGCTGCAATAACAAACAACTCCTAAATCTTGGTAACTTCAAACATCAGTAGTTGTTTTTCTCACTCATGCTACATCTGCAGGGAGGTGTGGGTTGCTCTGTTTTCCATCAAACTTGCCCTAAGACTAAGGCTAATGGGGGCCGCATTACCTCGAGTATCACCAAGCAAGGAACAGCAGGAGAAGAATGCTAGAGATCCTTGTACTAAGAATTAAACGCTCCAGGCTAGAAGTCTCACACTGCACCTCTGCCCCCAGCCTTTTGGCCAGTACTAGACACATCCCCTCCCCCACCACAGGGCAATGCATGAAGACAGGAGAACTGGATACATTACAAATTTCTACCCTATGGCATTTCATAAAAGAGAAAAAAATGCAAATACAAAAATGTTTTAATAGAATAGAATATATACATTTTTAGAATAAAGAACAATCCTCCAAAAAGGACAGCTGGTGGTCTTTCACCAATGGGCACATTTCTGTGACATTTTCTCTGTTTTTCCATTTTATCCTTGACCTATGAACATTTTATACAGATGGTCCAAAGAACACCATTTGGGGACCACTGCTCTAATCAGGTGATGAAAACGGCCCCAAGAACAGAGCACAGTCTCTTTAGCAAAGACCCAGCAGGGCCAGGGTGACCATACTCTCACCATCAATGTGCAGACATCCACCTGCAGCATCCTCACATCCCAACATCAAACAGTGGCTCTTTATAGCTTGATTCTAATGCCCTTTGATCTTCATAATCATTGTAAAGCTCTCTGGCCCCAAGATCTAACATCGCCACTCTAGCTACATCCTGCAACTGTTCACCTCTCCTGCCTCCTCATCCCTCTAAACTTCTCTTCACAACCTCCTGTTTCCTTCTTGCTTTACCTTCCTGCTCAGCCTGGACCTTACAGTCACCTTCTTCTTGTAATGTGCTCCTAAACTCGTTCTTCCCTGCCTCCAACCACACCCACCTGGAAAATCTCCATACCCCATTGATGACTTGCCTCGCAATTGCCCAAGGGCTGCTGAATGATACTGGAAAGAATCACATCATGGATCTGGTAGTTCCACTAAATAATCTCACCATCCAACTCTAGGGTAGACTTCACTTCTGTTCAGCAATATTTTTAAGCATCACAAATAAATTCCAAACCATATTTGCTATAACAATTAACTTTAAACCTCTTCCATATCCCAAAGCCCCCCAAACCCATCCCTAGGGGTTTCAGAGCCCAGAGTTGAGTTCTCTCAACTCACTTCTATTTCACCCCTAGATCACTGTACCTTGACCCTCTTCCTCTGCCTTTCCCATCTTATAAGGAGAAGCATCCTTCTCCTTTCCAAAGCTGCCTTCTCCACTTGTGCCTCATTTGAGACCTCCCTTTATCACCCCTTCCCTTGGAACTCCCATGACTCACCACCTTCACTTGTCATTTCACTCATAAATATTTTGCACCATGTATGTGCCAGGCGTTTAACATATAATCATGCTTAAGTCTCCACATGCTAACAAGAAAAACCTTGATTATCCCTGCTATGCCCTCAAGTCATTACCCTCCCCGCTCCTTTCCTGTGTTCCCAAACTTTGCTGATCTTCATCAATCCCTCTGATGCAGAGGGCTCCGAAGTTTGCATCCTATTAGGTTGGTGCAAAAGTAATTGCGGATTTTGCCATTGAAAGTAATGGCAAAAACAGCAATTATTTTTGTACCGGCCTAGTATCTTTTCTCCTTCTACCAAACTTTGTCCCTGAGCCATCTCATCACCTATAACTACCTCCTCCATGCAGTTGATTCCCAGGTCTGTATTATTCTACTGAAAGTCCATTCCCCAACTTTCTCGGCTACAATAACAGAAGCCCAATTAGAATTCATGCTACCAGTTTCCCACCACGACCACCACCACCACCGTCGCCCTGCCATTGTTAGCAAAACCATCTCTTGAGTGGAGCTCAAAGATTTGTACTCTCCCACTCCCCAGAAAGATAACTTCAGACTCAGCCTAGAAGTAAAGATCCTCCAGATACGGCCTCAACTACCCTCCAACCCATGTCCCCAGTGCATCCCTTTGATGCCCCCTTCAGTGGAGTTAAAATGGAGTGAGTGTTTTTCTTTTTACATACTCTTGGTGTTCTTCCACAAATACAATTTTCACCTCTTGAATATTTTCAAGGATTCTCCATGCTACACACAGTGAAATCCAAACTCCCCATCAGGACCCCAGTCTTCCCAAACCCTCTTTGCATTTTTCTGCCTCCATGCTTTCCCTTGGGTCATCCTCTTCTCTAATACAACCTTGTGTATTATTCTAGGTTATCCAGAGAAAGAGCAGAGAGATAGAGGTAGAGCTATACACATAGACAGAGACAGATTGATTAGTTGTAAGGGATGGCTCACATGGTTATGGAGGCTAAGGAGTCCTGGAGTCTGCAGCCAGCAAGCTGGGGACCCAGGACAGCCAATGATATAGTTCCAACTCAAGTCCACATCTAAAGTCAGGACAAGATTGATGTCCCAGCTCAAATATAATCAGGTAAAAAGAGCAAATTCTCTGTGTCTCTACCTTTTTGTTTTGTTCAGGCCTTCAGTGGATTGGATGAGGCTCACCCACATTGGGGAGGACAATCTGCTTTATTGAGTCTACCAATTAAATGTTATCCTCATCCAGAATACCTCAGAGACACACCCAGAATAATGTGTAGCCAAATATCTGGGCACCCCACAACCCAGTCAAATTCATACATAACACTAACCATCATGTCTTGCTTCTACTCTCTCGCCATTACTGCATGGCCAAATCCTTCCCTTATTTCAAGGCTTAGTTCAAATGTTACCTCTTAACTAAGCCTTCCCTGCTAACCCCAAATATTAATAGAATTGGTTTCTCCCTTCTCTGATGTCTCAAAATACGTTGCGTGTTTCTCTTTTACTGTATTTATTACAAACTCCCTTATAAATCAAGACAGTGATTCCCAGACAAATTATCAAAAGAGTATAAAAGAAGTCTTCTTTGAGTGTGAAATATCTCATGGAATATAGCACATGGCCTCTTCATGAAGAAACTACTGGGAGAGAAGAAGACAAGCTGGAAGAGGCCAGGGAAAGGGGGTTAGTACAAAGCACAATGAGGCTGGGCTCATACAGTGGCTCACACCTGTAATCCCAGCATTTTGAGAGGCCAAGGCCAGCGGATCACGAGGTCAGGAGATCGAGACCATCCTTGATAACACGGTGAAACCCCGTCTCTACTAAAAATACAAAAAAGTTAGCCAGGCATGGAGGCGGGCACCTGTAGTCCCTGCTACTCGGGAGGCTGAGGCAGAAGAATAATGTGAACCCTGGAGGCAGAGCTTGCAGTGAGCCGAGATCGCACCATTGCACTCAAGCCTGGGTGACGGAGCAAGACTCCATCTCCAAAAAAAAAAAGAAAGCACAATGAAATGCCTGTGGATGGGTGCCTATAATTTCTAAGGGAAATAGAGTATAATCCAAGAATTTTATAGCCAGCTAAATTATTTCCCAATCAAAATAGGCAAAAGACACTATCGCGTGTTCAAGAACTTAAAGAATACAGTATTTCTGAGCTCTTTAAAAAAAAAAGTCTTCATAATAAAATTTAGTCAGCCAAGAAATTAAAAAATAAGCAACTTGTGAATTGAATGACCATGACAAAAGGCTAGTGATGAGAGGTGAATCCATTTAAAAATAGGACTATGATTGCAGAACAGAAAGAAAAGGTGGTCAACCTTAACAACATAAAACAACCTAGAAATAACTAGTTTCCAGAGGTAAAGGGAGTGACTGTAGGAAGCAGAAGTGCTAATGCCCTTTATTAAATCAATTAATCAGGTCTAAAATTGAAACGTGGTTTTAAATATATAACTTCTTGTTTATTTTCCTCCCTAACTACCTGAGGATCAACCACCATGATGAATGACACAGTAACTATCTGGACCAGGAAGTTCATGACCAATCGACCACTCCAGAGGAAACACATGGTCACCAATGTCCTTCACCCCGGAAAGGCAACAAAATGTACAAGACCACAATGGATGTCATCTTCATATTAATAGTTGGACTCAGAACCCATTCTGGTGGTGGTTAAACAATGGGCTTTGGCATGCTATCTGGTTCTTTGAATTATGCAAAGAACAATGAAATCAAACATAGACTTGCAAGACACGGCTAGCATGAGAAGAAGATGACCTCAAGAAAACAGCAAAGGAATGCAAGGGCAGAATGAAGTCAAGAGACTGCAAAGGCCAATGTCAGTGCTGGCAAAAAGCAAAAGGAGTAAAGATTTTGCAATGACTTTATTTTCAGTGACTGTACAATTTTTTCATGAGATGATCAGTCAACTGTAAAGACTTCTACATATATAGAAAACATCTTAATATTTTTCATCATCTTTGATTTCTTAGATGTTCTAGAAACTGATTTTTAGTGAGGAAAAACTACGCTTATCTGAGTTGACCAGTTCCTTCAGTTTCACTTCTATTTCTTTTTCTTCTGATGAATTTACATAGCATTCAATTTGCTACTTCTTGTTTTTAAAATCTCATTTTGTGTGATCAGAAGTGTCTGTTCATGTCTCTAGCCATCTTTGTGCATAGCAAGGAATGCTGTTCACTTAATATTAGGAGGTTTATTTCTTGGGGTTGTGAGATTTAGGGTGATTTCTCTCCCTTTTTGTACTTTTCTGTATTCATTAATTTTTTTGAGACAATGTCACCAATGTTCTTCATATTAATATTTGGACTCAGAACCCATTTTGGAGGTGCTTAAACAATTGTCACCAACATTGGAGTGCAGTGGCATGATCTCAGCTCACCAAACCTCTGCCTCCCAGGCTTAAGTGATTCTCCTGCCTCAGCCTCCCCTGTAGCTGGGATTACAGGCACGTACCACTACCCCCTGGCTAATTTTTATATTTTTAGTAGAGATGGGGTTTCACCTTGTTGGCCAGGCTGGTCTTGAACTCCTGACTTCAAATGATCCACCCACCTTGGGCTCCCAAAGTGCTAGGATTACAGGAGTGAGCCACCGTGCCCAGCCTTTTCTGTATTAAATTTTTTAAAACACAGCATTTAAAATAATCAAGTCATTCTTTTTGAATCTACTTTGTATTATAGGTATCCAAATACTCACCCATTCTCTCTTACATGATGACAAACTTGTTGAAATGTCATTTCATTTTGTGGCTCCAGCCCCAGGGATTCTGACTTTGATTCTAAAGGGTCTGCATGCAGAGCGAGCAAGCTGCCTGGATGATTCTCTTACAGGTGTTTTAAGGGCAGGAGTTTGAGACACCCTGATGCAAAAGAACAAACCCTCAAGGAAGTTGGCTGTACATTTATTTTCCTTCCTAGCACAGGAAACGACAGAAAGATTATCCGATCAGTACCACTCATAGCACCTGATTATATGTGTATGAGAAATACAGAAATGGTTTGATCAAGGCTGAAGACCTAAAAACAGGCTCTTCTCTTGGACACCAAGTCCCCATCTCATGCATTGTTGAGTTAGTAGAAACTGAGGATGATGCTTCTTCCTCCAGCATTGGTATCCCATGGTTTTTGTTCAGTAGATGAAGTACCTCCATCCCCCAACATCCCCAAGCTCTATCCCAGTTTCCTCACATACACTTTTTTTTTTTTTGAGACAGAGTCACGCTCTGTCACCCAGGCTGGAGTGCAGTGCAGTGGTGCAACCTCAGCTCACTGCAACCTCCACCTCCCAGGTTCAAGCGATTCTCCTGCCTCAGCCTCCTGAGTAGCTGGGATTACAGGCATGCGCCATCATGCCTGGCTAATTTTTGTATTTTTAGTACAGACAGGGTTTCACCACGTTGGCCAGGCTGGTCTCAAACTCCTGGCCTCAAGTGATCTGACCACCTCAGCCTCCCAAGTGCTAAGATGTGAGCCACCGTGCCCAGCCTCCTCACTCACACTTTTACAGAAGATCTGATCATACCCACTCTGCAGAAGTCAGAATGGCCCCCACGTGGTGTTAAACGGGAGTGAAAACTTGAGTTCAATCAACTGAGGGTGACACAGAAACATTTCCCCCAAAATGCTTTTGGCAGCTCTGCTGATCCATAACCTGGCTCCATTTCAGGGCAAGACCTCCACTTTAGCTGCACTGGCTTCCACTAGAGTAAATCACATTAACTCATGGCGAACACAACTGAAGGGCAAAAAGATTCTTTTTAAAATGATTTTGTCTCTCACTTACCAACACACGCTGGCCTCCCTACAGCCTGACTCCATTCAGCACCTGTTCCACTGAGCACCCACTGAAAGCTCAGCTCATGAGCTGAGATGACCCCGACATCAAGGAGTTTACAATCCAGGGGAAGAACAGACCTGAATACAAGTGGTGACAATACAAGACGGAGTCAAAGAGCCCAACTTGAAGTTTCAGGAGAATAGCACCAAAGACTAGTTCCCAATCCAGCTCCCAGAGCCAGAGCCAGAGCCAGAGCCAGAGCCAGGCTGGCTGCATGAGATCAGCTGGGAGCTTTTGCAAACATAGGTCCTAGCTGAGACCCTAATCATCAGACTGGGAGTCACTGGGAGTGAGCTCCAGGAATTGGTGTATTTAATAAGCATCCACACACACACATGATTCTGATGTTCCTATGGGTTGTAGAAACATGGAACTATGGAAAACACTAAAAAAAGGCACTAAAAGAAACCTATAAATATTCACTGCCATCCCAGTCATCATGAGGATGCTCCACGTCCACTATTTACAATACTTAGAATAACCTGCAAGGGAAGCATTCATTCGTGACGATAGGTTTTATCGGGAACAGAACCAGCCCTGGGAATGCTTGAACCTGCACTGAAGGTCACCCCCTCCTCCCCACAGGAGGGGGCTAACATTAAGGAGCAGGGGCCAGATGGGAAATGGAGTGTCCTTTTATTATGAGACCACAGTGAGACTCTTTTTTTTTTTTCCAGAGTCTCGTTCTTGCCACCCAGGCTGGCTTGCAGTGGTACAATCTCAGCTCACTGCAACTTCCGCCTCCCGGGTTCAAGCAATTCTCATGCCTCAGCCTCCCGAGTAGCTGCGACTATAGGCGCCTGCCACCACGCCTGGCTAATTTTTGTATTTTTAATAGAGACAGGGTTTCACCATGTTGGTCAGGATGGTCTTGATCTCTTGACCTCATGATCCACCTACCTTGGCTTCCCAAAGTACTGGGATTACAGGTGTGAGCCACCACGCCTAGCCTGAGACTTTCAAGTACAGCCACAATGGACCACAGAGCTTAGACATCAGGGCTAACATGGAATCTCTGTCATTAAATCTTGAGATCTTATTATCTTTGCTCAAAGAAAAAAAAATCAGAATTGACATTTTGAGGACAAGACATCTGAATGTAAACTTGACCTTAGAGGATATTAAGGAATTACTGGTAATTTGATTAGGTATGACAATGATCATATAAAAAATGCCCTCATGTTTTTAGAGGGAAAGTAAATTATGTAGGGGTGAATATCAGGATGCAATTACATAACTACTGTAAACTATTTTTTAAATACTTCAGAAAAACAAATGGAGTCAATATTGCAAACGTTAATCGTTTTTAAACCTATGTGATGGGTATATGATAGCTTATTAAACTAGTCTCTCTACTTTTATGTATATTGAAAATTTTTCATAATAATAATAATAATAAAAACCTTGGCCAGGCACAGCAGCTCATGCCTGTAATTCTGGCACTTTGGGAGGCCGAGGTGGATGGAGGACTGCTTGAGCCCAGGAGTTTGAGACCAGCCTAGGCAACCTGGTGAAACCTCATCTCTACAAAAAATAGACAAATTAGTCAGGCATGGTGGTGTGCACCTGCAGTCCCAGCTACTCAGGAGGCTGAGGTGGGAGGATCACCTGAGCCCAGAAGGTCAAGGCTGCAGTGAGCCAAGGTCATGCCACTGCACTCCAGCCTGGGTGACAGAACCTGTCTCAAACAAACAAACAAGCAAACAAAAACCCTCTTGATCCCATTTCCCAAAAAAATGATTTTTTTGAGATCTTACCATCTCCTGGCTTGGTGCAGAGTACAGGAAATCAAGACAAAGTATAGCACACAAGGAATAAGGAGGGGGGGAAGTGTGGGGGAGGCTGACACTGTGGACTCTCCCAGCTCAGTCGACCCATGCACCTTGCTTCATGGAAGAAAGGAATGGAAGATGAATCATGCCTTCAGCACACAGTGACCTTCCTCACTAGTAAATGTGCCTCCAAAAGTGTCCAAGAACTCAGCGCCAGAGCCAGACTGGCAGCATGAGAATCACCTGCAAGCTTTTGCAAACATAGGCCCCTACTGGGTTCAAATGTATTCATCTCTTGGAGAGGAGGAGAGAGGCAGAACAAGGAAAAGGATGGGAAGAAACCAGCCTTGTGCACAGGAGGATGCTGGGATTCCTCCTGCACATTTAGCGCAATGCAGCCTATTTTACAAGGTCACAGAAGCTCAGAGAGGTAAACCTGCCCAGGTTCTCGTAGATTGTAACTGGCAAAACCTGCCCAAATCTCTGTCTCTAGAGATATTTCCACTTGCTTCAACTCTGGAGCTGTCTTAGTTGTAAAGATGACAGATTCCACTCATCACTCACTTTTGTTTGCAGATATTGCCTAAGGTCCCTTGTGAATATTTAGGTCAGGGCTGTTTTTTTGAGTTTTTTGTTTGTTTGTTTCTTGGTTTTTTTACAAAGCAATCTTGTGGAAAGAACCCCAAGTGGCTCCCCATTTAAGACCCTGTAAACAGGGAGACCAGAGTCTGGAGTCCTGGTCTGGTTTCCACACCTTCATTAGATTTCCCTGTGTGTAAAATCCAACAACGATCTTTGACAAATTGCCTCCCCTAGGGGAGAGATGGAGGAAGTGTTAACTTTGCTGCTTTTTTTTTTTTTTTTTTTTTTTTCTGTTTTCAGACAGAGCCTCCCTCTGTCACCCAGGCTGGAGTGCAGTGGTGCCATCTCAGCTCACTGCAACCTCTGCCTCCTGAGCTCAAATGATTCTTGTGCCTCAGCCTCCTGAGTAGCTGGGACTACAAGCAGATGCCACCACACCTGGCTAATTTTTGTATTATTAGTAGAGATGGAGTTTCACATATTGGCCAGGCTGGCATCGAACTCCTGGTCTCAAGTGATCCGCCCCCTTCAGCCTCTCAAAGTGCTAGGACTACAGGCATGAGCCACCATGCCCAGCCACTTTGCCATTTTTTGTTAATAGACAGCTTCGAGGTCCAGTATGAGTTCACAGATTAGGAAACATCACAGGCAAAGAAGAACACTTTGCATTCAAATAGCAGAATGTTTTCATTTTCAAAGAGCTCTCACCTGCCATCTAATCTTGTCTTCCTAGCAGTCCTGGGAGAGAAGCAGATGTGGTTTCCAATCCCACTTTCCAGAAGAGGAGACTGAGGCAGAGGCTTTGCAGATACACAGAGGACATGTGAGGACAGGCGAAGGTCATGATCATTGTCAGCCCCCTTCCCCAACTTGACATTCCCAGATCTGGTGGACTTCCAGCCAGAGGAGACAGAAGGATTGGATCACTCAACTCTGCCATGGGTGCCAGGACCAAATTTTTCCCTGGCTGACTCGGTCACATCCTCTCTGGGATCTCCAACTACTACCGATCCCACAAGTCTTAGCTAAAACAGCAATTTAATAAGGAACTTTTTTTCTGAGGCTCCAGGATTGGGCCAGGCTCTCTCCATGGCTCTCTGCCCTTTCCCTACTGCAGAACTTAGCACCCGTATGTCACTATTGGTTCAAACATGTGCCTTTCGTATGCTCTCCACGTTATCTGCAGCATCTGCCAAGAATAATAATGAATGGTAAAACCTAATCTATTGAGTGTCGATGATGCACTTTTAACGTGACATCTTATTTAATCCTCACTATATCTGCAAGAGTAGAAGCTATTAATAGCCAATTTTCAGATAAGAAAATCAAAGCACAGTTTCTATAACTTACCCAGGTAGCTAGCTAGGAGGCAGCTCAGTTGGAGCCCAGGGAATCATATTCTAGAGACCGTGTTCTCAATTACTAGAGCAGGTACCTCCCCAGAATCTAGCAGGTGGTTAACGAGTCTTTGTGGAATAAATGAACAGAAGGGCAAGCAGATGGATGGATACATAGGTGGGTGGGTGGATAGATGGGTGGATGGAAAGATGGGTGGGCAGGCAGGTGGATGAATGAATGGATGGTTGAGTCGGTGAAGGGATGGCTGAGTGGGTGGAGAAATGGATGAGTGGGTGAGGGGGTGGCGGGATAAATGGATGGACGGGTGGGTGGATAGATGGGTAGATGAGTGAATGGGTGGATAGATGCATGGGTGAGTGGATGGATAGATGGGTTGGTGGGTGGGTAGGTGGATGACAGTTGGGTGCATAAGAGAGTGGGTTGGATAGATAGATGGGTGGGTGGGTGGATAGATGGGTAGGTGGGTGGATGGATGTATGCATGTCTGGATGGATGGATGGATGGATGGATGGAAGGAGGGGTGGACGGATGGATGGACAGATGAACAGATGGACTTGAGCATTTATTCGGGGTCCTCCACAGAATTGAGTGATTTCCAAAGGTGTCTCATCACCTGCAGGTGGGTGGGCAAAAGGGCTTGCCTCTGTAATACTCATGATTACGGGTAGTGCTCAGCCTTAGTTACCACTCTCAGACCACTTTATTGACTAGGAAAGTCAAAACTGGCATTGACAACTAATGCAAATTACAGCTATAACTAACAGAAGATGTTGAGTGATGACAGCTGGGCAACCAATAATCAATAACTTGGCTGTGTCATGTTGCTGTCATGCTGGACAGGTAGAGCCATGGGTTCCCTAATCCCTCCATCACATTGAGGATGCTTATCAAGACTTCCCCAACCATGGGGACAGGGATCTTATCAAATACTTGCAGTTCACCCCAAAAGGCTCACCCTCTTCGTTCCACCTGCACATGACCTTCAGCTCAAAGACATTTCCAGTCCTGCAGGTCAGCCCTTCTTCCAGCCTTTGAATTAACCCTGATGACTGCCTGCCCATTAGGTGTCTTCAACTTTCATCACACAGCCTTTTCCAAGGCTTTCCTTCAGTCCAGCCCTCACTAAACGCTGTAACTGTTGTTGACAAAATCCAGAACAAGCTGGCTGGGGGATACAGGTGGGAAGCAGGCTGTAGTAATGGGGAAAAATTCTAAGCAATCTCGAACACAGAAAAGAAACTGAACAGGTAAGAGAGAGGCAGTCAAGAGAAGAAGTGTGAATTTTGCATAACTGAAGCTGAAGAAGAGCAGGGGGCATGGCAGACCACAAGATAAATATGATATAGACTCCTTTTTAAAAAAGTATAAACACCCACCATTTCCTACTGAGAACTGTGCTTCAAATATTGCTAAGGTCTTTACTAAAGGCAAGTCAGAAAAACGGGGTATTTTATGCAATACAGTAAGAAGGCCCATAGGCAAGCATGTTCCTGACATCACCTTCTAGGATAACCCCTGGGATTCTGGTTACACCTGTCCTAAAGTTGTCTCTCACTCCTGCTGTTGGAGAGCTACCAAGAGAGAAGAACCATAGTGAATTCGTTAAGAGTGTGCACCCAGCGACCAGCCAGATGGCTTCAAACCATCACTACCTACTACTGAGCAAGTTACATAATGTTCCTGAGCCTCAACTTTCTCATCTGTAAAATGGGTATGCCGTCATTCATTCATCAAACTCTAGGTGAGCATATACTAAACACCAGAGACACAAATGAGAATCAGGAACAGGCATGGCCCTGGTCCTCATGGTGACCAGTCTTGAAGGGGAAGGATGACATGCACAGAAATAGGAATCCATAGCTGAGCTAGTGTCTACCACAGAGAGGCACCTGGTGTCATGAAAGCAGATAACAGGGGGTTGCTGTGACTGAGTCAGTGTGGCCAGGCGTCCCTGAGGATGTAGTGACTCCACTGTCAGATGAGACTGTGACCAGGTGAAGAGGCAGGGAGATGGAAAATCTTTCCAGGCAGAAAGAGCAGGATGTGCAAAGGCCTTGAGGCAGGAAAAGAGCAAAGGAAGTGTAAGAGCCTGAAAGAGGCTAGAGAGAACAAGTGAACATGTGGATAATCACAGCACCCACCTCATACAGGACTTGCAAGAAATTGAGACCCTGTCTGTAACAGATTCAGCAATGACTAAATAGAAACTATCTCCTAAAAGCACAGGATGAGGCTCCTTGGTGGTATTTCCCATGTAAGGCTGCCATGGACTCAGAGGCCAAGTTCAACCTGCCTGTAGACAACCTCCAAGCCAGCTGGACACACATACACACTCAGGCTCAGGATACCCAGGACAGAGTCCTGGATGCTTGAAGTCATGATAAGTATCCAGAATGACACAGAATCCCAGCCAGGCTTGGTGGCTCACACCTGTAATCCCAGCACTTTGGGAGGCCGAGGTGGATCACCTGAGGTCAGGAGTTCGAGACCAGCCTGGCCAACATGGTGAAACTCCCTCTCTACTAAAAATATAAAAAAATTAGCCGGGTATGGTTGTGGGTGCCTGTAGTCCCAGCTACTCAGGAGGCTGACGCAGGAGAATCGCTTGAACCCGGGAGGCAGAGACTGCAGTGAACTGAGATTGCACCATTGCACTCCAGCCTGGGCAACAAAAGTGAAACTCTGTCTCAAAAAAGAAAGAAAAAAAAAAAGAATGACACAGAATTTGCTAAAGGGGGAGAAAGGGCTTTCTTCCAAAGCTGGGCCTGATCTCTACAGAGAGTCTTCCAGATGAAAATTAAGCAGATCTTTGCAAGCACCTCAGAGGAGAACCCCTAACCCTGATGCATCAGACACACAGGCGGATCCAAGACAACTGGCTGCGTGCATGTGAACAAGCCCATGGTGGAAATGCAGTGCTTTATTTGTTTGGGGTGGTTTAATCACCAGGAGGGAGAAGCTTCTAAAGCAGCATTCAGAGGTGGCTGTTGCCTGGGTTTTCTGGAAGGGGGAGGCAGTGAGGATGAGGGCTTCCATTTCATCTGCAGGCCCCTTGCAGAAGGAGCTGAGGAAAGCTTTGCAGCCCTCTGCACACTGTTTGTCATCTTGTCTGGCTGGGCAGCTGAGCTCCAGATGGGGGCAGATGGGATAGCTCTTGCTACCATATTTGGAGAGAGATGGCAGGGAAGTCAGCCCCCGTGAAGAAGACAGGAGCAGGCAGGTGCTGGACAGTGCTGCCCAGGCCCCTCGGGCTGAAGTGTCAAACCCCACAGCCTCTAGGTACCACTAAAGCAGCCCAAGAGGATCTTCTCTGTCCATCTCCATCCTGGCACCTACAGACACTTGGAGAGAGTCCTTCACATGGGAACTCACAAATGCACACTGATAACCCCCACACGGAACTCTCACACGTAGCAAGTGAAAAGACAGGATGCCAGTTTAACTTGAATTTCAGATAAACAACAAATCATTTTTTAGGGTAAGCAGGTCCCAAATATTGCATGGGATATATTTGCACCAAAAAAAAAAAAAGGGTTAATGAGAAACTCAGGTTTAGTTGGACCTCCTGTATTTTACCTGGCAAGCCTAACCCTGCATAAACACAACCTCGAGCTTGAAACTCAGAGAAGCCACGGCCGTGCTCACACACATGCACAAACCCATATGCCTTACAGAGTCAAGGGCTGTGATGAGGGGGTCCCCACCCTTGCACACTTCCCTGTCCTCTGTCTGGGCTCAGAGTGAACAGGAGGTCACGTGGCATCCACGTCTAAGCTGGGCTTGGAGGTGTCCTAATGAAGCAGGATGCTGACCTGCACTTCCCCAGCTCAGCGGGGGCTGCAGCCAGGCCTAGCTTCCAGTCTCGGGCCTAGAACACACAGCACAGCCCCAGACCTTGGCAAGAAGGCTTCATCTCAAGGACCACTGGTCCAGGACCTATTAGAAGCCCCACTTCTTCCCTCTGTTTCTGCTGCCATTGCCCCAGTCTCTGACCCTGCCACTCAATCACTCTATGAACACAGCAGGTACTAGGGGTGGCTCTGGGCTTGGCACTAAAGACATCGCCCCTGGTAAAGCCACACTCTAGCAATGACAGTCAACCACGTATCAGCAACAGCCCTGCTCCACACGTGCTGACTGCGCACAAGGCCGGCGCTGTGAACGTGCTCTCAACAGTGATCTCACTGAACCCTCATGGCAGCTCTAGGATGCAGACAGTAGCATCACATTATCCCCATTTTACTTATGAGAAAACTGAGGGCTGAAGAAGGCAAATACGGGCCTCGGGATTTGCAGTAACATTGCCAGGAATGTTTGAGAAAGCAAACTTCTCCAGAGTGAAGCAGTCTGCCAAAGCTTAGAGGCCAGATTCCCTATTAGCAGGGACTGGGGGGACTGGGGGCAGACAAGCGGGTAGGGGCTGGACCCCCTCAGGACACCAGGGTGCAGACTGGTGTGAGTAAAAGAAAGAGAGGTGGTCGTGCCATCATCTGCAGAAGATGATGTCTACAGAGGACAGTACCATGTGAGCCCTTGGGGAGCCGGATGACTGGATGGATTTTGCACAGGATGCAAATTAAGCACAGATCCCCCTCTGACCTAGACAGCCCACCTCCAGGAACATCTCACAGAAATGCAGGCACAGAGCACCAAGTGATGTGTGCGAGGAAATTCATCAGAACACCGTCTGTGATTGGGAAAAGGCGGAAACCATCCACAGACGTATCGGTGCAGGGCTGGTTAAACGAAGCGTGGTGCATCCACACGTCAGAATAACTGCTGGGAGAAGAAGGTGGTTCCCAGGTTCCAACGTGAGACAATGTCAAAGACACGCTGCCTGAAAAGCAGGCTTTCCAAAGAATAAATAGAGCATTATTCCATTTTTATTTTTTTAAAAAGTTTACAATAAACACTTATGTGCAAATACATGTGCTTGCGTGCACAGAGGGAAAAGGTATGGACAGGAACAGAAAACCAAACTCTGCGTGTTCTCCCTCATAAGTGGGAGTTGAACAATGAGAACACGTGGACACAGGGAGGGGAATATCACACACCAGGGCCCATCGGGGGTGGGGGACAAGGGGAGGGAGAGCATTAGGACAAATACCTAATGCATGCGGGGCTTAAAACCTAGATGATGGGTTGATAGGTGCACTAAACCACCATGGCACATGTACACCTGTGTAACAAACCTGCACATTCAGCACATGTATCTCAGAATGTAGAATAAAAAATAAAAAGAAATCAAAGAAAAAGGTGTGGAGACGTATACCCCAACCCTTCCCAGTGTTACCTCTGAGAAGCAAGGTCAAGAAAATCAAATCAAGAGGAAGTTTTATGTTTTGTTTTCTATATAAATTTTTTATTTATTTTTTTATTTTTTTTGGAAACATAGTCTCGCTCTATTGCACAGGCTGGAGTCCAGGGACACATTCTCGGCTCACTGCAACCTCCTCCTCACTGCAACCTCCTCCTCACTGCAACCACCTCTTCACTGCAACCTCCTCCTCACTGCAACCTGCTCCTTCTGGGTTCAAGTTATTCTCTTGCCTCATCCTCCCAAATAACTAGGATTACAGGCACGCACCACCAAGCCTGGCTAACTTTCATATTTTTTGTAGAGACAAGGTTTCACTATTTTGGCCACCTGGTCTCGAACTCCTGGCCTGCCCGCCTTGGCCTCCAAAAGTGCTGGGATTACAGGTGTGAGCCACCACGCCTGGCCTGCATTGCTTGAATTCTCAGACCACATGGACCCTCTCATCTGGCCCAATTGCAAGAGTCCAAGGCAGGAAAGGCAGAAGGCAGGGGCTTACCCCTCCATCAGGACAACATAGAACAGAGTCAAAAAAGAAAAACATGAATGGATCAGTCAAGAGGGCCGTGCAAGTGCCCTCCCAGGCACCTACACCTTGCAACTTAAGCCGACAGGCTTTCAAGTCACAGAGTCTTCCTTCCCAGAGACTAGCAAGGACACAAGCCCTAGCCAGGCCCCTCCAGGAGGATGGTCTGAGGGACAAGGTGGGGAGCACAGTCAGGGGTGGCAGGAGGAAAGGGGGACACAAAGCCAAGGAAACCAGGGCACCCCATGCTTCCTGAAGGCCACCAGGACAGGGCGCCACACAGAGCCCCTGCGTACCTGTTTCTACAACAGCCTGAACACAAGGAAAAGGAAAACAAGGAAAATACACAAAGCCCAGCCTCACCTGGAGCAGGTTAAATAAAGGTGTGTGACTTTGTCTTCATGTCCTTTGGAACTGGAAATCCAAGCTTCTTCTCCTGTGCCTTTAAGGCCCTGGCTGCTGCCCCACAGCTCCCTCTCTTCCCTCCTCCTCCTGTCCTGACTCTTTTTTTTTTTTTTTTTTCTTGAGATGGAATCTTGCCCTGTTGCCCAGGCTGGAGTACAGTGGCACAATCTCAGCTCACTGCAACCTCCACCTTCCGGGTTCAAGCAATTCTCATGGCTCAGCTTCCCAAGTAGCTGGGATTATAGGTGTCACCACGTCTGGCTAATTATTGTATTTTTAGTAGAGACAGGTTTTCACCATGTTGGCCAGTCTGGTCTCAAACTCCTGGCCTCAGGTGATCCGCCCACCTCGGCCTCCCAAAGTGCTGGGATTACAGGTGTGAGCCACCATGCCCGGCCCTCTTGTACTAACTCTGCCACCTCTTTGCAGTCTCCCTCGAGCAGCTTTTCCTGGGCCCGCAATTCCCCCTTCCAGAGCTGCACTCTCAAACCACCCCCCAATGCCCCCTGGCCCTGGCTCCTGCCCTGGGGCTCTGATCCTCAGCTGGTGAGGTCTAGAGGGTCAGAGGGAGCCAGACTCCCTAGAGCAGCTGAGGCAGGAGCCCTGTGCTTAGGCAGGAGCTAAGCTAAGCTAAGGCAGGAGCCCTGTGCTGGGCTGTGGGTAACCTGTCCCCTTCCAGCTGGGGCTGAATAGAAGGGGGAAAGGCTGCCCCCAGAATACAGGGCTCTCAGAGGCCCTGGGGATCTGTGCTGGCAGTCAGGAGGACTGCCACCTCAGCGCACTTGCCTGCAAGGAGGGCTGTGCAGGACGCTGCATGTTGCTTAGAGAACAAAAAAAGGAAATTAAATGCACCATCTGGTTATTAGGATGAGCTTTTGAGGCAAACACTGAAATATGCATGCCTAGACATTATAAAACTTGGGGGAAATGTTAATTTCAATAACGCCAGTTCTTGTACTCGCAAAAACTATTCTTTTATCTCTCTTCCTAGTCATTTGTGGGCTCCATCCCTCAGAGTGTCAGCACCAAGACAGCTGGCCTCACTGGGTTTTGTACGCTGTGCAAGGTGAGATCCCAAGCCCTTGCCTGGAGACCCTTCTTAGGAAAATGTTAGAACAGGGCAACAAGTTATCATTTCCTCCCTCCTTTCTCTTCCCCATACAAAAATCAGAAAGCACACTAGCCCAGATCTGTGTACATTTCAAGGGTGGCTGGACTCATGGCCGCCTGGGACGTCAGGGTGGTACAAAGTCCTCTTAACCTAAGACTGTCGGGGTACAAGGATCAGCATTTTTTTTTCCTTTTTCTTGAGGGCCAGATGGTAAATAGCTCAGCTTTGCAGGCCATAGGTCTCTGTCCCAACTATTCAACTCTCCATTGTAGCAGGAAAGCAGCCACAAGACAATATGCACTGAAATGGGTGTGGCTGTGTTCCAATAAAACTTTATTTGTATGAAAAGGCAAGGGGCTGGTTCTGGCCTGTGGGCTACAGCCTGCCTCCTCTGCTACAGCGTGATCTCCAAGGACCCATCCATCTCATAGACCAGCAGCTGCCACACAGGAGCTGCTCAGATACTTGAAGGAGGAATGGAGAAGGCAAGCAGCCCCCAGTGTGCAGACGTGAGGGTCTCCCAGCAGCACCATCCTTTGCCATCTCATGCCGAGGGACAAAGCCAGAGCAGGGCTCTCCACCAAGGCTCGGTTCTCCTCCAACGAAATGTGATAACAGGACAGAAAGCACTGTGGAAGGATAGGGGCTTTGGAGTCCCACAAACCACAGTTTGCAAGACCAGGAGCAACCTGCACTTCCTTGCACACACCCTGGGTGGGTGCTGGAGCATCTAGACTTAGAGTGAATCTTTTCTCCCTCCTCCCCCAGCTGGCCTCCATTACACTTCCAGCAACATTGTGGTGTATGTACACGATGGAATACTATTCAGCCTTCAAAAAGAAGGAAATGCTGCCATTTGAGACAACATGGATGAGCCTGGAGGATATTATCTTAAGTGAAATAAGCCAAGCACAGAACGACAAATACCACATGATCTCACTTATATGTGGAATCTAAAAAAGTTAAACTCGGCCAGGCATGGTGGCTCATGCCTGTAATCCCAGCATTTTGGGAGGCTGAGGCTGGCAGATTGCTTGAGCCCAGGAGTTCGAGACCAGCCTGCATAACATAGAAAGACCCCAACTCTACAAAAAAATACAAAAATTACTGGAGCGTGGTGGTGCATGCCTGTACTCCCAGATACTCAGGAGGCCGAGTTGGGAGGATTGACTGAGCTTGGGAGGTCAAGGCTGCGGTAAGCCAAGATCACAACCCTGCACTACAGCCTGGGCAATAGAATGAGATTGTCTCAAGAAAAAAAAAGAAAGAAAAAGAAAAGAAAAAAGTTGAATTCACAGAAGCAGAGTAGAATGATGGTTGCCAGGGTGGGGAAGTAGGCAGATGCCAAAGGACACAGAATGTCATTTTTAGAGAAGAAGAATAAGTTCAGGATATCCATGGGACAACATGGTACCTATAGTTAAAAACAACATATCATACACTTGGAAATCACTAAGAGAGTAGATTTTTAAGTGTGCTCACCACAAAAAAAAATAAGTCTGGGAGGTGGTATGTTATTTAGCTTGATTTAGCCATTTCGTAATGTATACATACTTCAATCACATCATGTTGTATACCCTCTTGTACATAATTTTTGTCAATTCAATAAATTCAACATCTCCAAAAAACAAGACATTCTCTTTACAAAAATAATTATTAAAAATAAAATTCAGAATTCTATTTTCTTCATTTATTTATTTTTGAAACAGAGTCTCGCTCTGTCACCCAGGCCGGCTGAAGTGCAGTGGTGCGATCTCGGCTGACTGCAACCTCTGTCTCCCAGGTTCAAATGATTCTCCTGCCTCAGCCTCCCAAGTAGCTGGGATTACAGGTGTGTGCAATCACACCTGGCTAATTTCTGTATTTTTGGTAGACAGTTTCACCATGTTGGCCAGGCTGGTCTCGAACTCCTGACCTTAGGTGATCCGCCAGCCTCAGCCTCCCAAAGTGCTGGGATTACAGGTGTGAGCCACTACGCCTGGACAGAATATAAAAGATTCTTTAATTCAACTAAAACATTAAAACATAGATTATTTCTATAAGTGGTAATTGTTCTAACATGTTTTGGTCAAAATAGTCTCCTTACCCATCCACAATTAAATGGTTAATTGACATTTGATTGGATTTTGATAAAGTTTTCAAATCATGATTGACTTTTCCAACATATAGTAAAATGTGTGTGAAAATATTCCATAAAAATTCATATTTAAAAATGGTCAGGCATGGTGGCTTTTGCCTATAATCCCGCACTTTGGAGGCCAAGGTGGGTCGATCACTTGAGGTCAGGAGTTTGAGACCAGCCTGGCCAAACCTCATCTCTACTAAAAGTACAAAAGTTAGTCAGGTATGGTGGCATGCACCTGCATTCCCAGCTACTTGGGAGGCTGAGGGAGGAGAATCCCTTGAACCTGGGAGGTGGGTTCCCCAGGCTTAGAGCAAAACCCCCATCTTGTCTGTCTCCACTCTCATCCCAGGCAATCGCAGTCATTTCCACAGCCTCAACCACTGTCAACCTGGGATGCCTCCCAAGCCCGAGTCTCCAGCCCAAACCTGCCTTCCTAGCCCCAGACTCATCTGTCCTGGCACACATTGCCCCCTGGGTCCCAAGCAACCTCAGCCAATGAGTCCAACATCAACTTCCTGTCCTGCCTGACACTGCCAGCCCTGAGATCAGACTTGACCATTCACCTCCAGTACCTGATAGGTCCATCAGTGCTCTGTAACATATTCCACAAACATTCCCCAAACCAGGCACCGGACTCCACACATCAACTCCGTCATGTGAGTCACCAGCATCCCTGGCAGGGACCCCTGTCCCAGCCTCCAACTCATCTCCTTCCTGTCCCTTGAGTTCTGTGTCACATTCCAGAGGCCACAAGAAGAAAAATGACCACCTTAATGAAATTAAAAGAATTGAGAAGACATTTCCCTATGGTCCAAAGTCTTTCCAACTGAGAAACACATATCAAGATCCAGCCTGCCAGCCCTGCGGTTAAATGTTCCTGAAATATTTAAAGCCCAGGGCAACACAGCCCCCACTCCACAAGTATTCCCAGCACAGTAAGACTTCCTTCTCTGCAGGGGTTTGAAATGTCCAGTGTGTACCCTGCCCCTCTCTGTCGTAGCTAACAGGAATGTACTCCGTGTCTTCTTCCTGCTCAAAGGACCGTCCACCAACCTGTGTAGGCAGCACTTTCAGCCAGTGGGGGATGGGAGAACTTCCCACCATTTCCCACTTATGCACTGCATTCCTCAGGAGCCTGCCTCACAAATTACAAGAGCGCCACGGCAGACACACCACGTTCCAGCGGGTGGTCATGTCTTCATGTCAGCTTGAAAGATCATCGCCAGGGAAATATCTATATCTCAGCAGGGAGAGCTTCAGCCTGTGTAGTCCAGCCGTGCTCAAATGGAAATCCAGAAACCCGGATGCTGGTCAAAACACCCTGTCTTGAAGAGCTGGCTCTGCAGGTCACCAGCGTGGGAGTGAACTGGGTGGGCCACCTGCCCTGCCTGCCCACATCCCTGCCTCCTGGAATCCTGGACCCTGAGAACCAGGGGGATGTGGTGGGGAACAGGCAAGTCTTGTGCAGAAAGACAAGATGCCACCCAAATCCACTCTGCAGTCTAGGTGGGTGATATTCTGGTCTGCACTGCACCAGCGCATGAGGGGATGGAGGATGGAGTCTAGACGAGCCAAATGTAAAAAGATATTGCCCAAGTATTTTGTGCTTTCTCTGTGTTACAATGCTATGCCCAGTCCAGCGTGGTGGCTCACACCTGTGATCTCAGCACCTTGGGAGGCTGAGGCAGGCAGATCACCTTAGGTCAGGAGTTTGAGACCAGCCTGGCCAATGTGGTGAAACCCCATCTCTACTAAAAATACAAAAATTAGCCTGGTGTGGTGGTTGGCACCTGTAATCCCAGCTACTCGGGAGGCTCAGGCAGGAGAATCACTTGAGCCCAGGAGGTGGAGATTGCAGTGAGTGGAGATCATGCCACTGCACTCCAGCCTGGGCAACAGAGTAAGACTCCATCTTAAAAAAAAATAAAATGAATAAATTCTATGCCCAGCATTTTCCATGTACTGTCTTATTATCTCAGTAAATCCCATATAACCTTCCTATGAAAGTGTGTCTCATTTATCTCCATTTTATAGATGAGAAAACTGAGGCCCCTGGAGTAGTATTAATTTTCCAAGACCGCATTGCTCACCAAGGGTACAGCAGGGACCCAAGCTCGACACTCTCACCCTTAAACATTTCCACAAGTGTAGACCAATGGCTCTCAACTGGGGTGGTTTTGCTCACATACCACTCCCTTGCTCCATGGCATTTGAAACCGTCTGGAGACATCTGGGGTAGCCATAGCTGGGAGGGGAGAATGGCACCTAGAGGATGGAGACCAGAGGTGCTGCTAACCATCCTACAATACACAGGACGCCCCCCCACCACCACCACGAATGGTCTCACCCCAAGTGTTGTGACTGTGCCAAAGCTGAGAAACCCAGGTTTCTCCTCAGCAAGAAGGAAAACCCCTGCAACGCAGATGCACCTCTACAGGAGCCCCAGGCTCACAATAACCTTCCTCATCTGGTTTCAACCCTGGATGCTTTCACCTGGTGCGTCCATCAGGGATTTCAGGAACTCCAGTGAGTTTTCACCCTTGAATGCTCGGTTCTGCCTGACAACCCCGAAATTTCTGCCGAGGTGCCTGGTCTTGGGGAAGGCTCAGCAAATGGTTGAGGTTGATAACCAAATACCTAGGAGAGACTTTTCTCTCCCTCCAGGAAGAGCTGTTGGTCAGACACCCTGGGATCATTCACAAGTGGTCAATAAAGGCTTGGGGAGGGCCAGGTTTTCTAGGCCTTCTCAATGGGGTGGGTGTTTATGGATACACAAGAAGCCTGTGAAACTTCTGATATTCGCAGGAAGTCAATGCCCCTCACCCTCCACCCCCCCCCCCCCCGCCTCCCCACCATAAACACATGCCCTGCAGCAGGACTTGGCACTCAGGGGCTCCTGGGGTCCCGATTTACCTGCTAAAACATCCTCTAGCCACCACCGAATAAAGCAACCCCTTGCCACCCAACCACAAGAGCACAGCCTGGGAGCCACTCCAAGGAACACCAAGTCACATTAAAACCTCAGCCATCCAGAGCACCAGGCCTGGTGATGAGAAAGAACATTTTATCCTTAAAAGCATCTGAATGCCCATGCTGTTTCTTGCAGAGAAAAGTCCAAAATAATCTGCTATTAAAGAGCGAGGATGGTTTTGACATTTTTACCAAGCTAATGGTCTACGCAGACAAAATCTCTAAAAGGGCACTCTGTTCTTCTTGATCCACTCAGACATGGCCTGTGAGTGAAGAAACGGGCTCTCCTCCTCAAAGAAATCGCTGCTGATCCTCACACCAGCCTGACACTGCTTCATGGGTTCTTCAAAGAGAGTATTCCCATAGAAACTAAAAGGGAAGAGGAATGGGTCTGGTGGGCATTGTGGGCAGCAGTGGGCTTTGGGCCAAATTTTAAGTTTGAAAATCAAGATTCCCTCTTTTCAAGGGGCCGCCAGACTGAGCAGATACAGGCACCATGAAAAGAGGGTGCCATGTTCAGATTCAGGAAACAAGGATGGTTTCTGTTCAGTTCCTCCATCATCCTTCAGGTCATGTGATTCCCATTTCCCTCTGTGGACCAAACAATTCAGTGGGGTTTCTGCCTTTTAAATATTTCATTATCAACATATCATCCTTTTAGCCTCCAGAAAGCATTTTAACATGGAGACTCTGGCTTAAGACTCTTGTGGGTCTGTCTCTCTCTCTCTCTCTCTTTTCCTTGAAACGGTCTCACTTTGTCACCTAGGCTGGAGTGCAGTGGCATGATCACAGCTCACTGCAGCCCGACCTTCCAGGCTCTCGCAATCCTACCACCTCAGCCTCCCAAGTACTTGGGACTACAGGCACACACCACCATAACTGGCTGTTTTTTTTTTTTTTTTTTGTAGATATGAGGCTTCACTATGTTGCCCAGCTGGTCTTAAACTCCTGGGCTGAAGCGATCCTCCCCTTTCGGCCTCTCAAAGTGCTGGGATTATTGGCTTAAGCCACCATGCCCAGCCAAGAACTTTGTCTCTTGTGATGCACCCCAGAACAAAACATCACTGCAAAAACACACCAAGGCATGAGTTTCAGTCCTAATTCCCATTTATCCACCATACACTATGTGCCAGGCACAACGCTAAGTGCTTCTATGGATGAGCTTCCCTTAATCTCAGCAGTAACAACCCCAGGCAATGGGGCCTGTTGACAGATCCATTTGCCACCGAAGACAGTAAGGCTCAGAGAGGGTAAGTGGCTTGTGCCATGTCAGCCAGCTAAGGAGGGGCAGAACCAGGATGCAAACCCCAGCTGCCTGGCTCCAGACTCGGGTTCCCAAGGTCCCACTACACTTGGTCACTCCACTGCATTCTGGTATCCTGGTCTTTGGCAGAGTCCACGTAAAAGAAGGAGGTAGAGGGAGTGAGAGGGACTTCATGCAATAAAGTTTCCCGGCGTTACACTGCCATCGTAATTGTGTCCCCGACCAGGACCTCTCCCTTCTCATCCTTTCCGTGATCAGCCCTGGAAAACCTTCCAAAGAACTGTCCTCCTTCTCCCGGGATCTCAGAGAAAATTCGCCTGAGTTCAGTGTCCACGTGACCCAAGCTCTGAATGCGGTAACGTGCACGGAGAGATAAGGATGTCACCATGAGCAAGCCTCCCAGACAGCATCAAGGAGCAACCCCAAGACTGGGCAGGGTGGGCTCTAATGCCGCCCACGGCGAGGAGGGCTGCCCGTGCTGCCTAAATGGGTTCAGAATGAAGGCCGCTCTCTCGCCCATGTGGGGCTCATTAACCACGAATCCAATTATTAAGACAAGCTCAGCTGAGCAAATGGTCAAACAAAAAAACATGTGGAAGGAACAAACAGGTCAACCCCAATATCCATCAAAAACCATCAAGGTGGCGGCCCTCACTGAGGGGTACAGCTCTCCAGTGGGCTCTCATCTGCCCTCCAAACCCATGTGCCTCCTCAGTGGAAGGCCAGCAAAGCCACACAGGAAGAGCTGGGGTAGGAAAGCAGAAAGTGAACCCCAGGAGGCCAGGCTGGCCACGGAGCCCCATCGCACACACACAAGCCCGGTGACTCAGGGGCTCACGTGTGCACGACACCGGGAGCTCACAGGGACAGCGCCCCGGGGGATGCAAGGAACTTTGCCTCTCTGTCCCTCTCTGTAGGGATGGAAAGAGGAGAGCGATTTCTGGGATGGAAGCCATCTGCCTCCTCTCAACTCTCGCTGCCCAACCAGAAAGGGAAGAAAAACAGGAAGATGCGGGACAGGTGAGGAGCTGGGTGAGCGCCGCCAGCCCGCAGTCCAGCAGAGCAGGGCTTGGCCAAGCCTGGCGCCAGGGACTTCCCCCCTACCCCCACCACAGGCCCCTCGCCAGGTGAGAGGCACCGGCAGAGTCCCAGACAGATGCCCCAGACAGGATGCCCGGCGCAACCCCCGCCCCTTCCCCTGCTAGGGGCCCCCAGGACGCGGGGCTCCCCCTCCCCTTTTGGCCAGCCGCAGAGTCCAGCGCGTCTCCCGGCCAGGGACGTCGTGGGAGAATCAGGAAGTCGAAGCCACACAGCCGAGAAGGGGCAGCTGGCGTCTCGGAGGCCGTCACGAGCTGTCACTCCGCGCCCGCCTGAGTTGCCGCTCAATTACCAACTTCAACCCGGGGCCGGCCACGGAGCCTCCCGCCGCCCCTACCCTGCGCCCCCGGGACCCCCGGACCCCAGCGCCCGCGTCACTTACTCCTCTGCCGTCGCCACCTGTCTGGGTGCCGGTCTCCTTCCTGCCCGGCCGCGGCGCGTCCTCCCCGTCCTCGGGCTGTGCGCTTCCCCCCTCCAGCAACAGCCGCAGCCTCTTCTCCTCGGGAGGGACGTCGTCCTCCTCCCTCCTGGGCCGGCCATCCCTGCCTCGGGGCTTGCCAGTGGCTTCGGAGCTGCCGGAAGGGCTGGCCATGGCTCCGGGGGTTCTGCCTGCACCTGGGGAAGAGGAAGGACCCGGCGCGAGCGGCCTCTCGGCGGAGCTGGGGCGTCTGAGCGCGGGCTCGGTGGGTCCGCGCGGCGCGGAGCTGGGCATCGGGGCGGGCGCTGGCTCCTCCGCGGGCCGCTCCTGGCTCTCTGGCGCCCTCTGCTGGCCGCTCGCGCGCACCGCGGACACGCCGGGCCCTGGCCTGCGCTGCGCTCACCTGCCCCGGCCCAAGCGGTCGCTGTCCCCTGCCTGTGGCCATACCCGCTCTGACCAGGCCCTGCCCCTCCTCCCCGCTGCAGCCAGGTTGCACCCCGATGGTCTCCCTCCCCAAGGAGGAGAGAAGAGAAGGGAAGCCCCGAGAGGGTGGACATCGGCCACAGCCACCTTGTCTTTGCTCTTACCCTGTGTCTTCCATGATTTGGAGGTGGTGGGAAAACCGAGGCTGCTCCAAACTCGTGGAGAATTCCGCCTGCAGGATGACACGAATGCACCTTCTCTTTGCTACCAACAGATCTTTTTTGAGCATCACTGTGGACCAGGCGTGGTGATGGGGGAGGGGATATTGTGGTGAACATGACAGGCATTGCCTTCACCCAGTGGGGCTCAGCGCTGGGTGAGAAGGCATTGAGAATGGACATTGTCAATTGGGCAAAAGGAGGCCACGAAGAAGTGTTGGGTGCATGGGAACTGAAAAAGACAGGAGGCTCAGCAGGTCTTGGAGCTGGGAGAGGGACAGCAGCAGCGGCTGTTCCAAAGGAAGTAAAAGTTGAGAGAGGTCTCAAAGAGTTGTTCTCAGCCCAGTGGAGGGTGTTCAGGCAGAGGGAACAGCGTGTGCAAAAGCCCAGGGGCTGGGAAAGAAGCAGAAAGAGGACTGTGGGGCTGGAGCATGGAGGGCGAGGGGAGAGAGGTGTGGTGGGCACACAGATTGCCTGGGACCCAGCCGTGCAGGGGCAGAGGAGATAGGGGATCCTTGCAGACCCCCAGCCGGGGCTGAAGCACAGAGACAATGCAGGTGGGCAAAGGGAGGAGACGTGGAGAAATATTTTGGAGGCATGCCCTGATGAATGAGCCTAGGATGCACCCTTAGTGTCAGTGTGGAGCTCCTTCCCTGGCTGTGTGATGAGCTGAACTCGGGGGTATTTTCTGGACATTGAGGTGCTACACCCAGAGTCCAGGACAGGCTAAGTGAGCACCAGCAGCTCCTGGCCTACCTCAAAAGCAGGAGAGACAGGGGAGACTGGGAAGGCTGGCGTGGAAGGGGAAGCCAGGAAGGCAGGAGAGGCCAGGGAAGCAGAGGAGGCCAGGGAGGCAGTGGAGGCAGGAGAGGCTGGGGAGGCTGTGTCCTTTCCATGATTCTGCCCAGGATCCTAGGCCCCTCTACTCCCTGAGCTTCCCCACCCCAAGCGCTGGAAACATGTTGCACAATGGTCTCCCCACTAAGCTCCTGATGGCGGCCCCTACCCTGCTGTGCTCCCTATTTCAACCCTAACAGCTCTCACAGTGGGCAGCACATAGTAGGTGCTCAGGAAACACTGGTGGGAGAGCACATGGGTGTGCTCAGCACCTTCTTCTCTCCTCCAGCTCTCCCCTGTCATGAAATAATTCTGATAACGACACATGGACTTTGAGACACTCTTCTATTACTTGCCATATGCTAATCCATCTATACCTCACAGCAGCCCTGGGGGTGGGTGCAATGAGGATGCCCATTTTACAGAGGAAGAGACCGAGGTATAAAGAGGGTAATTGAAATAGGCACACTACAGGGGCTGGGGCCAAGTGATCAGAGCACTCAATCCCCAAAGGCAAGGTGGACGCAGTTACCATAAAAGACAGCAGAGTCAAAGCTGCAACCAGAATTGCCTGACTCGCAGAGACCTATGGTGCCTGCTGATCGTGGCATTCCTAGAAGTGAAATAGATAAGAAGCCTGCCACATTTTTACTGGATCTGTGTTTGCAGAAGAGTTCTAGGTCAGGTGAGCAGAAGTCTAATCTGAATCATAAAAACAGAGTCACAGTCCCCAGTCAATTCCCAGACATAAGCCAGTTCACAGACCCGGAGTCCCTTGTCTGAATGGGAAGCCAGGTCCCCTCCAGAAAGGACTCTGCTCCACTGCCAAAAATTTATACTGTCAATCTTTCTCCCAGCCTGCCCCCAAGGGAATACACAGCCTTTTACCAGGATGACTGAACAGGAGAAAAGGAACTAATGAGACCTGTGCAGGATCACTGGACACAGGCTCTGAACTGGCACTAGGCTGAGACTAGGGTCTACCAGTCAGAATAGGCATTTTGGAGGTCAGGTGAATGTTGGTACAACTTCATGTCATGGTAGATCCATTGGGTCCCCAAATCCATCCTCTGGTTATATACAAAGTGGCAATGCTGAGATTCAAATTCAGGGCATCCAACATAGAGGCTGTGCTCTTACTCATGAAACATTCTGACACTAGTAACCATTTAAAAATGCAAACACCTCCTGGGGCTAGCCAGAGTCCTCCAAACAGTCATGTAAATTGGTTCTGTCAAGGATTTCCTCCCACCCCCTGCTGAGAGCCAGTTGCAAGGAGAGACTAGGGAAGGGCATTGGGTAACTTTGTTGCTAAAAGCTCTTCCGGATAAAGACATTTGGGAAAAGAAGAAAATAGAGTTCAGCAAAAGAGATAAGAAAGTAAGTTTATGTTTGGCCAGGCACGGTGGCTCACACCTGTAAACCCAGGACTTTGGGAGGCCGAGGTGGGCAGATCACGAGGTCAAGAGATCGGATCATCCTGGCCAACATGGTGAAGCCCCGTCTCTACTAAAAATTCAAAAATGAGCGGGCCATGATGGCACACGCCTGTAGTCCCAGCTACTCGGGAGCCTGAGGCAGGAGAATCACTTGAACCCAGGAGGCAGAGGTTGCAGTGGGCCGAGATCATGCCACTGCATTCCAACCCGGTGACAGAACGAGACTCCATCTCATAAAACAAACCAAAACAAACAAACAAACAAAAAAGCAATCTTATTTTTAAGCCTGAACAAGTATAGTGGTTTAGCGGTTCTGCAAATACGGCCCCAATCAGGCTACAAGATGTTGTGGCAGCAACACTTACACCCAGTCACTCCTGGCTGGCTGAACCACTTTTCAAAACACCCTTGCACAGCTGTGCAGAGCGGCTGGCTCCACTGGCAGCCCGCAGAGCCATAACTCACACTGTCACCACTCCCCTCAAACCCTTTCAGTAAGCACATTCCTTATTTTATTTTTTTTTTTTTTTGAGATGGAGTCTTCCTCTGTCATCCAGGCTGGAGTGCAGTGGCGCAATCTTGGCTCACTGCAAGCTCCGCCTCCCAGGTTCATGCCATTCTCCTGCCTCAGCCTCCCAAGTAGCTGGGACTACAGGCGCCCGCCACCACGCCTGGCTAATTTTTTGTATTTTTAGTAGAGACGGGGTTTCACCGTGTTAGCCAGGATGGCCTCAATTTCCTGACCTTGTGATCTGCCTGCCTTGGCCTCCCATAGTGCTGGGATTACAGGCTTGAGCCACCGCGCCCGGCCTGGTAAGCACTTTTAATCAAAGCAACAGGAATAAACATTTGCTGCAGAGCGGCAATGTTCAGGGAGGAACATTCTTCCACTCAGGCTCAGAAAGCAAAACCTCCTGGCTGTTTGCATCTGTGCGAGAGCTCGCAGGAAAAGCCCTCTGTGTGGCTGCCAGCCTCACACACTCCCCCGAAGGGGTGAGTTTCTCTTTCCATGTTAATCTATGCCCTGACGTGCCATCTGTCAACCACCACACCATTCTCAGTTGACATTTCAAAGCATCTTTGCCCTGGGAATGGTCACCAGCCCTGCCCTGCAAGCCCCCAGGTAACACTGAACTTAAATGAGAGAGAAAACAGGTTTCGGGGTGGATTTCAGTTCAGCATCTTGGAATATCTGTGTGGACATGAAATCTGTCTCCCCAGCCGTGGGCTGCATCCTTGTTTGTCATCTGGTTTTGTTGTTGGGGACTTGGAAACTCGTGGGCACCTTTGCAATTTGTCAAGAAGCTGCACAGCCCTCCCAACAAAAGCAAGCAATAGGAACAGAAGCCCAAGGCTTCAGATCAAGGTGCGACTTAAAGCAGCCTCAGTGTAAAAGCAAACAGGAGTCAGAGGGATGCCTAAGGCAGAGTCTAGTCCCCAGGGCAGCTATAAGACAAAGAGAAAGGGAGAGAGATAGACAGAGACAGAGACAGAAAGATAGAAAGAGATGGGAGGAGACATGAGGCACCCAGGCCTCTGCATCAAAATCCCTACAATAGGGGCTTCCTAAAAATGCAGGAGGCTGAGGTGGGCGCACACAGAAGTTCAAGACTAGCCTGGGCAACATACCAAGACCCTGTCTTTACAAAAAATACAAAAATCAGCCAGGTGTGGTGGTGTATGCCTGTGGTCCCAGCTACCCAGGAGGCTGAGGTGGGAGGATGGCTTGAGCCCAGGAGGTAGAGGCTGCAGAGAACCAAGATAGCAACACTGCACTCCAGCCTGGGTAATAGACTGAGACTTCATCTCAAAAAATTTTAAAAAAATTTTTTAAAAGGATCACCCTGGCTACTTGAATGGATGATAAGAAGGTAAGAGCAGAAGAAAGGAGACCAGCAGGGAGATTCTGCAGGTGGGAGTCCACAGTGGCTCAGACCAGGCTGGCGCTGAAGACCGGCTGGATTCTGTATATATTTTGATGATGAAGCAACTCACTGACTCTTGAAGAGTGGGCTCTAGGAGACAGTATTTTTAACAAGCTCTCAGAGGATTGTAATGCAGGCTGAAGTTGAAGAACTCCTGATTTAGGTGAAGCTTCTGTTTCATCCTTGGGGAAGTACCTACTGACTTTTCTCCAAGCCACCTCAAAAGAGGTGCTAGACAAGATGTGCTCCAATGTCTGAACATGTGTGCACAGCTCTAGAGCCAACCTCAGGACACTGAATCAAAGGTTAGGAGTACAACAGTGAACAACCACCATCCTCTTTTCAATGAGCTTTGCATTTAATGAGAGAAATAAAAAGCAAAAAAAAAATCATTTTCAACTCACAATGGTAGGAGTCATGGTGACAGTATGCCTGGGGCAATGGGAGCACAAAGAAGGGGCACCCAATTGGCCAGGTGCAGTTGTTCATGCCTGTAATCCCAGCACTTTGGGAGGCCAAGGTGGGTGGATCACTTGAGGCCAGGAGTTCGAAAACAGCCTGGCCAACATGGTGAAATCCTGTCTTTACTAAAAATACAAAAACATTAGCCGGGTGTGGTGGTGGGCACCTGTAATTCCAGATACTCAGAAGGCTGAGGTGGGAGAATTGCTTGAACCCGGGAGGTGGAGATTGCAGTGAGCCAAGATCGCGCCACTGCACTCCAGGCTGGATGGCCAGAGCGAGACTCCGTCAAAAAAAAAAAGCCAGGAGATGGGTGGGCATGCAATCTCTATCAGGTGGTCAGAAATCCTTCTCCACCACAGGACTCCTCAGTTGAAGACTAGAAAATGGTAGGAATCAGCCAGGTCAATAGGAGAGGTGTGGAAGATCATTCCCAGCAGAGGGAAGAGCATGTGCAAGAATCGAGACATGAGAGGGTGAGAAGCTGAGAGATGTTCATATAATTGTAAAAAGTGACTAATGTAGAGGTAAGTTGGAGCCAAATCTTAAAGGCTCTTTGTCATGTTTATCTTGTAGACAAAGGGAGACAGTAGATGGTTTTAGGCAGAGGAGTAATGATCCACTTTGTGCTATAAAAAGAGCAGTCTGGCTGGAGGAGAGTGGGAGGTGAGTAGACCAGGTAGGAGGTTGCAATACACCAAGTGAGACAAGATGGTTGGCTGGACCAAGGCTGTGGCAGTGAGGATGGAGAGGAGACAGTAGACTAACTTGACTGAGAAAGAGGGAGGAATGAAGGATGAGGCCCAGGTGTTTTGGAAGCTGGGTGGATGGTGGTGTGAATCTGATGTGGTGAGCCCAGGCAGAAGAGGAAATCAGGAGAGGAAAGGTAAGATGAGGTCAATGCAAGAAAGACAGCCAAGTGGAGATAACAACTGGGCAGTTGGATTCATCAGCCTAGAGTTATACAGAGAGCTCTGGAATGGAAATAAAGAGGAAAGGACTTTGGGAATAGGTGAATCCTCCCAGAATAATGTGTAGAGAAAGGAGAATAGAACACAGGGGACAGAAAAAGGGAAGAGATTTGTTATTAAAACCAACCATCCATCAGACATCTTCCAATACAACACTTGTTAGAGGTTTCCTCAGTGTGAGTTATTCAGGACCAGAGCTAAAGACCATATTCTCAATAACATCACTGCTGGGAAGGTCTTCATGAAAACATTTAATGCTGCTTTTAAAACAACAACAACAACAAAAAGGCTTTAGCTGCTGCACAGACCCTGGAGCAATGTTTTGGCAAGAGTCTATCAAACACGAATCTCATCTGACTCAAGGAGGTGTCATATCAAGTGTAAAAATCCAATTCCAATGTCCATAAGAGCCTTTCTGCCAGGTACAAGACCCTAATCCAGTTGAAGTGATTTTCTATTGATTAATAGGCTGGGAATACACAGGTTGTTGGTTTTTGAGATTTCCCTCCCTGTGCCTTCATGCCAGCTGTGAAAGAGTCAAAAGGCTCCTAACTGTCAAAATAAAAATGACACTTGGTCACAGAGGAAACAGATTATAGGTCAATCACATTGATGACTTTTTAACTATGAGAAGCCATTCATGTTACTGAGTAAGCAAATCTGTTTGCATAACCAGATTTTTATAGGCTACTGGGAATAAAGGTTTTCCTAAGTGGGTGATTTGTACGATAGCCTTTGGGTCTCTGATGGAACAGCTCTGATGAGGAAATGTTCATTTAATTATGTGGAAGTCCAATTACCATGTTATAGCCACATTGTTTTGCAGATTGCATATAATTTCACCATTTCCATAGCTTCAGCACTATAATTGTGGAGAAAATTCAGGCACCAAGAAGACACTTGAGGCACATTATGCTGGAGACAAAGATGTTTTAACGAATTCAATTTAAGCTTCAACATTAAAGTTATTTTGTTGAATAAAGCATAATGCAATAATGAGCTTGTGTATGTCAACTGTATAGTGGAGGTAATAATAGCTAGAGAGAGCATGTCCCATCTCCTCTTTTTAATGCTCATTTGAGTAATACATAATGCTATAGAGAGAACTTTTCTCTAATATGTGCTTCATCTCAGGCTAAGCGTGTTTTGTGCAGCTGTGCTTCATGGAAAAAAAAAGGTAAAGGATCTAATTTGGGAGCCATTCACAAAAGTGCTACCACTTGATGTTTTTTATACTCTGAGATTTCTTATTCCCAGTGCCTACCAGGAATGGACTTTCTGGAGAAGCTCAGATTAATCACTCCTTATGAGAGGTGACAGCGCGCTGGCAGCCCTCACAGCCCTCGCTCACTCTCGGTGCCTCCTTTGCCTGGGCTCCCACTTTGGTGGCACTTGAGGGGCCCTTCAGCCCGTGGCTGCATGGTGGGAGCCCCTTTCTGGGCTGGCCAAGGTTGGAGCTGGCTCCCTCAGCTTGCAGGGAGGTGTGGAGGAAGAGGCATGAGCCAGAACCGGGGCTACGTGTGCTGCTTGCTTGCCAGCTGGAGTTCTGGGTGGGCGTGGGCTTGGTGGCCCCGCACTAGGAGCTGCCGGCAGGCCTTGCTGGCCCGGGCAGTGAGGGGTTTAACACCTGGGCCAGCAGCTGCTGTGCTCGACTTCTTGCCGGGCCTTAGCTGCCTCCCTGTGGGGCAGGGCTTGGGACCTGCAGCCTGCCATTCCTTAGCCTCCCCCCTCTGTGGGCTCCTGCGCAGCCCGAGCCTCTCTGACAAGCACCGCCCCCTGCTCCACGGTGCCCAGTCCCATCAACCACCCAAGGGCTGAGGAGTGTGGGCACATGGAGAGGGACTGGCAGGCAGCTCCACCTGCAGCTCTTGTGCGGGATCCACTGGATGAAGCCAGCTGGGCTCCTGAGTCTGGTGGGGACTTGTAGAACCTTTATGTCTAGCTAAGGGATTGTAAATACACCAGTCGGCACTCTGTATCTAGCTCAAGGTTTGTAAACACACCAATCAGCACCCTGTGTCTAGCTCAGGGTTTGTGAATGTACCAATCGACACTCTGTATCTAGCTACTATGGTGGGGACTTGGAGAACCTTTGTGTGGACACTCTGTATCTAGCTAATCTAGTGGGGACTTGGGGAGCCTTTGTGTCTAGCTCAGGGATTGTAAACGCACCAATCAGTGCCCTGTCAAAACAGACAACTCAGGCTCTCTGTAAAATGGACCAATCAGCAGGATGTGGGTGGGGCCAGGTAAGAGAATAAAAGCAGGCTGCCCGAGCCAGCAGTGGCAACCCGCTGGGGTCCCCTTCCACACTGTGGAAGCTTTGTTCTTTCGCTCTTTGCAATAAATCTTGTTGCTGCTCACTGTTTGGGTCCACACTGCCTTTATAAGCTGTAACACTCACTGAGAATGTCTGCAGCTTCACTCCTGAAGCCAGCAAGACCATGAACCCACCGGGAGAAATGAACAACTCCAGACGTGCAGCCTTAAGAGCTGTAACACTCACCGTGAAGGTCTGCAGCTTCACTCCTGAGCCAGCGAGACCACGAACCCCACCAGAAGGAAGAAGCTTTGAACACATCCGAACATCAGAAGGAACAAACTCCAGACACGCCACCTTTAAGAACTGTAACACTCACCAGGAGGGTCCGCAGCTTCATTCTTGAAGTCAGTGAGACCAAGAACCCACCAATTCTGGACACACTTATACACTTGGCACTGGGAGGTCTGTATGGAGCAAGTGAAGAAATCAGCAGAGTGAAGATAGAGGGAGAAAAACATGATGGGGGAAAGGCAAAGTTACTGCCATGTTGGTTTCAATTCTGCCACTCATGAGTGAGACCCATGACCTCCTCTCTCTAGGACTCTGTTATTCTTATCTGTAGAGTGGAGGAATAGAAGGGCCTTTTAAAGTATTAACATTTCCTGACCTATCTGTAAAACACTTTCATTCAAACTGATGGAAATCTTGACTACTTTGCCAAGAGGACATAATAATCATCAAGCTGAATGCACCAAACAACATTGCCTGAAACTATCTAAGCAAAAACTGAGAAAGTGACACAGGACAGACAAGCCTCCTATAAGAGTAAGAACTCTTCAGCACATGCTTAGAGTGTCAAAGACAATGCTGTGTTCACACCATTCCTCTTCCTGGACATGCAGAAAGACTACATTTCCCAGCCTTACTTGCAGTTAGTTTGGAACCATGTGACTGCATTTCCACCAATAGGAATGTAAGAAATCCCTTCGGGCCAAGGTTATCAAAGGCAAGTGTGAGCTATGTTCCCTCTCTTCTTATCCATATGGCTACCAGTGAAAAACTCTGAGATGGCAGAATTAAAAGACGGAAACCTCCAGAATCTCTGAATCACTGTTGGACAAGGGCCCCTAAGGAGAACCCCTGCCCTGCACCAGACTATGCTATGGGTGCCAACCCACTGAGAGTTCAGGGTTTATTCGTCTCAGCAGCAGTCTATTGTTACACTGACTAACATTCTAAGGTTTGAGAGATCCAGCATATTGTTAATTGAAGCTAGATTTCAATTACACTGAGAAACTTATCTATTTAAAAATAAAAACTCTCCCAAAAAAAAAACAAATAATCCATATTCCTTTTAACAACATGTGGCAAATTTGCAAAAAAAAAAAAAACAAAAAACTGGCCACATATTAGGCCATAAAGAAGTCTCAACAAAATCCACTATACGATTGACATTGTCCAGACCACATTTTCCTGACCATAATGCAACAAAATTAGAAGTCAACAGCAAGAAGATAGCTAAACACAAGCATACATTAGGAAAATTAAAAATATCCTTTCATGAGTTAAATGAAAAATCACAATAGAAATTACTAAACATTTACAATTGAACGAAAACACAACTTCATATATATATATATACATATATATATATAAATACATATGTATTTTTTTGTGTGAGTCTTCCAACTTTGTTCTTCTTTTACAAGGTTATTTGGGAAATTCTGGGTCTCCTGCAATTCCTCATACAGTTTTACACTGTTTGTCAATTTCTGTGGCTGGGATGAACTTATCATAGTTCTCATAGACCAGGGTTTGCATGTCGCTGTCTAGAGCCCGGATCTGCGGCACCATGTCCGTCTCACTGTCTATCAGCTGGGCCAGAGGGCACTCTCTAGGCAGCTTGTCTAGGTAAAGTTCCGGGTCGAAGTGCGCCCCGTTCAGATCAGTGGAGTCCAGGGGGTCGGGCCCCGCGGGGAGTCCCACCGCCTCCCCTTTCGAGAGGCCATTGTAAAGCTTTAGCATCCTGTGCGCCTTCCGCCGACGCTCCGTGAGCCTCCACATCGGGCCCTTCTGGGGAGTCCCAAGGTCCACACCCCGGGCTAGGCCCAGTGACAGCTGCCGCCGCCATAGCTCCAACTGCAGCCCACGGGCGTAACTTTTTATATTTTTAAGTTGGATACATGGAGCTACTTGGCTTTTGCTTTCATCTCATCGTTGAGGAAAGAGGTGGCTGCTTATGGTACCCCTGTTTTTACTGCAACCTGTAATGGATGAGAACCTCCCTGTTGCAGAGAGCAAAACACTGAAATAAATTGTGCTGTAACACAGCCCTGTGTTGGGGGATTGGGAGTGATCATGCAAATGCTTGCAAATTTGCACAGTGACAGAGACAATGGTCTGGGCAGCTGTTGACTATATGAAAAGGCAATTGACCAAAAGTCAGTTACTGAGCTATCTCAATACTTTCATTTTATTTTAGCTTTTGGCAACAGGGTGCGATTAAAGGAGAGAAAGAAAACACAGTGATAAGTGTAAGATAATGTACACACATGTGTAAAAGAAAATGACAAGACAGGATGACTATTTGTCTCTTGGTTAGCTCCTTGGGCTCTATGTCTCCTTCCTCAGAGAACCTCGTTTTCCTTTGTCCAGATTTGTTAGGGTGGATAATCCAGGCCCCTGCTCCCCCATGATAGAAGCCAAAGACATCCCTGGAGCCGCATCCCACTGCACCCTTTCCTGCACTGCCCACATGGACACAACTCAGCCCATTAGACTTCCTCTCAGAACTCTAGTCTTGAGCAAAGGGATTAAAGGGTGAAGTGACTGAAGGTATGCCCTTCCAAAGTGGTACGTGAGCTAATGGCTAAAGTTTGCAAAGCCCATCCAAGCACATTTTTTCGTAATTTTTATTTATTTATATTTTTAAGACAGAGTCTTGCTCTGTTGCCCAGGCTGGAGTGCAGTGGCGTGATCTCGGTTCACTGCAACCTCTGTCTCCCGGCTTCAAAGGAGTCTCCTGCCTCAGCCTCCCCAGTAGCTGGGATTACAGGCATACGCCACCATGCCTGGCTAATTTTTTTTTTTTTTTTTTTTGTATTTTTAGTAGAGACAGGGTTTCATCATGTTGGCCAGGCTGGTCTCGAACTCCTGACCTTGTGATTCGCCTGCCTCAGCCTCCCAAAGGGCTGGGATTACAGGCGTGAGCCACCGCGCCCAGCTTCCAAAAGTTTTAAGCAGAGCTCAGAGGTCTTAACCACAGGCACATCGGAGGAGCATTTTTGAAACACTTTCCAGCTTCCTCAATAGGAATGGAAGCCAAACTCCGAATTGATGACTCCTTTCAGGAAGTCGAGAGCTGTAACGAAAGCCAGGAACAGGGGCAAGGGAGAGATGCGTCCCGAATGATCCTTTGCCAACTCTTTCTGGAATCCTCGATGTGATCTCAGCTGCCCTTTCTATACATGACACAGTGATTGTGGCACCCACTGGTCTAGCTGTGGTCTACAAGGAACCCCCAAAGGGAAGGGCACAGTGAGCAGGGGCATCGGCCTGAGTGACGAGGATTTGAGAGGGCAGGTTGGATGCAGGAAGAGGACTGGCCAAATGCCATGTGTCTGGACTTAGACTGCCTGGTTCAAATTGGACTTCACCCTCTTTGACTTCGTGATCTGGTACAAGCTACATGAAAACCCATTGCGCCTTTTCTAGTCTGTAAAATCATCATGAAATGTGCACTAATAATGTGGAGACTATGCAGATGAAATGAAACAAGCTGCATAGAGAACAGAGCTCAGAGCCTGTCCTTTAGGAAGCCCTCAGTAAGGGTTCATGATGCCATGGTGTCTGTCGTCATCCTCTTTATCCTCATCATCACCTTCATAATCTCTTTGTTGTTCTTAGGGAATAGTTTAGAGGGACTCATTCCCTGCTATCATGGGTGAGATGTCTATGAAAAGGACAACCAGTGGGGGAGGAAAGAAAAATTTTGAATAAGATTTCTGAGACCCCCAGCACAACCAAGAACAGAAACTCCACAGTCTGCTGAGCACAGAGTTTGCATATTGGTCTCCTCACATCTGCCCAGCGCATTCTCCTGTTTGTCCTGAGGAGGAGGAAACAAACAAGGCTCCAGACCGTCCCTCAGCACTCACTTGAAGGGGTGGCCTGCCCCTCCACACCTGTGGGTATTTCTAGTCAGGTGGGATGAGAGACTGAGAAAAGAAATAAGACACAGAGACAAAGTATGGAGAAACAACAGTGGGCCTAGGGGACCGGCACTCAGCATACCAAGGATCTGAACCAGCACAGGCCTCTGAGTTCCCTCAGTTTTTATTGATTATTATTTTTATTATTTTAGCAAAAAGGAATGTAGTAGGAGGGCAGAGAGATAATAAGGAGAAGGTCAGCAATGAACGTGTGAGCAATACAATCTAAGTCATAAGGAAGTCCAAGGGAAGGTACTATGACTGGACATGCACATCAGCCAGATTGATGTTTCTCTCCACCCAAACATCTCAGTGGAGTAAAGAATAACAAGGCAGCATTGCTGCAAACATGTCTCACCTCCCACCATAGGGCGGTTTTTCCGCCATCTCAGAATTGAACAAATGTACAATCGGGTTTTATACCGAGACATTCAGTTCCCAGGGGCAGGCAGGAGACAGTGGCCTTCCTCTCTCTCAACTGCAAGAGGCTTTCCTCTTTGACTAATCCACCTCAGCCAGACCCTTTGCTGGTGTCCAGCTCGGGGACGGTCAGGTCTTTCTCCTCCCACGAGGCCACTTTTCAGACTATCACATGGGGAGAAACCTTGGACAATATGGCGCTTTCAAGGGCAGAGCTCCCTGAGGCTTTCCACAGTGTATTGTGCCCCTGGTTGATTAAGAATAGAGAATGGCGATGACTTTTACCAAGTATACTGCTTGGAAACACCTTGTTAACAAGGCACATCCTGCACAGCCCTAGATCCCTTAAACCTTGATTTCATACAACACAAGCTTTTGTGAGCTTCAGCTTGGGTCAAAGTGGTTTGTTCAAAGTGACGGGCAAAGCTACAGATTAACAACATCTCAGCAAAGAAATTGTTGAAAGTACAGGCCTTTTTCAAAATGGAGTCTCTTATGTCTTTCCTTTCTACATAGACACAGTAAGAGTCTGATCCCTCTTTCTTTTGCCTACACTCACTGAACTGCCCTTCCCCTCTGCTGGGTCATGACCACGGAGAACAGGTCCACTGTCCTCCCTGCGTGGTGCACCATGGAGGCTCAGACTCCGTCCTCGAGGCTGGCAAGAAGACAGGGTAAGACATGAGCCTCCTGATACAGGTGATGTCTCTGGAGCCCACAGGACTGGAACCTCACACTGCAGGGCTGGAGGCACAGATTGACTATTTACTATTCTGTGGCCTGGGGGCTCAAGGCACACAGCTCCTCATTAGCCAAAGTCACCCAAGTTCCCCAACCTCTAAGGATTTCCTTATAAAAATTCAAGAAGAAGAAGAGAAAAGTGAGTGTCCATAGAAGCTTTGGGGCTCTTCCTCTAATCAGGAGAAAGCTGGTGTGTATTATTCGCTTCTTTCTTTGCTTTTTAAAGATCCAACTGCTTTAATTTTCATCTTTTATTATGGGAAAATATACCACGTATAAATATGAAAAATTATAAATATATATTAGTTCACATAGAATGGCCAGTATAAACATTTACAGTTTCCACACTTTTTCAGTTTACAGTTTCATGACATTAAGTACGTTCACATTGTTTAGCAACCATCACCGCCATCATCTCCGGAACAGTTTTATCTTTCAAAATGGAAATTGCACCCATTCACCAAGCTCTCCACTCCTCTCTCTCGCCCGCCCCTGGGGGCCACCTTTCTAGTTTGCAACTCTATGAGTTTAACTACTCTGGAAACCTGATAGATAAGTGGAATCATGCCGTGTTTAATTTTCTTGTTTTGGAGACAGAGTCTTTCTCTGTCACCCTGGCTGGAGTGCAGTGGCGTGATCTCGGCTCACTGCAACCTCCACATCATGGGTTCAAGCGATTCATCTGTCTCAGTCTCCGGAGTAGCTGGGATTACAGGCGTGCGCCACCAAGCCCAGCTAATTTTTATATTTTAAATAGAGACCATATTGGCCAGGCTGGTCTCGAACTCCTGACCTTAAGTGATCCGCCTGGCTCAGCCTCCCAAAGTGCTGGGGTTACAGGTGCGAGCCACTGAGCCTGGGCTTGTTTATCCTTTTGGGATTCATTTATTTCACTGACGATAATGTTTGCAAGGTTCATCCATGTTGCGGCCTGCGTCAGAAGTGCCTCTCTGTTTTTTTTGTTTGTTTGTTTTTTATTTGTTTGTTCGTTTGACTTTGTTTTGTTTTGTGTTTCCATGGAGTCTCACTCTGTCGCACAGGCTGGAGTGCAGTGGCACAATCTGGGCTCACTGCAACCTCCGCTTCCCAGGTTCCAGCGATTCTTGTGCCTCAGCCTCCCGAGTACTTGGGACTATAGGTACACGCCAGCACGCTCGTCTCATTTTTTGCATTTTCAGTAGAGACAGGGTTTCACCAAGATGGCCAGGCTGGTCTTGAATTCCTGACCTCAGGTGATCCGCCCACCTCGGTCTTCCAAGACGCTGCGATTACAGGCATGAGCCACCGCACCGGCCAGAAGTGCCTGCCTTTTGAAGGCTGAATAGTCTTCCATTGTATGAAGGAACTGCAGTGTGCTTTTCAATTCATCTGTCCACGAACCCTTGGGTTGCTTCCACATTTTGGCTGTTGTGAATAATGCTGCTATGAATATGGGTGTACACAAATTTGTCTTCCACTCCTGGCTTCTAATTCTTTTTGGTAGGTACCCACAAATGAAACTGCGGGAATATCTGATCATTCTGTTTCTAATTTTTCCAGTACACGCCATACTATTTTCCCCGTTCCTTCATGGTTTTACATTCCCTCCGATCATATTCGAGCATTCCTACTTCCCTCTAGTCTCACCAATGCTTGTTTGTTTATCATATCCATCCTAATGTGTGGTATCACATTCTTGGTTTGATTTGCACTTCCCTATGATGAGTGATTTTGAACATCATTTTATATGCTTATTGGCCATTGCGATATCTTCTTTAGGAACACATCTGCTCGAGTCTTCTGACCATTGTTGATGGGATGCTTTGGGTTTCTTGTTGTTTAGTTCTAGCTGTTCTTTATATATGATGGATATCAGCCTCTTTTCAGATATATGCTTTGCAAATATTTTTCCTAATCCATGGGTTATCTTTTCACTCAGTTCACAGTGTTTTTTGCTGCACAAAAGTGTCTGTCATTTAGATGTAATCCAAGGAATCTAATTTTCTTTTGTTGCCTATGCTTTTGGTGTCATATCCCAGAGAACATTGTCCAATCTGATGTCATGAAAGTGTGGCCAATGTTTTCTTTTAGGCGTACGATACTTTTAGCGCTTGGGGTGAGGTCTTTGATCCAGTTTGTGTTAATTTTTGCACCTAGTGTGACATAGGGTCCACCTTCATTCTTCTGCATGTGGAAATCAAGTTTCTCCAACACCATTTCTTGAAAAGGCTTCTTTTCCACCAATGAGCTTTCTTAGCACTCATGTGAAAAATCATTTGAACATATAGGTGAGAAGTTATTTCTGGGCTCCAAAACAAACAAACAACAACTGACAACAGATAAAGATACAGCATGGGCCGGGCGCGGTCGCTCACGCCTTTAATCCCAGCACTTTGGGAGGCCGAGGCGGGCAGATCACCTGAGGTCAGGAGTGGAAGACCAGCCTGACCGACAGGGAGGAACCCCCGTCTCTACTAGAAATACAACATTAGCTGGGCGTGCTGGCGCATGCCTGTAATCCCAGCTACTCGGGAGGTGGAGGCAGGAGAATCGCTTGAACCCAGGAGGCAGAGGTTGCGGTGAGCCAAGATTGCACCATGACACTCCAGCCTGGGCAACAAGAGTGAAACTCCATCTCAAAACAAAAAACAAAAACCAGCATGATTTCAAGAGCAGAAAGAGAAGAGCTTAAAAACCAGCACAATGAGAAAGTTAGGAAGCTTCTTACCAAAGCCTCTGGAAATATGCAAGCAATTCTTGTGAACTAAAATTTTCATACTGTACTATCAAACACTAGAACTCACTTATTCCATCTTTCTGTATTTTGGGACCCAATTATCCACTTGTCTTCATTACCTATCCCAACCCTTTTCTTCCTAGCGTCTGCTGATCACCTTTATACTTTCCACCTTCCTGAGATTCCTTTTGTGTGTAGGTGTGTGATGGAGTCTCTTTCTGTTGCCCAGGTTGGAGTACACAGGCACAGTCCGGGCTCACTGCAAGCTCCGCCTCCCGAGTTCAAGCGCTTCTTGGGCCTCAGCCCTCCAAGTAGCTGAGACTACAGGCACGCGTCACCACGCGCGGCTCATTGTTTGTGTTTTCCGTAGAGACGGGGTTTCACCATGTTGGCCAGGCGGATCTTGAACTCCTGGACTCAAGTGATCCATGCGACTCGGCCTCCCAGAGTGTTGGGATTACAGGCCTGAGCCACCACACCTGGCCAAGGTTTCCTTTTTTCTTCCTACATAGAAGCGAGGACATGAAATATTTGTCATTCTGTGCCTGGCTTATTTCATTTAATATACAGACCTGCAATCTCATCAATTTTGTCTGCAACGGAGAGGAATTTCTTCCTTTTTAGGCTGAATAATACTTCACTGGGTGTGTATACCACAGTTTCTTCATTGAAACAAATTTCTGAAGAGCAAATATTTTAAAAATGTCTCAGAATGTGAAACTTCAGGGATACTGTGCCCATTTTATTCTTTTCTATTTCCCATCGTATGTATATGCAAGTGTATAACAAAGCAGCAATCAATGTGTGTATAAATCTATAACTTCAACAAATGTAAAATGTAAATGCTAAGTGGTGGCTGGGCGCGGTCGCTCAAGCCTGTAATCCCAGCACTTTGGGGGGCGGAAGCGGTGGATCACCTGAGGTCGGGAGTTCAAGACCAGCCTGACCAAAATGGAGAAACACTGTCTCTATTAACAATACAAAAAAAAAAAAAAATTATTCAGGCATGGTAGCGCATGCCTGTAATCCCAGGTAATTGGAAGGCTGAGACAGGAGAATTGCTTGAATATGGGAAGCAGAGGTTGCAGTGAGCCGAGACCGTGCCATTGAACTCCAGCCTGGGAAACAAGAGTGAAACTCTGACTCAAAAAAAAAAAAAAGGAAAAGAAAGAAATAGAAAATGCGAAATGTTAAGAAAAAACAGCATAATAAACATTTGTATGGTGTTGATGGACAATGCATTTGAAGATAATATTTGAAGAAATATTACAATTAATTTCTGTTCTTACTCATTGGAGCTTGATGCCCCTAAAAACTTCGTCATTGGAACCACCTCTGGTGCTTTAAAAGAAAAAAAAAAAAAAAAAATCCACATACTCACACAGGTGCAAGGAAACCAGAATCTCAGGTATTGAGACCCAGGCCTCATCATTTGTAAGCTCCCCAGGTGATTTGACTCAAAACCAAGATTGAGGAACGGCAACATGGATCTCTATACATAACCTGCCTAAATGGATTCTCTAGAAGCAGTTTATAAAGAAATTCCACATGAACTCTGGAAGAGGATATGAATTTGATGTACAGTATGTCCTCACTTAACATCTTTGAAAGTCTCTTGGAAACTTCACCTTGAAGCAAAATCATGTATAGTGAAACCACTTATTTTTCATCAACAGTATAACTACACAACTTTGAACAACCAATGGTGTTGGAGGACCTCCTGTACATTGTTTCCATAAAGTCAGTTTTCAGGGAATTCCAAAACGAAGTGAGGACTTCGTGTATATAAAAAGATGGTTGTGATTCCACCTGGATGACAGGGTTATTGCTCAGAAACTAAAAGAAGCCGCCTAGGTATAGAGGATCCTGTCATGAGGTTTCTGCTAAATAAAGGATCCCAGAATCCTCACCCATTCCAGTGAAAGGCATAACGAAGAAAGCAATATTCACAAAGGAAAAGTGGAAAGGAATAAAAGCCATCAAGCCACAAAAATAATGTGACTAAGGGGCAGGATTTGCAGATGTAGAGATTTAATGTGGTTGCCCTTTCTCACCCACACAAGAAAAAGGATGGAACAGATCATAAGATTCGACTGTTCTGCTGAGCAGCCTCCGCAGGGCACTTTGTATGTCCCTGTTTCTCAGGCTGTAGATGAAAAGGTTCAGCATGGGGGTGACCACAGAGAACATCGCTGACGCCACCACACCATTCCTGGGGGGTGGTGACACAGCTGAAGTCAGGTACATGCCAATGCCTGTTCTATAAAATCAGCAAACAACTGCTAGGTGAGAGCCACATGTGGAGAAGGCTTTATACTTCCCATCTGATGATGAAATCCTTAGAATGGAGGGGACGATTTTACAGTAAGACCATAGGATCCCTGAAATGGGAAGAAAACCAAACATAGTACTATTGAAATATATGAATATGCTATTGATGACGCTGTCAGAACAGGCAAGTTTGAGAAGTTGAGAGGGGTCACAGACAAAATTAGAGATTTCCACATTCTTGATGATTGTGAATTGTAACACAATTCAACTGTGCAGCTGGGAATCCAACATGCTAAGGAAAAAGGACACCAAAAGGAAGGAGACACAGAGGTGAGGATTCACGATGACTGGGTAGTGCAGAGGGCGACAGATGGCTACAAAGCAGTCATAGGCCATCACTGTCAGGAGCATGCCTTCTATACATGCAAAAAGGATGAAGAAAGACATCTGCGTCAGACAGCCCGCATGAGAGATGACTCTGCTATGCGACTGCATGTCCACAACCATCTTGGGAACCGTGGCCAAGGTGAAACCGATGTCAGCCCAGCACAGTTTAGAGAGGAAGAAGTACACGGGGGTGTGGAGGGGAGAGACAGAGCTGACAGCCAGGATGCTGAGCAGGTTCCTCAGCACCATGACCAGACACATGGACAGGGACAGGGAGAGCAAAGCGAGGACCGGCTGCAGTTCTGGATCCTCTGAGAGTCCCAGGAGGAGGAATTCTCAGACATCTGTGAGATTCCATGGCTCTGTGTGTCTTGGACACCTTGAGAAGGAAAGAGGATTGGAAAAATAAAAGATAAAAACCAGCCCTTAATGCTGGATGCAAGCAATTCACAAGGAACATCTTCACACTTGTGGACCATACACCGCCAGCAATGTTTCTCAGTTATGACAATTCCAAAAATCTCAGAATTATTACGTGATTTACTTTTTTGCTATACAAGGCTTTCTGTACATACTACTTTAGAGAAAATCCACTGAAGAATATTAGAAGACCAAAACGTCATATATAACAAATCCGTGATCTCAGTAAAATACGGCCTACTCTTTTCAGAAAAAATACAATGCAATGACAATGTCCTTCTCTCTTTAAGAAAAAGATCTCAGTCTAACTGAAAGAAATTAAGAAGCCGTGAAATACACTCTACTTTATTCTGACACGGTGCTACAACTTCCATTGATGTAGAACATGTAAAAGGACAACACAAGAGCTAGGACCCCATTATCTGAAAACGAAATCAAACCTTATAGTTCTCAATCGGAAGACCTTTTCACATGCCTGTTATTTTTCATATTTATTATCATCCTTCGGTTTTCTGACATCATTTCTTCATAAAAGTACATGCACACTCAAAAATGGGAGCTGTGTTTCCAAATGAATTGAATCTATAACTCTTGGCCCAGCACCATGGCTCACACCTGTAATCCCAGCACTTTGGGCGGCCGAGGCTGATGGATCACCTGAGGTCAGGAGTTCCAGAACAGCCTGGCCAACGTGGTGAAACCCCGTCTCCAGTGAAAATAAAAAAACATTAGCCGGGCATGGTGGCGGCTAACCCTAGCTACTCGGGAGGCTGAAGCAGGAGAATCCCTTAGAACCTGGAAGGCAGACATTGGACACCCTGTGATAGGATTTTTGATATCCTAGGGAGATATTGCTCCTGACAGCAGAGTGGGCGTACACCCTGTGATATTATTTGTAATATCCTAGAAAGATATTGCTCCTAATATCACGGTCGCTCTACACCCTGTGATCTTAATTGTAATATCCTACAGAGATATTACTCCTAATAATACAGTGGGCGTACACCCTGTGATATTATTCATAATATATTACAGAGATACGACTCCTGATATCACAGTGAGTGTACACCATGTTTGTACACTCTGTGATCTTATTTGTAACAACTTAGAAAAATATTACAGGTAATATCAAAGTGGGTGTACACACTGCGATGTTATTTGTTATCTACTAGGTAGATATTACTCCTAATATCACAGTGAGTGTACACCATGTGTGTACAGACTGTGAAATTATTCGTAATACCCTAGGAAGATATTACTCCTCATATCACAGTGGGTGTACACCGTGAGTGATATTTTTTTCTAATATCCAGCGGGGGAGAGGATGATATTGCTTCCCATATCACAGAAGGTGTACACCCCCCTGTGATATTGTTCCTAATATCCAGGGAAGGAGAGGATGACATTATTCACAATATCACTGGGGGTGTACCACCTCCCGCCCCGATATTGTTCTTAATATCCGGAGGTGGAGAGAATGATGTTACTCCCAATATCACAGGAGGTGTACACCACCCCTGTTTGTAAACACCCCTGTGATATTGTTCCAAATGGCCTGTGAAAGAGTAAACATGACTCCCATTATCGCGGGGGGTGTTCAGCCCTTATGATATTGTTTTCTAACATCCAGGGAAGGAGAGTATGCTATTACTCCCAATATCGCAGGGGTTGTACACCCTTTTGTGTTTTTGTGCCCAATATCCAGGAAAATAGAGGATGATGTTTCTCCCAATGTCGAGGTAATTGTACAGCACCCCTGGGATAGTCTCCCTAATATCCAGAAAGGAAGAGAATGATATTACTCCCAACAGCGTAGGAAACGTATACCCGTGCTGTGGTATCTTTCCCAGTATCCAGGTGGGGAGAGGATCATATTACTTCCAATGTCGCAGGGTGTGTACACCCTTTCTGTGATCTCGTCGCTAACATCCAGGTTTGGGGAGGACGACATTACTCCCAATATCGCAGGGGGAGTACACCCCGCTACAGGCATGAGCCACCGTGCCTGCCCGGCATCTTCTTTCAATAGAAGGCAGTTTCATCTACATTGAAAATCTGTTGTTAGTGTAGCCACCTTCATCAATGATCTTAGCTAGATCTTCTGGGTAACCTGCTGTAGCTTCTCCATCAGTACTTGCGGCTGCTTCTTGTACTTTAATGTTAAGAAGATGGATTTTTTTCCTGAAACTTCATGAACCAACCTCTGCTAGTTTCAGACTTCTCTTCTGCAGCTTCTTCACCTCTCTCAGCCTTCATAAAATTGAAGAGGGTTAGGGCCTTGCTCTGGGTTAGGCTTTGGATAAGTGTGTATCATGGCTGATTTGATCTATCCATACTGTTAAAACTTTCTCCATGTCAGCAATAAGGCTGTTTTGCTTTCTTATCATTCATGTGTTCACTAGAGTAGCACTTTTAATTTTATTCAATAATTTTTCAGCTGGATGCGGTGGCTCACGCCTGTAATCCTAGCACTGTGTGAGGCCAAGGCAGGTGATCCCTTGAGCTCAGGAGTTCAAGACTAGCCTGGGCAATATGGCAAAAACCCCATCTCTACATAAAATACAAAAATTGGCCGGGCCCGGTGGCTCATGCCTGTAATCCTAGCACTTTGGGAGGCCGAGGCAGGCGGATTGCCTGAGCTCAGGAGTTCGAGATCAGTCTGGGCAATATGGTGAAACCCTGTCTCTACTAAAATATGAAAAATTAGCTGAGTTTGGCAGCATGCACCTGTTGTCCCAGCTACTTTACTTTCTACTTTTTAGTTAGAAAGGCATGGCAAAGGCTAAGGTAGGCTGAAAGCTAGGTCTCCTATGGCAAACAGCCAAGTGGTAAATGCAAAGAAAAATTTCTTTTTTCTTTGAGACAGGGTCTCACTGTCACCCAGGCTGGAGTACAGTGGTGCAATCTGTACTGAGGCTGAGGCAGGAGAATTGCTTGAACCCGGGAGGCAGAGGTTGCAGTGAGCCAAGATCGCACCACCGCACTCCAACTTGGGTGACAGAGCAAGACTCTGTCTCAAAAAAAAAAAAAAAAATTGGCCAGGCACAGTGGCTCACACCTGTAATCCCAGCACTTTGGGAGGCCAAGGTGGGTGGATCATGAGGTCAGGAGATTGAGACCATCCTGGCTGACATGGTGAAACCCCGTCTCTACTAAAAGTATAAAAAATTAGCCGGGCGTGGTGGCGGGCACCTGTAGTCACAGCTACTTGGGAGGCTGAGGCAGGAGAATGGTATGAACCCAGGAGGCGGAGCTTGCAGTGAGCCGAGATCGTGCCACTGCACTCCAGCCTAGGCAACAGTGCAAGACTCCGTCTCAAAAAAATTAAAAAATAAAAAATAAAAATAAAATTATCTGGGTGTGGTGGCACGTGCCTGTAGTCCCAGCTACTTGGGAGGCCAAGGTGGGAGGATCACTTGAGCCTGGGAGGTGGAGGTTTCAGTGAGCTGAGATTGCACCACTGTACCCCAGCCTGGGTGACAGTGAGACCCTGTCTCAAAAAAAAAAAAGAATTTTTTCTCTGCATTTACCACTTGGCTAACTATTTGCCACAGGAGGCCTAGCTTTCAGCCTGCCTTAGCCTTTGCCAAGCCTTTCTTACTAAAGTAGTCGTCTCATCCCTCTTGTCCTTCTCTCTGTGGCTGTGCTTTCCTGCAGATTGATGTGGGCCATTCTTCCTGGCCCCAGACAGACCTTTCATCACCCTGCTCCCTGCAACCACAAAGTGAGTGATATGTCACTCTTCACTTCATTTGAATACTTAGAGGCCATTGTAGGGTTATTAAATGGTCTAATTTCGATGCTGTTGTATCTCAGGGAGTCGAGAAGCCTGAAGAGAGGGAGAGAGACAGGGGAATGACCAGTCAGTAGAGCACACATACAACATTTATCAATTAAGTTTGCCGTCTTAGGTTAGGCACTGTGTCTCATACCTGTAAGGCTGAGATGGGAGAATCACTTGAGGTCAGGTGTCTAAAAAAAAGACCTTGTCTCTAGAAAAAAAAAAAAAAAAATTAAACAGGCATGGTGGCACACATCTGTAGTCCCAGCTACTTGGGACTGAGGCAGGAGGATTGCCTGAGCCCAGGAGTTTGAGGCTGCAGTGAGCTATGATTAGTGCAGCTGCATTCCTGCCCGGGTGACAGAGCGATAGTCTGTCTCAAAAACAAAAAAAGTTTACCATCTTATGTGAGCACAATTCGTGGCACCCCCAAAACAGTTACAATAGTAACATTAAAGATCACTGATCACAGATCACCGTAACAGATGCAATAATAATGAGAAGGTTTGAAATGTGAGAATTACCAAAATGTGACGCAGCAACCCGAAGTGAGCACATACTGTTGGCAAAATGGTGCTGATAGACTTGCAGTGTTGTCACAAACCTTCCTTTTTTTTTAAGCACACAGTATCTATGAAGCACAATAAAATGAAGTATGCCTGTACACCTAAGATAAGATATATGGATTTCTAGCCCTGAGGTTATATCAATTTACTTCGATTTGCTCAACCAGGCTTCTAGTTTTTTTCTTAAGCCTATTCTGACTCCTCTCTTCTTGCTTTCTTGTTACACTTGTTTATCTTTCTAAGCCAGCACCCTCCATCGTATTTCATTCATAAAAAAATGAGTGTTTTATCATACAAAGCTAGAGTCATGGAATTTTAGAGATCATCCAGCCCCCACCATCTCATTTTCCATCTCAGATAGGAAAACTTTTATATGTTCAAAGTCATACAGCAAATCAGAACAGCATAAGGACTAGGTCTCCTGTCCCTACACTCTGCCTACACTACACACTCTGCCTCTTGCGCACACTATACATTTCTTAGAAGTTTCAAACTGAAAGAATCTCAGTTCACATGAGCGAACTTCACAAGAGTCACTCCTTTTGAGATTCCTGAGGAAAGAGAGGCAGCATTGGGAAGAGAAAATGAAGTTAGAACAGAAAGAACAAGAGTAGATCCTTTTGTCGTGCAGTTTTAGGAGAGATCCAGAGAGTTAAGACAAAGTCAAGTTTGGTCTGAGACTATTCTTCCATTGTGGAAAGGGCTAAAAAATGTAAAAAGGCCGATGGTGCCAGTTCAGTGTGCCCTACCAGGTTCCACTGTGGCAGTGCCAGGTTCCAGTGTGCCAGGTTCCACTGTGGCAGTGCCAGGTTCCAGTGTGCCAGGTTCCACTGTGGCAGTGCCACGTTCCAGTGTGCCAGGTTCCACTGTGGCAGTGCTAGGAGCTGACCTGACTGGAGCTCGATCTCTGTGATCCTGCCCAGTCTATAAAATGAAGCTCCGTGAGATTAGGAACCTGTCTGTCTCGTTCTGTAATGCATTCCTGGCACCTAGAACATTGCCCAGAGCAAAGTAGCCTTTTAGTGTAAATGTTCATTATATAAGTGACCTTTCAAAGGGGAGTTGTAGATAGAGCCACCATAAAACTTATCATCCAAAACAGGACACTTTAAGGGCAAAGGAGAGTGCTATTAATAATTACACTAAGGCCGGGCACAGTGGCTCATGCCTTTAATTCTAGCACTTGCAGAGACCAAAGTGGGAGGATCATTTGAGTCCAGAAATTCAGGACCAGCCTGGGCAACATAGCGAGATGCTGTCTCCACAAAAAATTTATTATTACTATTATTATTCTTTTTTTTTTTTTTTTTTTTTTTTTTTTTTTTTTTTACATAGCGTCTCACTCTGTCGCCCAGGCTGGAGTGCAGTGGCGCGATCTCGGCTCACTGCAAGCTCCTCTTTCCGGGTTCACGCCATTCTCCTGCATCAGCCTCCCCAGCAGCTGGGACTACAGGCGCACGCCGCCACGCCCGGCTAATTTTTTGTATTTTTAGTAGAGGCAGGGTTTCACCGTGTTAGCCAGGATGGTCTTGATCTCCTGACCTCGTGATCTTCCCACCTCGGCCTCCCAAAGTGCTGGGATTACAGGCATGAGCCACCGTGCCCAGCCAAAAACTTTATTATTTATTATTTATTTATTTATGAGACAAGGGCTTGCTCTGTCATCCAGGCTGGAGTGCAGTGGTGTGATCACTCACTACAACCTCTACCTCCTGGGTTCAAACGATCCTCCCGCCTCAAGCTCTCAGTAGCTGGAACTACAAGTGCATACTACCAGACCCAAATAATTTTTTTTTTTTTTTAGACAAAGTCTCGCTCTGTCGCCCAGGCTAGAGCACAGTGGCACAATCTCGGCTCACTGCAACCTCCCACCTCTGTTTTTTATAGAGACCAAGGTCTCACTATGTTGCCCAGGCTGGTCTCAAACTCCTGGGCTCAAGCAGTCCTCTTGTCTCAGCCTCCCAATGTGCTGGGATTACAGGCGTGTACCACTACACCCAGCCTCTACAAAACATTTAAAAATTAGGTGCAGTAACTCATGCCTGTAATCCCAACACTTTGGGAGGCCAAGGTGAATGGATCGCTTGAGCCCAGGAGTTTGAGACCAGACTGGGCAACATGGCAAAACCCCATCTCTACAAAAAATAACAAATTAGGCACAGTGGTGTACGCCCGTAGTCCCAGCTACTCAGGAGGCTGAGGTGATAGAATCACTTGAGCCTGGGAGTTCAAGGCTTCAGTGAGCTGTGATTGTGCCATTGCACTCCAGCCTAGAGCTAGATCCTGTCTGAAGAAAAAAAAAAAAATTATCCAGGCATGGTGGCCCGTGCCTGTCATCCTAGATACTTAGGAGGCTGAGGTAGGAGGATCACTTGAGCCCAGGAGATCGAGGTTGCAGTGAGCCGTGATCATACCACTACACTCCAGCCTGAGTGACAGAGTGAGGCCCTGTCTCAAAAAATTATTATTATTATTATTATTATTATTATTATTATTATTATTATTATTGTACTGAGACAACAGATAAGACTGTTCCAGGCAAACCGGTACCTACGTTCACCCCAGTTTTAGGATAAATAAAAGTTTCTCAGAGTTCTTTTCCATTTTGGCCATCTACATTACTCTGCACTTCTAGGACCATGGTGGGATGGAGGTCAAAGGGAGACAGCAACTGCAGAGTCTTATCAGAAGGGTATTGAACATCAACAGCAGGGTGAAACATACATGCAGGTACTTTGTGAAACTGTAGCGAAGGAATGTCCTGCAACATTTCAGCAAGAGACAGATGGTACATGTAAGCTGGGATTACAGATGGATGGCACTCAGTTTTATAATTTAGGGTGCCTAAAACGTCATAGACTTTTTTTCTAATGAGTCATTCTAATTGGTATGTTATAGTGAAAGCAAAACATAGGGCTTTTAACTCTGTGAAATGGGGTTATTATGATCACCAGTTTTCTAGTAAGAAAAGCACAGAGAAATTTAGTGGGGTGACCCAGGTCACACTGCCAAATAAGTCTTGGAGCGGATTTGAACCTAGGCCACTTGATTCCAACTAACCGTTGCTCAGAAGCTAATAATGAATCATTTCCTAATAATTAATTTCCTGATAATCTCACTTAGAGTTAAGGTTAAAATAAACTATCTCTACACACCTATCTAGTTACCCTTTCTAGTAGCATTCACTGTAACATTCATGAGACAAGGTAAAGAAAAATGAAAAACCTGGAAAATTAAAGAAAAGATTTCAGGATTATTGCTAGGTCCAAGAAAAGATTGTAATGGTAATTAGAAAATATTAAAGAGTTAATGAGAATAAAAATACTACTCAAGCTTGTAGAATGAAGCCAAAGTTATGCTTTACAAGAAAGACATTTACCTTTAAAATAACCTGTGATAGAAGAATCAGAGTTGAAAATTAAAGACAAAAATTTTTTAAGATAAGGGGAAAAAGGAAATTTCAATAAATAAAAAAGGAAAAAGGAATTAGGGGGCCAGGTGCAGTAGCTCATGCCTGTAATCCCAGCACTTTGGGAGGCTGAAGCAGGCAGATGACTTGAGGCCAGGAGTTCAAGACCAGTCTGGCCAACATGGCAAAACCCTGTCTCTACTAAAAATACAAAAATTAGTTGGCTGTGGTGGTGCACGCCTGTAATCCTAGCTACTCAGGAGGCTGAGGCACGAGAATCGCTTGAACCTGAGAGGCGGAGGTTGTAGTGAGCTGAGATCATGCCACTGCACTCCATTCTAGATGGCAGAGTGTGACTGTGTCTCAAAAAAAAAAAAATTAGGGGCCGGGTGCAATGCAATGGCACATGCCTGTAATCTCAGTGGTTTGGGAGGCCGAGGAGGGACAATCGCTTGAGCCCAAGAGTTTGAGACCAGCCCGTGCAACATAGTGAGAACTTGTCTCTACAAAAAATTGTTTTTAATTAGCTGGGCATGGTGGTGTGAGCCTATGGTCCCAGCTGCTCAAGAGGCTGAGGTGAGAGGATTGCTTGAGCCCCAGAGTTCAAGGCTACAGTGAGCCATGATCCTGCCACTGCATCCCAGCCTGGGTAGGGCAAGACCCCATTTTTTTTTCTTCTTTTTATTTGAGACAGGGTCTCACTCTGGTCACCTGGCTGGAGTGCAGTGGTGCAGTCGCAGCTCACTGCATGCAGCCTTGGCTTCTGAAGCCCAAGCAGTCCTCCCACCTCAGCACCTCAGCCTCCCAAGTAGCTAGGACCACAGACATGCACTACCACGCCTGGCTAATTTTTTTGTTTTTGTATAGACAGGTTCTCACTATGTTGCTCAGGCTGGTCTCAAACTCCTGGGCTCTAGCAATCCTCCCACCTTGGCCTCCTAAAGTGCTGAGATTACAGCCACAAATCGCTGTACCCAGGGTGAGACCCCATCTCTTTTTTAAAAAGTAGGGGTATAATCACAGATAAATTGAATTTTGACAAAGAATTAAGAAGCCAGCATACTACGATATAAATAAAATCTCTATGCAGAAATTATCTTGGGAGATTATTGCACATAGACATTTCTGGAGCAAGGAGGTTATAAAATGCCTGTGATAGTTAGATATGGTGGCTAATGCTCTCTCTGCACGATATCTATATGTATATATATACACACACCTCTTTGTAGATGGCTAGAAACTGTGGCTAAAACTGGTAGGTTTTTAGTTGTAAGTTAACAAAACTGTTCACAAAATAAATCATACTAAAAACTTAACAATATTATTAGATAATATTTAGAAGGAAATAATGAAATAAATGTCCCCAAAAAGTTCAGTCATTTAAGAGTAGTTTGATAGTTTGAGTAGGCCCTGGCACTAGGTAGCAGTGTCCCCTGGTGGTGAATCTTGGTATTTCATATCTCTCCATCGTTTTTCCTCAGGGTTCTTCTGATGCTGAGGAGTCTGGTCCTAGCCCCTGGCTAGCTAATCCTTCCAGCCGGAGGACATTCTTCCCACATCCCCGTACGTATGTACCTGACAGAGTGGAAGTCTCCCAGCCACCTCTGAGATCTTTCTCCTGGAAAAGAAATGCTATCAAGTCACTGACAAGCACACAAGACCAGCCTGTGTTCACCAAATTAATCACGTACTCTAGGCCTAACCCTATCTGTATATTAAACTAGCTTTCTTGCTTAGATGCCATTGACTTGAGTAAGCAGAATAAGATCTATATTTCAAGTGGAACCAAGTACTCTCTGTTTCCCTGCAGGGACACCAAGGAAATTTCAGAGCTCAGGAATATCCTAACACAGTTGCAGCCAGGGACTCTGGGGCGTTCAGCCCACATGGTGCTTTCTGCTGCCCACAGGGTGCCTCCAGTCAGTGTGGCAAGCCCAAAGAACAACCATGCAGAACCAGGTTCCAGTCATCCAGACAGGGCAGGTGAGTTCACACGACCTGTTCCTTCCTGTCCCTAGCAGTGCCCTTCCTCCCTGAATCTACCATTGCTCTGCAGGGATGGCTCACAAGTGGGACTTCATGTGGTAGAACAGATAATTGTTGGTGTCTTGTTACCAGAAGACAAATCAAATATTGTACAGTAATTGAAAAAGCACTGGCCTAGGAATCAGGAATCCTTATCTCTTTGGGCCTCAGCTGTCTACCACATAAGAAAAGACGTAGTTTATTATTTTAAGAAAAAGAGACTAGAAGGGAACTCATAATTTTTGGGCACCTACTATAGGCTGGGCCCTGGAGCTATGAAAGCACTTTAAAATATATTAAATGCTGTACAAAGTGTTTCATAAATTCAGAATAACCAGACAAATGGAGGTTGATGGTTTTTATTATCACTCGTTTGACAGATATTTATTAAACATCGTTTGTGCCAGGCTCTGTGCTAGGGATACCGTAATAAATAGCAATGCTCCTTCCCTAGTGGAGAAACACATGTCAGTGTCACACAGATAAATTTAAATCTTCAAACTGTGATGAGTACTGTCAAGGAAAAGTATAATTGGAGGACTAGATTTAGATTAGAGAATCCAGGAAAAGTGCCTCATAGGAATTAGCATTTCATCTAAGACTTGAAGAGTGAGAAAGGCACACTCTTTGCCTCCAGGCAAAGAGGGTAGAAAGAATATTCTTAGAGGAAGGAACATCATATGTGAAGACTGCTTTGTTAAAGAGCTGTATTTAACGAGCATTTCTAATACAGATCCCAGAGCAGAGGAGCAAAACTCTGAGAATGACGCACGCAGGATGAAAAGAAGGAAAGTGCAGCACCAAAGGTAAGTAGATCAATATGAAAGACCCAAATCACCTCCCCAAACCTTATTGCCCTTTTGCAGCTGTCCTTCCCCCCAATCTTGTTTCATTAAAGGTCAGAGAGTATCCTTGTGTCTGGGTTTAACCTGTGGGTCTAGACCTAAGGGCAGTGAAGAAAAGATATCCTTGTCCACATGTTGTCAGGTTTGGAACTAGGCAAACAGGCAGTCCTGTAGTGAACCAGAATCTGAAGATGAGTGTGCTGTATTTCACGGGCTTCATCAAAATCTAAATCTTTGGCCGGGCGCAGTGGCTCACGCCTGTAATCCCAGTACTTTGGAAGGCCGAGGTGGGCGGATCACCTGAGGTCGGGAGTTCAAGACCAGCCTGGCCAACAAGGCAAAACCTTGTCTCTACTAAAAATACAAAAATTAGTTGAGTGTGTCGGCACACGACTGTAATCCCAGCTACTAGGGAGGCTGAGGCAGGAGAATCACTTGAACCCAGGAGGCGGAGGTTGCAGTGAGCCGAGATCGCGCCATTGTACTCCAGCCTGGGCAACAAGAGTGAAACTCTGTCTCAAAAAAAAAAAAAAAAAAAAAAAATCTAAATCTTTTCTGCTTCAAAGGACACTGTCAAGAAAGTAAAAGACAACCCATAGAATATGGAAGAAAGTATTTGCATATCATATATTCAGTAAGGCTCTTTTATCTAAAATACATAAAGAACCTTTACAAGTCAACAATAGAAAGATATCCTAATTTTTAGAATGGACAAAGAATCTGAATAGAATTTTCTCCAAAGAAGATATATAAATGGCTATTAAGCACATAGAAGATGCTCAACATCATTAGCCATCAGAGAAATGCCAATCAAAAGCCACAATGATTATTTCACACTGACTAGGATGGCTGTAATAAAAAAGATGGACAGTAACAAGTGTTGGCGAAGATATGGAGAAATTGGAACTCTCATACATATTGCCAGTGGGAATGTAAAATAGTGCAACTGATTGGAAAACAGTTTGGCAGTTTCTCAAAATGTTTATATAGAGTTACCATATGACCTAGCAGTTCAGCTCCTAGGTGTTTATGTCCAAAGAATTGATAACAGGTGTTCACACGAAAACTTAACGGGCAAATGTTCAAAGCAGCATTATTCATAATAGCCAAAAAATTGAAACAACCCAAATGTCTATCAGCTGATAAATAAAATGTGGTGTAGCTATACTGTGGAATATTACTCAGCCATCAAAAAGGAATATAGTACTAATACCTGCTCCAACATGGATGAACCTTGTAACCATACTAAGTGTAAGAATTCAGTCACAAAAGACCATATATTGTATGATTTCATGTCCAGAATAGGCAATTCCAAACCACTAAAGTAGATTAGCAGTTGCCAGAGTCTGGTTTGGGGTTTCTTTTCTTTTTCTTTTTCTTTTTCTTTTTTTTTTTTTTGAGACGGTGTCACGCTCTGTCGCCCAGGCTGGAGTGCAGTGGCACAATCTCGGCTCACTGCAACCTCCACCTCCTGGTTCAAGCCATTCTCCTGCCTCAGCCACCCAAGTAGCTGGGACTACAGGTGTATGCCACCACACCCAGGTAATTTTTGTGTTTTCAGTAGAGATGGGGTTTTGCCATGTTGGCCGGGGTGGTCTTGAACTCCTGACCTCAGGTGATCCACCTGCCTTGGCCTCCCAAAATTCTGGGATTACAGGCGTGAGGCACTGCGCCCAGCCTGGGTTTGGGGTTTCTTTTGGGGGTAATGAAAATGTTCTGGAATTACATGGTTGTGATTACACAACTCTGTCAATACAGGGTTTTGAATTGAATTTATATATATATAAACAATTGAAACAATTGAATATGTATGTGTGTGTGTGTGTATATATATATATATATATATATTTTTTTTTTTTTTTTTTTTTTTTTTTTGAGACGGAGTTGTGCTTTTCACCCATTCTGGAGTGCAGTGGCATGATCTCGGCTCACTGCAACCTCAGCCTCCCAGGTTCAAGCTGTTCTCCTGCTGCAGCCTCCCAAGCTGGGTCTACAGGTGCGCATCACCACACCCAGCTAATTTTTGGTTTTTGTTTGTTTGTTTTTTGAGATGGAGTTTTGCTCTTGTTGCCCAAACTGGAATGCAATGGCACAATCTCAGCTCACCGCAACCTCTGCCTCCTGGATTCAAGCAATTCTCCTGCCTCAGCCTCTTGAGTAGCTGGGATTACAGGTGCCCGCCACCACGCCCAACTAATTTTTGTATTTTTAGTAGAGACAGGTAAATGTTGGCCAGGCTGGTCTCGAACTCCTGACCTCAGGTGATCTGCCTGCCTCGGCCTCCCAGAGTGCTGGGATTACAGGTGTGAGCCACCATGCCTGGTCTTGAATTTATATTTTTAAAGAGTGAGTTTTATGGTATGTGTACTATATTTCAATTAAAAAATAATAACCCAAGGGCAGTAATAGAATCTCTGTTCTCAGATGTTCAAAGGTTAAATGTCTTCCCTCAAGTCTGGTATATCAGGTGGGAAAACCAGGACCCCAACCCAGGGTTTCTAGGTCTATGTTAACTCTTCTACATTATTTTTGCTCTGATTTCAGGCTCCTTCAGCCCTTATGGCCTCTTACTAATAGCTGGTCTTTAACTGTTCTTTCTCACAGGCCTTTATCCAACTCTAATTCTTGGCCAAACAGGAGGGAGACAGCAAGAGCATGGCAAAAAAAAAACAGCACCGACCCCAGGCCCAAAGCAGTGGTGGCCAGGATAGTGGACAGTGCCCGATTTGTGCAGGTAAGATGCTTGGGCACAGGGAGTTGTTGTATGACAACTAGGCATTCCTTGAGGGAGGAATAGGAGATCTGGGGGTACTGCCAAGAAACATTTGAATTTGGAGTGCTGGCTTCTGTCATCTCTGCAGCTCTCAGGTGTGGAACTGTATTTTTAGTCAAGTGTAATTCAAGACAAGTGTGTACTGAGCACAGTGTGCCAGCTAAGCTGAGGAAGGGACATGGGCCCTGCCCTCAGGAGAAGAATGAAACCAAGCAATGTAAAACACGATCGGAGAGGGCCTAGAATTTCCTTCGTAACTTTTTCCTACGTGTCCAAATGCTGGTTCCTCTTTCAGTCTCTGTTCAAACGGTTCTACTTTGCCAAGTGTTCTCTTATCTGCCCAGATCATCTCCCGCAACTGAGCTTCTGCAGGATTATCTGATTCCCTTGGACTTAGCACTTCTCACTGTCTGCTGTGTATCAGTGTTATTTGTCTTCACAGCTTATACAGACTTCTTGGGGTGACATCCTGCCTGGGAGCAGGCCGTTTTGTTTACCTCCTTCTCTCCCCCATAGGTTCCTTCAGGATTGAGATTCTTCCCCAGCATGCTGCCACTTGTGGAGAGACCTCCCCACCTCACCCAGCTTCTCCCTCCTCATCATCATCTTCGTCCCAGTCTGTACTGTGGGTGTCCTCCCCAGAAAGTTCACCCCCTGTCTCCTGGGTTCCGTGCCCTATCTGCCAGTTGCGGTTCTCAGCAAGAGAAGTAGAAGAGCATGCCAGCATATGTGGGGACTTCCCTCAGGCGTGAGCCATGAGGTCCTGTGGTTTTGCCCCACCCTCTGTGACAGACTGGGACTGAATCGCTTGACAGCTGAGAAGAGCCGCTGAGGCCAAAGCTCCCTCTCTCCTCCTCTCCACTCATTCCCTCAGGACTCTGCCTGAGGGCACCTCTGTGCCTAGCCTGATCCCCATTCCCAGTTGTCAAGGCTTCTGTGACCATGGCACCTGATTCTCCTAAGGCCAGCTCTGTTCTTTTCCCCCTTGGAAGTCTCCTTGGAACTTTTGGGCCTTGGGACACCATCCAGAATGTCTTTCCCTCTGTGAGTGGTGCACATTCTCATGCCCATTTTCCTGAAAGGAAAACCGAGGCCCAGTGAAGAGCAAACGCTGCCTGACAGATAAAATCCTGTGGTGTGCTGGGAATGTGCGTGTGGATTTTGAGCACGAGGCTGACATCCAGCAACCCATGAACCGAGCTCTCAGTCTCCTTTGTGGGCTCCTGTCCTGGGCATAATCAGGTAATGGTGATGTGTGTGACACTAAGCAAGTTATTTATTTTAGCATCCAGAATTAACTGAGAGAAAAAAATCTCCCATCCTCCCGCTCACAGAGCTATGATAGGGACCAGATGGGTTAATGACTAAGGAGTAGTTACTAGGCTTGACTGTGGAACCTTGGGCATATCCCATTCCTTATCTACACAAGGAGGTGATTGGACCAGAAGGTGTCAAAGATTCCCTCAAGCTGTGATATTCCAAATTCTGTTCCCACCTTCTTTGAGCAAATATGTCTTCTCTTCCCTTTCCCAGAAGATTTCACTGTGTGGCACTAACACCGGTTCCCCTGGTCCCCAGGGTACAGAGCAGAGGGGGAGCAGCTGGTCCTGCAAAGAGAGGGCCCAGGTCAGAGTTTTGAATAGATAGAAAAGAGGGTGCTAGGCACAGTCAGGGAGAAGACTGAGCAGGAGTTCAGTCCTTCGGTTCCTGTCAGCACAGGTGCCAGCATAGGTGGGCACAGCCATGGACCCCATCACGGTAAGAAGCCTGCTCCCCTACCTTCTCCCATTCTGCTCCCATTTCTACCCATGAATAAAAGAAAAGATTGGCCCAGAGGCACTGCAGGGGCATCCTAGCTGCCAAGCAGATGGCTGACATCACTATGTAGGTGGGAGAAGAGCCCTTGGAACCCTGAGCTTGGGCCCAGAAGAGAAGAGCAGTGAGGATGGGGCCGGGCCTGGTAGAAGAGAGGGATGAGGCAGTGCCAAGGGGGAGAAATGCCCCCCAAAGCAGGGGAGGGCAAAGCGGGAGGATTGGTGAAGAAAGAGTATGTTGGGATCCTGCTGGGGCCCTGGTCAGAGCGGAGGGGCTTGGCAAAAGCCCACACAAAACCCTCCTGTGTGGACATGTCCGGGCCTGCCTGTGGGAGAGGCTCTAGGACTTTAAGAGGGAAGAGCAGCTGGGAGATGAAGTCAACAAGAGGGGAGCTGGGTCGGAACAGATCCTGTGCACCCGTATGTGGGGTTAGGCTGCCAGGGCAGCCCACCCCTGCTTTAACCTACCCTTGCTCAAGGTACCCACAGGTAGCTCTGCTGTTGGGGGGCTCCTGTGAGGGTAGAAGTCAAGCTGAGGAAGGGGCCCCCGGTCAGACCCACCTGAGGAAGGGGCCCCCAGTCTCTACCCAGTGGGGGAAGAATAGAAAGCCCCCACTGTACAGTGTCAATTTTCCTAACCTGAGAATCTACACAATAAAATGGTGAATGAGACAATATTTGCCAGTGTGTGTTTGGGACAAGGAAGAATATAATGGTGGCTGGATATAGAGGGTTAAGTGCTAGAACATGGAAGGGTGAAAGAGGCCCCAAAACAAAGGGAGTTGAAACTCAGGGTCCTAGCCTCTCCACTCCTTCGTCCGCCAACAGCCTAACTGGACTGAGATCGTGAACAGGAAGCTCAGCTTCCCACCTCCACTCCTGGATGCCATCCAGGAGGGCCGACTGGGCTTTGTGCAGCAGCTGCTGGAGTCAGAGGTTGAGGCCACAAGCGAGCAGTGGGCCAGGCTGGCCCCTGTGGAATGTGGAAGAGGCTGAGGACCGCTGCTGGAGGGAGGCACTCAACCTGGCCATCCGCCTGGGCCATGAGGCCCTCACCGATGTGCTGTTGGCCAGTGTCAAGTTTGACTTCCGCCAGATCCATGAGGCCCTGCTAGTGGCAGTGGACACAAACCAGCAGCAGTGGTGCGTCGCCTGCCGGCCCGGCTGGAACGGGAGAAGGGTCGCAAAGTAGACACCAGGTCTTTCTCACTGGCTTTCTTTGACTCATCAATTGATGGCTCCCGCTTTGCACCTGGTGTGACTCCCCTCCCCCAGGCCTGCCAGAAGGACCTGTATGAGATAGCACAGCTGCTCATGGAACAGGGCCACACCATTGCCCGGCCCCACCCGGTCTCCTGTGCCTGCCTCGAGTGCAGCAACGCCCGCCGCTATGACCTGCTGAAACTCTCTCTGTCCCGCATCAACACCTACCTTGGCATCGCCAGCAGGGCCCACCTCTCACTGGCCAGTGAGGATGCCATGCTGGCTGCCTTCCAGCTTAGCCGTGAGCTCAGGCGCCTTGCACGCAAGGAGCCTGAATTTAAGGTTGGTTTCTCATACTTCTCTCTTCCCCTGGTGCCCCATGTCTGTTCTTCCACCGGAGCATGGTTGGGCCTGTGGTCAGTGTTCTGGAAAGCTTGGAAGCCACAGAAAGAGGACAAGGCCTGGTCTCTGTTCTCAGGAAACCTCTAGTTTGATGGGGAGTCACAGAATCCCCCCTGAGGGGATTTCATTCTAATGGCAGAGAACAGCCACTCCAGAGGGGCCTAGTCTTATGCGGGAGGCACAACCCCCACTCCAGGGGAGCCCTGAGTGTCTCTGAGGGAGGAGAGAGAACAGAAACAACTAGAAAAACAGCTGGACAGACTTAGAGATGACGTTCAGTAGAATACATTACGTCTGAATACCTATTAGGTGTTCCCACCCGGAGCATTGTGTGTTGCGGCTCTCAAGCGTATGATCAGAGCAGAGAGAAGGCAGAAAGAGGGGACAAGGTGCTTCCAGGACGCTTGTCTTCATTCGGTGCCGCTGTGAATGGTGCTAACAGGGCTTCCAAAGCCCAGAAAACAGGTCAGGAAAGCCATAGCTGTTGTGTTCAGGGAGGACTCCTTGGAAGACGTAGCATTAAGCTGAGCTACAGAAGTGGGTGGTTTCATACAAGTGAAGAGGAGCAGGGAGGGTATTTGAGGTAGGACTGCAGTCCACGCAAAGGCTCTCAGGAAGTATACACGGTGATGAGTGAAGGGGAGACACTGCGCAGGAAGGACTGAGAATGCACGAAGCAGAACCTGGAGGCAGGTACTAGTGAGGGTCCTGGAATGCCGCCAGTCCAGTTTGTCCATCCCTCATCCCCTGACGGCTCCTGTGTGTCAAGCTAGACTCGATCCCCATCCCCAAGATGACCATTAGGTGGGGAAACCAACATGGATGTTAAAATGGAGGGCTAAGGAAGTTGTGACTGATGGTGGTGGAAGGATAGGAGAATGAAAAGCCCCCACTGCACAGCTAGCAGGAAAGGGCAGTCCTTTCCAAAGGACTTTCCCTCCGTTCTCACAGCAGCCTAAGAGACAGGCATAGCAGGAAGTATCATCCCCACTTTACAGCAGAGAAGCTGAGGCCTGGGAAGGGGAAGTACCTTGCCCAATGTGATACCACCTGAGGACAGTGCTGGGACTCAGACCTCACCTCCTGAAAGCTGTCCCTGGATGCTCTCTAGGGTGAGGGCCTCAAGTAAAACCCAGGATAGGATGGATAAATTGGAGCCAAGGACCGCCTTAGGCCAGGCACAGTGACTCACGCCTCTAACCCCAGCACTTTGGGAGGCTGAGACAGGAGGATGAGGAGGCCAGGAGTTCGAGACCAGCCTGGGCAACATAGCAAAATCTCATCTCTATTTATTTATTTTTTTAATTTTTTGGAGACAGAGTTTCACTCTTGTTACCCAGGCTAGAGTGCAGTGGCGCCATCTCAGCTCACTGCAACCTCTACCTCCTGGGTTCAAACGATTGTCCTGCCTCAGCCTCCCGAGTAGCTGGGATTACATGCCTGCCACCACGCCCAGCTAATTTTTGTGTTATTAGTAGAGACAAGGTTTCACCATGTTAGCCAGGCTGGTCTTGAACTCCTGACCTTAGGTGATCTGCCCGCCTCAGCCTCCCAAAGTGCTGGGATTACAGGCATGAGCCACCATGCCCAGCTATTTTTTAAAAATAATAAATAAGTGGCCGGGCGCGGTGGCTCACGCCTATAATCCCAGTACTTTGGGAGGCTGAGGCAGGTGGATCACCTAAGGTCAGGAGTTCCAGACTAGCCTAGCCTGGCCAACATGGTGAAACCCCATCTATACTAATAATACAAAAAAATTATTAGCTGAGCATGGTGGCGCACACCTTTAATCTCCCCTACTCAGGAGGCTGAGGCAGGAGAATCGCTTGAACCCAGGAGGCGGAGGTTGCAGTGAGCCAAGATCGCGCAATTGCACTCCAGCCTGGGTGACAAGAGTGAAACTCGTCTCAAATAATAATAATAATAATAATTAATAAGAACTGCCTTATTCATTTCTGCATCTCCTAAAATTGCCAACGCAGGTTCTCATATAAGGTAGGTGTTCCAATAAATTAATTAAATGAGCACATGAAGGGTGTAAGGAGTAGAAGTAAAAGTGGGACAAGAAACAGATTAGAAGGGGAAGGAAAAGAGACAGAAAAAATGACAGAAGGGTTTGGGTTGAAGTGACTTAGTGATGAGGTAGCAATAGCACTAGATAAGCGAAGTGACCCAGGAGGTATCTCATTAGAGCAGGAAGGATGAGGCCGGGTGCGGTGGCTCACGCTTGTGATCCCAGCACTTTGGGAGGCCGAGGCGGGCGGATCATGAGGTCAGGAGATTGAGACCATCCTGGCTAACATGGTGAAAACCCGTCTCTACTAAAAATACAAAAAAATTAGCCGGGCATGTGGCGGGCACCTGTAGTCCCAGCTACTCAGGAGGCTGAGGCAAGGAGAATGGCTTGAACCCGGGAGGCGGAGTTTGCAGTGAGCTGAGATTGCAGCACTGCACTCCAGCCTGGGCGACAGAGCGAGACTCCGTCTCAAAAAAAACAAAAAAACAAAGAAGGATGGGTGAGGTGGCAAAGGAAAAAGAAATCAATGCCCTAGTGACACCAGACATAGGAACTGATGGTGCAGGGGCAGGACAGAGGTGGCCCAGGCCCACTACTGGTGGGCGTGTGGGTAGGAAGGAGTGGGCTGATTTAATGGGGTTGGATCCACAGGGTGGTAGGCATACACGGACCTGCTTCTCTACAGCCTGAGTACATTGCTCTGGAGTCACTGAGCCAGGACTATGGCTTTCAGCTGCTGGGCATGTGCTGGAACCAGAGTGAGGTCACTGCAGTGCTCAACGACCTGGCCGAGGACAGCGAGACTGAGCCCGAGGCTGAAGGCCTGGGCCTGGCCTTTGAGGAAGGCATCCCCAACCTGGTGAGGCTGCGACTGGCTGTCAACTACAACCAGAAGCGGGTCAGCTGGGCCCCACCTATATCCCCTCCCTGTCCTTTTCTCTTGCCCTGCCACCTCTAGGTCTCCCTGACCAGCCCTAAGCAACTCCTTTTCCTGCCCTCGAGACCCTCTCAGGCCTTGGTCCTGAGCACCCTTCTGTCTAAGCCCTTGACCCTGTGGGTCCCCTCCCTTCTTACATTCAATCTAAGCCCCTAACCTCTCCCCAGCCCTTGGAAGACCCATTACCCACCAAGACCTCACCTTCAGACCAGGACATCTGGTCTTAGACAGCTTTGTCTCTGACCTGCTGAGTTACTTCAATCCAGTCTTTCTGTTGTTCAGTTTCAGTACATCACTCTATAAAGCAAGATAAGACTAGATCTCTCAGGCCTTAAATATCCCCCAAAAGGTTCTATTATTCCCTGTCTCCTCAGACATCCTCCCCTCTAAGCTAAAGACAGGCTCCTTGTTTAGCCTCCCCCAGCTCCTTGCTCCTCACTCTCATCCACCCTCAACATCCACCAGGAACTTAACCAAAAACCTTCCTTCATAATGGCTCCCCTGGCCCTGTCTCCCAGTACAGCAAACCCCAGCTTCCCTCTTCTGCCCTCCTCAAGATCATCCAGGCTGATGTCCCACACCTCTAAGAAGGCAGGGGACCCTGGGGGTTCTGGGTCTTGGGTCCCCAGTTCTACCCACCACTGATTAACTTAGACTCAAGAATGTAGGGTCCAGAGAGTTCAGGAAAATCTTTGAGTTCAGTTTCCCCTCCATAGACCGAGGCCTAGAGAGAGATGGGTCTGACCACGGTCATCTGACAAGCGAGTTGGCTGGTGTGGGGAGAAAAGAAGGATTGTTCGACCTCTGTGGCAGGGAAGGAAGGGCTGTGTACCCAACTGGCTCCCCCATCCTCATCCTTGCCTGGTGGCCTCCCACTCTGCTTATGCCCCATCTCTGCTTAGTTCGTAGCACACCTCATCTGCCAGCAAGTCCTGTCCTCCATCTAGTGTGGGAACCTGGCTGGTTGGCGGGGAAGCACCACCAGCTGGAAGCTCTTTGCTACCTTCCTCATCTTCCTCACCATGCCCTTCCTCTGCCTTGGCTACTGGCTGACACCAAAGTCCCAGGTACTAAGAATAAGATTAATGATAACTGTCACTTATTGAGCACTTGTTTTATGAGGCCCTGGGCTAGACACTTGGTGAATATAACTTTGTGTGAATGTTTCCATTAAGTAGCTGCAAGTGTAGCCCTGAGGAAGGCATTCTGCTTCAGTGGTACAGGGGAGCAACCTGAGGCACAGGGAAGGGCAATGCTCTTTTTGTCAAAAGTACACAGGAAATAGTGGAGTGAGGATTTAAACCGAAGTCTCTCTGCCTCCAAAACCTTAATCCTACTAACAGCCCTATACTCGCCTAAAGAGAGGCCCACCCCAGCTACAAATTCTATGGGAGCCCTTCATCCAACCAATATGTCCTTGAGACCCAACTGTGAGCCAAGCATGGTGCCTGGCACTGGGGTTATCATGAAGAAAAGCCCTGTTCCTGCTGAGCAGGTGAGGAATGGGGAGAGGGGTCTTCCAGGAAGCAGGAGCATACGTGTGAAGGCCTGGGGGAGGGAGAACCCAAAGTGTTAGAGAAACTGAAAGGAATTAGATGAAGAGTGGTGGAGAAGCATGCAGGGGCCAGATCTCACACAGCCCTTATAAGCCACGCAGGATGGGAGCCATTGTAGGATTAATGAGGCGAGTCCCGCATCAGTCTTGTGTTTCAGAAAGTGCCCTCTACTAGGGGTGTGAAAGGTGGGCTGGGGGTGCAGGGCAGGAGTTAGGGAGACTGGGTGTGAGGGGACAAGCACGTAGAGATGTTTCATATTCCCGGCCTGGGTGACAAGGTCATTTTATGAGGTGGGGACACAGAAGATGGAAGAGCAAGATAGGATAGAAGATGATGAATTTATTTTTTAACGTGGTTGAGTTTGAAGAGCCTGTCGGGCCTCCGAGGCAAAGTTACTTTACATCTGTGATCCTCAGTTCTTGAAAAAAAAAAAGGGAATAATAATGTCTACCTCATATGGTTTGGAAGGAGACAACAGATAGGAGTCTACGGCCTGATATGTAGCACATTCTCAATATATGTCTGAATAGTGCGTGACTGAATCTGAGAAAGGGGAGTCACATGTGGGTGGAGCAGTCTAGGAAGGGCTCACAGGAGGGAGAGACACCCAGGACTGAGAGCCCTACTCTCCCTCCTTCCCCTGGAAGCTGGGCCACCTGCTAAAGATCCCAGTACTGAAGTTCCTGCTGCACTCTGCCTCCTATCTGTGGTTCCTCATCTTCCTGCTGGGAGAGTCCCTGGTCATGGAGACACAGCTGAGCACCTTCCGTGGCCGCAGCCAGAGTGTCTGGGAGACTTCACTACACATGATTTGTGTCACAGGTATACGTGTAGGACCCTTTATTTGTGGCAGTGTCCCTTAGGGGCCCTCCTTCCTGTCCTTCACAATAAGCACCCCAACAGGGGGATCCTGCTTTGTAGATGACCCTGAACATATAACCAGACCCCTCTGGGCTGTAGCACACTACAGGGCCCTTTCCCTTCACCCCTAGTCAGGGACCTAGCCCTGTGGTAGACTCCCTGAGCAAGGACCCCTTCTTCCCCATCCCTGGCATCAGTCACTACCCACCCTGGAGGTTTCTGTTCTCTCACAAATAAGACCCTGGTCCACAGTGCGAGGTGGGAAACTACCTTGGTGTCATGGCAGCCCCCAAGTACTGCAAGACAGACTCTCCTGGAGGTCATGGAGCAGAAAGGCTCACAGACCAAATGAAAGGACTCAAATCATACAGAGAGTTAAATCCGTAAGTGGTGTAATTATGATGGTGTTGTAATAAGGATCAGAGTTGAGGTTTGAGTGGCTGGGGTTAGGGGGGTGGTGCAATGGACAGAAGGTGCCTGGAGCCAGGCATGGTGGCTCATGCCTGTAATCTCAGCCACTCAAGAGGCTGAGGTGGGAGGATTGCTTGAGGCCAGAAATTCAAGACCAGCCTGGGCAACATAGAGAGACGCCATCCCTTAAAAATAAAAGAAGATTGGCCAGGTGCGGTGGCTCACGCCTGTAATCCTAGCACTTTGGGAGGCCGAGGCGGGCAGATTGCCAGAGCTCAGGAGTTCAAGACCAGCTTGGGGAAGATGGTGAAACCCCGTGTCTACTAAAATACAAAAAATTAGCCAGGCACGGCAGCATGTGCCTGTAATCCCAGCTACTATGGAGGTTGAGGCAGGAGAACTGCTTGAACCCGGGAGGCGGAGGTTGCAGTGAGCTGAGATTGTGCCACTGCATTCCAACCTGGGTGACAGAGCAAGACTCTGTCTCCAAAATGAAATAAAATAAAAAATAATAAAAGAAGATACCTTGGCCCAAGACTTGATCTATGGGAGAAACACAGTGGCAGGTATGTTTGGCTGCAGCTGTAGCTTGCCAATTATCCTGATGAGTAGCTATTAATTTCATATGTATTATTCGGGCAGAGGACATGTCGAAACAGAATGGCTGGTGCCAGTGGGTAGCTGATTTAAGATCTCATGAATACTGAGGGCCTCGTATGCTTCATGCATATTCAGTATATCATGAATATTTATAGTCTGTCCATCTCTTTCTATGTATGTTCACCCACACATGCTCTACTAACTTTACTTGTTCAACGTGTCACTAAAGTAACTAGCCTATACTTAACGCATAAGTTTCATCCATTCCATTGGTTTTCTTTTCTTCTATAGCAGAATTGAGTATTCTCAAACAATTTAGCAAATGCAATTTACAAGAATCCCCAGAGCTTCAGCAGCCTCTGGCCTGTCAGCTCAGCAGGCCGAATTGGTGGCGCCTTCCTCGGCTGTCCTCCTCTCATTTAGTTCTGGCTTGGTTAGTAAACTCTAGAGCCACCAGTATACCAAGTCCACTGCTCCACCCTGTACCAGGCCAGTCAGTGATGTCAGAAAGGAAATCTGGTGCAGAAACTTTAGGGAAAGAAAATAAGAGCAGCCCAAGAGGGAAAGTTTCTCATCCTATTGTTTACTAAACATGGATTGACCTGTGCTGAGTGGAGAGGAAACCAATACAATTCCTACCCGTGGGAGAAGAAAGGTCTTAGAAACATATGAAACAAAACCCATTTATTCATGTAATAAATGTTTCTTGATGCCCTATCATAAGTGAAGCCCTAAGGGTACATGGAGAAGTTTAACATGGCCCCATCCATCCAACACACATTCACTGAGCGTGCACCCTACCCTCACAGGGCATTCCTGCTCTACAGGACTGATTTAGGTTCCCGACCACATGATATTCACATTTGTCTAGGCCTTTGCTCATTCACATTTCCTGGAGCACTTGCCTCTTCCTGCACTGCCCCTTCACCTGGCTGGCTCCCACTCCTCCTTCAGGTCTCAGCTTAAATGCCACTTTTGGAGAAGTTTTCCCTGGCCCCTAAATCAGGGTGAGGGTCCATCCCTAAACACCCATAACAGTCCCTCTGTCCCCCTGCTCCTTAGTCCTAGCATTTACCACATTGTGTGAGACCCGCTTGGGTTACCCACTATGCTCCTCACAGACTGTAAGCCCTGGGAGGGCAGGGACTGTCTTATTCACCACAGGTTCCCACTGGCACATGGTAGGAGCTTACTAAATGTTTGTTTAGGCCAGGCGCAGTGGCTCACGCCTGTAATCCCAAGACTTGGGGAGGCTGAGGCAGGTGTATCACCTGAGGTCAGGAGTTCGAGACCAACCTGGCCAACATGATAAAACCCTGTCTTTACTAAAAAATACAAAAATTAGTCAGGAGTGGTGGCATGTGCCTGTAATCCCAGCTACTCGGGAGGCTGAGGCAGGAGAATTGCTTGAACCCAGGAGGCGGAGGTTGCAGTGAGCCGAGATCGGGCCACTGCACTCCAGCCTGGGGACCAGAGAGCGAGACTCTGTCTCAAAATATATATATATACATTCTTTTTCATATTTGTTTAATTTGTTCTGGGCACCAGGGACAGAGATGAGTGGACATAGTCCCTGCCCTTGAGGGGCTCCAAGTTCAGGGGGAGGCAGGGTAGAGACAGACCTGTGGAGAGAGATCCTGCAGTGCCCTGTAGTGATGGGATCACAGAGATATGAGCTGTGAGAACACAAAACCCCAAGAAATTCACTCCACCTGCTTAGGGAAGGCTACTTGGAGAAGATAACATGCGACCTGGGCCACAAAGGTGAGCTGGGCTTCCAGAAGATGTGGAAGGACATTCTAGGCACAGGGAACAAACCATGAGTGGAAAAGCATGTGATTGTATCCAGGGAATGAGAAGGGTGCAATGTGGCAGGGCCACCTAGCTTATGGGGTCCAGCTCCCAAGACCCCCAGCCCCAGGTCTGGTACTGGGCCTCACTGGAACACAGGCACCCTGAGCAGCCTGAGAATTTGGAACCCCTTCAAGTCGATACTCTGTATTTTTTAATTTTTAAAAATAATTTAATAGAGATGGGGTTTCACCATGTTGCCCAGGCTGGTCTCAAACTCCTGGGCTCAAGCAATCCTCCTGCCTTGGCCTCCCAAAGTGTTGGGATTACAGGCGTGAGCCACCGCACCCAGGCTCAAATCAATATTCTTCAGTTATTTGTCCAGTATTTACTTGATGGAGGGCACAGAGAAACAAATTTCAGTCATTCCCTCCTAATAGACAGCCTGTCCCAGGTGATACTCACATTCGGAGTATCCGCTGACTGGGATCATTGGTTCAGGTCACACCAGCAGTGTCTGCATCAGCAAGGCGTCTTTTTTATGTTCACATAAGATCACCTGTTCCTGAGTAGATTACATGTTTACATGTCATTGACTTCACCCCATAATGTTTTAGCACCTCACTGCCATTCATAGGTTACCCCTGCCTCGTAATCTAGCTCTGACATAGAAGGAGAAGTTCGGTCCCATTCTGTCCTGGCTCCCTGCCACCCCGCTTCAGGCTTCCTGTGGTTTGAGTGCAAGGAAGTGTGGATTGAGGGCCTGCGCAGTTACCTCCTGGACTGGTGGAACTTCCTGGATATGGTCGTCCTGTCCCTGTACCTGGCAGCCTTCGCACTGCGCCTCCTCCTGGCTGGGCTTGCCCCCATGCACTGCCGGGACGCCTCCCAAGCGGCTGCCTGCCACTATTTCACCATGGCTGGTGAGTGTCCCTTCAATTCAGCCCTGAATCCCCCAGTTCTTCTTTCTTGGCTCTTGGCTCCCAGCCACAGCCCCCATTCCACCCCGTGCAGAATGAAGCGAGTGGCACACCGAGGATCCCCAGTTCTTGGCTGAGGTGCTCTTCACTGCCACCAGCATGCTCAGCTTCACCCGCCTGGCCTACATTCTGCCGGCCCACGAGTCGCTGGGCACTCTGCAGATTTCCATTGGCAAGATGATTGAAGACATGATCCGGTGCGTACCGGCCCTGCTCTGAGCTCGCTCCTCTCTGTAGACTCCACTTGACTTCCTTCCAAAACTCCCCAGCTCTTGGGTAACACAGGAATCCTTGACCTGTGTTCCTACAGAGACGTGCGCTCCAAAGACCTCTGACCCCCTGAAACTACAGGCAAAATTTGGAGGGTAAGTGTATATGTTTCTGCAGAGAGGGTCTACAACTTACATCTAATTCTCAAAGAGGCCATGACCCCAGAAAAGATTAGGAACCATAGATAGCAGAAAAAGCCCTTGGTTGGGAGTTCCAGTCCCAGTTCTGTCAGTCTCCATGACCCCTCTGTGGGCCTCAGTTTTCCCATCATTAAGGAAAAAGCAGTGGACTCAGGGGTCCCTTTGGATCCCTTCCACTCAGCTCTTTGAGCCCCTGACCTTAACTGGCCTTCTTGGTGCTCATCACCTAATCATGTCCAGCAAATCCTGGCCTCTCACCTAATCAGGCCCCATAGTTAATGCCTGCCTCCCTGGGAATCCTCAGCCTGAGGTAGGACTACAGTGAGTGTCCTTGGTGGGAAAAACCTTAGCTGCATCTATTAATATTAACAACTTTAGCTCAGCTTAGCTGGAGGGAGAACCTCCCACCCCACCCCAGGAATTTTCTGGCCTCCCCATGGCAGGCCAGCTCATTCTCACATGTGACTCTGACTCTTCTGGTGATAACTCCTGTTCAGTGGGATTCTGACTCCCAGCTATCCCTGTGTCATTCCTTTAGAATCTCAGCATCTCATTCCCTCCCTGGGAGACCGCTCTGTCCTCAGCTTTGACTGCTTGGACTTAGTACCCATTAATCTTTTTTTTTTTTTTTTTTTTTTTTGAGACGGAGTCTCGCTCTGTTGCCCAGGCTGGAGTGCAGTGGCGTGATCTCGACTCACTGCAAGCTCTGCCTCCCGGGTTCACGCCATTCTCCTGCCTCAGCCTCCCGAGTAGCTGGGACTACAGGCGCCAGCCACCACACCCGGCTAATTTTGTGTGTTTTTAGTAGAGACGGGGTTTCACCGTGTTAGCCAGGATGGTCTCGATCTCCTGACTTGTGATCCGCCCTCCTCGGCCTCCCAAAGTGCTGGGATTACAGGCGTGAGCCACTGCGCCCGGCCTCCATTCTTAATAATAACCAAATTTGGCCAGGCACGGTGGCTCACGCCTGTAATCCTAGCACTTTGGGAGGCTAAGGCGGGTGGATCACTTGAGGTCAGGAGTTTGAGACAAGCCCGGCCAACATGGTGAAACCCAGTCTCTACCAAAAGTACAAAAATTAGCTGGGTGTGGTGGCACATACCTGTAGTACCAGCTACTTGGGAGGCTGAGGCAAGAGAATTGCTAGAACCTGAGATTGAGAGGTTGCAGTGAGCCAAGATGGCACCACTGTACTCCAGTCTGGCTGACAGAGCGAGACTCCGTCTCAAAAATAAATAAATAAATATATAACCTGCCGGGCGTGGTGGCTCATGCCTGTAATCCCAGCACTTTGAGAGGCCGAGGCAGGCAGATTACCTGAGGTTAGGAGTTCAAGACCAGCCTGGCCAACATGGTGAAACCCTGTCTCTACTAAAAATACAAAAAAAATTAGCCCGGCATGGTGGCACACACCTGTAATCCCAGCTACTCGGGAGGCTGAGGCAGGAGAATCACTTGAGCTCAGGAGCGGAGGTTGCAGTGAGCTGAGATCGTGCCACTGCACTCCAGCCTGGCCGACAGAGCAAGACTCTGTCTCAATAAATAAATAAATAAATAACCAAATTGAATACTTGTTGAGCAGAGAGCCAGGGAGGCCTTCATCCCTCTTCCTGGAGCCTGACTTCTCTCAAGGTGGAGACCTGCTCTGACCCTCCCACATCCCACCCCCTGCCAGGTTTATGTTCATCCTCATGATCATCCTGACCGCCTTCCTCTGTGGCCTCAACAACATCTATGTGCCCTACCAGAAGACAGAGTGGCTGGGCAAGTATGCAGGGGCAGAGGCAGGATGGGAGGTAGAGAGCCTGGGACCTTACAGCTTGGAGCCCTAGTGATCTCTCCTTTTCCCTCCCTCCCTCATTTATTCACTCAACTAATTCTCTTGTTTGCTCACTCCTTCTTTGATTCACTCTGTCACTCATTCATTTGTTCATTTATACATTCATTCGTTTACCCATTTTCTCCTCAAACTTGTTATTTTGAAAAATGTCAATCCTATGAAAAGTACAGTGGACACCCCTATATCCTTCACCCAGCTTCACCAATCGTTAATGTTTTACCACACTTGCTTCATCTGTTGCTCCCTTTATTCTATTTTTTTCCTGAAACATTTAAAAGGAAGTTGTAAATATAATGACACTTCATCCCTAAACAGTTCAGGATGTCTTTTAAGAACATAACCACAAAAGTATTATCACACTCAAAAAATTTAACATCCATATTATATATACACACACGTATACATATGTATACATACATACATACGTATACATATATACATACGTATACATACATACGTATACATATATACATACGTATACATACATACGTATACATATGTATACATACATACGTATACATATGTATACATACATACGTATACATATGTATACATACATACATACGTATACATACATATGTATACACATATATATATACATATATATTTTTTTTTTTTTTTTGAGACACAGTCTCACTCTGTCGCCCAGCTGGGGTGCAGTGGCGCGATCTCAGCTCACTGCAACCTCCACCGCCCGGGTTCAAGTGATTCTCCTGCCTCACCCTCCTGAGTGGCTGGGATTACAGGCACCCGCCACCAGGCCCAGCTAATTTTTGTATTTTTAGTAGAGACGGGGTTTCACCATGTTGGCCAGGCTAGTCTTTAACTCCTGACCTCATGATCCACCCGCCTCGGCCTCCCAAAGTGCTGGGATTATAGGCATGAGCCAGCGCACCCGGCCTCATACCCTAATATTATTTACTATACAGTCCTTATTGATATTTCCCCAATTGCCTGGAAAAAAGTCTCTCTAGTTTTAAAAATCTGATATCCAATCTAGGATCACACATTACATTTTGTTGTGCTATCTCTTTAGTCTCCTTTAATCTCGAACACACCCCGACCTCTTTGTCTTGCATGAAGAGTGTAGATCAAATTGGATTTATCTATAAATTATTGATCATAATTAGATTCAAGTTAAGCAGTTTTGGCAAGAACATGACCTAGTTGATTGTGTGTACTTTCTACTGCATCACAGTAGAAGGTGCATGATATCAGTGTGGCCTATTGGTGAGGCCAATTGCTGTAGCAAAGTCTTCATTGTAATGGTACCAGGGAAGCCCTTTTAGTAACAGGAAGCTATGTTGAGACTGTGTGACAACACTGCTCCCTCAAAACCTTTTACCCAGTGGATTTAGCATCCATAGATGATTTTTACCTGAATTGGTTATTACGGTGGTTTCAAGATCATGATTTTCTGCCTCTGTCATTTCTTCTACATTTATTCACTGGCATCCTTCTGTGAAGAAGTGTTTTCACCTACTTTCTTCTTCTTCTTTTTTTTTTTTTTCTTTTGAGACAGAGTCTCGCTCCGTCACCCTGGCTGGAATGCAGTGGCATGATCTCGGTTCACTGCAACCTCCACCTACCAGGTTCAAGCAATTCTCCTGCCTCAACCTCTTGAGTAGCTGGGATTACAGGCCTGCACCACCACGCCCGGCTAATTTTTGTATTTTCAGTGGAAACGGGGTTTCACCATGTTAGCCAGGATGGTCTCAAACTACTGACCTCTGGTGATCTGCCCACCTCGGCCTCCCAAAATGCTGGGATTACAGGCATGAGCCACCGCGTCCGGCCTTTCCTCTTTTTTGAATATCACTATGGACTCAATATGATAATCCATTACAGTCATTATTCTTTTGGGTGCTCAATTCTTCCTAAATGTGGCTAATAACTAATTTATATATTTGTTTATTCCCTCATTTATTGTTCATTCACTCTATTTATTTATTTATTTTTTGAGATAGGGTCTTGCTCTGTTGCCTAGGCTAGAGTGCAGCAGCGCGATCTTGGCTCACTGCAGCCTCCGCCTCCCAGGTTCAAGCAATTCTCCCACCTCAGCCTCCTGAGTCGCTGGGATTACAGGCACACCACTACACCCAGCTAATTTTTGTATTTTTAGTAGAGACGGGGTTTCACCATGTTGGCCGGGCTGGTCCGGAACTCCTGACCTCAGGTGATCCACCCTCCTCGGCCTCCCAAAGTGCTGGGATTACAGGTGTGAGCCACTGTGCCCGGCCCACTCACTCACTTTTTAAAATTTTTTTTCTTTTTTTTAGAGACAAGGTCTTGCTCTGTCACCCAGGCTGGAGTGCAGTGGTGTGATCATGGCTCACTGAAGCCTCGACTTCCCAGGCTCAAACCATCCTCCCACCTCAGCCTTCCTATTAGCTAGGACTACAGGCATGCACCACCACACTCAGCTAATTTTTTATCTTTTTGTTGAGATAGGGTCTTGCCGTGTTGCCCAGGCTGTTCTCGAACTCCTGGCCTCAAGCAATCCTCTGGCCTCAACCTCCCAAAATGCTGAGATGACAGCATTTCATGATGTCATCATGAGCCACCACACCCAGTCTCACTCACTTTTAAAATTCATTCACTTTCTTAGTCATTCAGTTGTTGTAGGTTTTTTGTTGTCACTGACTTCATACCTATTTACTGACACTTTCTTTTAGTAGGTTCTGTTTCCTGGCACTGGAAGCACAGGCAGGAGAAATAAACCAGACTCTTTGTCATAGAGAAGACAGCCATGTGCACAAATGAGCTCAATTTGCGACAAGTGCTGTGAGAAAGGAGAGTTTATACTGATTGTGCCCAGCGGAGGAAGCACCTTCCTCTGTCTTAGATGACCAGGGGAGGCTTTACAGAGAAGAGAGAATCTGGACTTCAGCTAGGAAGGTTACAGACTTCAGAGAAGATATAGGGCATTCTGAGCAGAGAGGGGGCATGCGCCAAAGCAGGGAGGTATATTTGGAGAACAGCAAGATGCCTCCCATAGTTGGCACATGGAGAGAATTTTGTGAAAGGAAGTGAGAGAGGGTAGCTGGGCCCACGTCAGAAGCTCAGGGAGGTCTTGGTGAGAAGCTTGGGCTTTCTCCAGGAGGCCAGAGAGCTCTAGGTGGCCTCCCAAGCAGCTGCCCAATCATAAATTCCTCATGAGTGCAACTGCCTGATAGTTTTATCGATGATGCTAAAGGACCCACACTTGGTCAAGGCTCTCTCATGGTTCCAGTGTATATGGAAGCTGTATTCAGACCTATGCTCTTACAAAGAATTCTTGTTCATAGCCTGGCTTCAGGCTGTTAGCTTAAAGGAATTGAGTTTACTGTGACTCTTAGTGCCAGGGATAGGAACTACTCAGACCAGCCTGCTTTGTGGCTCCTGGTGACATCACTTCACAGTGGCAAGGGAAGGCCAAGCCCTCCTGGGCTATTCATTCATGAGTGACTGCTAAGTAAGTCAAAAGTTGTTTTTTGCTGTTGTTTTTTGAGACAGGGTCACACTGTGCCACCCAGGCCAGAGTGCAGTGGCACAATCACAGCTCACTGCAGCCTTGAACTCCCGGGCTCAAGCTATCCTTCTGCCTCGGCCTCCTGAGTAGCTGGGACTACAGGCGTGTGCCACCACACCTGGCTAATTTTTTTTATTTTATGTAGAGACAAGGTCTCTAACTCCTGGCCTCAAGTGATCCTCCTGCTTCTGCCTTCGAAAGTGCTGAGAATACAGGTGTGAGCCACCATGACCAGTGCATCAAAAATAATTTTGCTAAAATTCTTACGTAGGTTGTATGGTAGACGTCTGGACTGAGGGTAGTTAGGAGCATTTAAAGGTTGACAAGCCAAAGTACAACAGATTAGGTCAGGTTCACATTTAGAAGGAGCACCCTGGATGCACTGTGGAGGACAGAATAATAAGAGAGACAGAGCCCACAGACCAGTGCAAAGCTGTGAGAATCTATACCTGAACTGGTGCTGAGACGGAGGGAATGAGACGGATTCACAAATAAATACAAGAGGAAGGAAAATGTGGTCAGGTCTGTGACTGGCGAACTTTCTGCTGGAGGTAGGGAAGGGAAGGACTGCCTGAAAGAGGTAGCACTGGAGCTGCTACCAGGGTGCTCCAAACCCCCAACCTGTCTCACCTAGCCCATGAGAACAGTTTCTTTCAAGATGGAGTCTGGCTCTGTCACCCAAGCTGGAGAGCAGTGGCGTGATCTCAGCTCACTGCAACCTCCACCTTCCCGGTTCAAGCGATTCTCCTGCCTCAACCTCCCAAGTAGCTGGGATTACAGACACCCACCACCACACCTGGTTAATTTTTGCATTTTTTAGTAGAAATGGGGTTTCGTCATGTTGGCCTGGCTGGTCTTGAACGCCCAACCTTAGGTGACTGGCTCACCTCAGCCTCCCAAGGTGCTGGGATTACAGGCGTGAGCCACCATGCCCAGCCCATGACAACAATTTCTTACCTGGTCTCTGCACCTCTGCTGTCTCACTTACTTCCCTTCCATTCTACTCACAGCAGCCAACATGATCTTTTCCAATGTAAATCAGCGTCACCCCTCTGCTTAGAACTCTTCACAGCTTCCTATTGCTCATAGACCATGGTAAGGATTTTTGTTTTTCTCCTACAAGCTCTTGCATGAGGTGGCTGGTCCCTAACTACCTCTCACAAGCATCTCTCTCCTCTGCCTTCTGAGACCAGCCGTGCCGGACTTCTCTCAGTTTCTCAGATGCCCAGAGCTCGTCTGCCTTGGGGAATACCCTTTTTCACACTTCTCCTTCCCTTTGACATGTGGAATCCCACACATCCTTCAGAGCTCAGCTTGAATGCTTCTCAAAGAAGCTTTCCCCAGCCCCAGACTAGGTCATAACATCCTGGGCTGCTCCTTCACAGCACTTGTCACAATTTTAATTTTTTAATTTTAAATATTTTGTAAATTAAATTGAGACGGCGTCTCACTATGTTGCCTAGGTTGGTCTCCAACTCTTGGGCTCAAGCGATCTGCCCACTGCGGCCTCCCAAAGTGCTAGGATTATAGGCGTGAGCCACCACACCCAGCTACAAATTTAAATTGTTGGTATAAGTAGTATCCATTTCACCCCGCCCCCCGCACCCCAGAACATAAGGCCATGAAGACAGGAACGTGCTTGTCTTGTCCACTGATGTATCCTTAGCACCTGTGACACGACTGTGCGCTCAGTAAATACCGGTTGACTGAAAGAATAAGATCCGGAGCTCAGAAACAGCACAAGTGTCTGCACTGGCCAAGGTGGTCCAAAGGGCTGCATGGAAGTGGGCACTCTTGGCCAGGTCCTGGGGGGTGGGAAAGAGTGTGTCTGGGTGAGCTCAGGCTTTTCTCCCACCCCTCATTTCCTGTTCCTTACTTGGCCTGGCATGCCAGTTTCAATGAGACGTTTCAGTTTCTGTTCTGGACCATGTTCGGTATGGAAGAGCACAGCGTGGTGGACGTGCCTCAGTTTCTGGTGCCCGAGTTTGCAGGCCGGGCCCTCTATGGCATCTTTACCATCATCATGGTCATTGTGCTGCTCAACATGCTCATTGCTATGATCACCAACTCCTTCCAGAAGATTGAGGTATGTAAACAGAGGCCAGTTTAGGCCAGGGCCAAGAAGGGAAAAAGGAATGGAGAGGAATAGGGTGCAAAGAGGCAAGACATGTGGCGCCATGCTCTGCCTCCACTGTTGTCTTGTTTGTGGCTTTGGACAAGTTTTCCTCTGTAAAATGAGGGTCTTAGTGATGCTATTAGTATCTTCAGACACCAAGTCTAGTGCTCATTCCCCCTTAGGGTTGGGCAGAGGAGTGTGTTGTAGAGAAGTAAACGGGAACATGAGAGGGAGAGGGAAGGAAATGGATGGGTTAGGGTCTGCAGGCTGGAGAATAGGCTGGGCAGGAACTGGATGTCAGAAAGATGAAAGACAATGGTGGGGAGAGAGGAAACGGGGGACAGGCAGGAGAAATGCGGGTGATAGGGGAGGTGGGAGATAAGTCTGGGGAGAAGAAAGAGGCTGGCTAGGATTATAGGCACACTGGAGAATCAAAGATGTGAGGAGCGGAGAAAAGAGAGACAGTTTGAGTGGGCAGGAGGGCCATATGCAAGGGGTCCTTGCACCACCCCCTGCTGCCTGGCTCCCAGGATGATGCTGACGTGGAGTGGACGTTTGCTCGCTCCAAGCTGTATCTGTTCTACTTCTGAGAGGGCCTGACACTGCCTGTGCCCTTCAACATCCTGCCCTCCTCGAAGGCTGTCTTCTACCTTCTCAGGTGATGACCTCAGAGCTCCCACTCCCACCCCCTAAATCCCCAGCCCCTGCCCCCATTTCCCTGTCCTCTAACCGACCTCTTCCCACCACTGAAATCTCTCAGGAGAATTTGCCAGTTCATTTGCTGTTGCTGTTCCTGCTGCAAAACCAAGAAGCCAGACTATCCCCCGATCCCTACTTTTGTGAGTACCTCCTCGGCTTGTTGCTGGTCGCCCTGGCGTAAGGCTTCACTTGTATTGTCTATACCATCCATTTGTCTGCATACCCCGGGCTTATCTATCTTTCCAGTATGTTCCCCCAGAAAGCCTGTCCCAATCCTACTCTCTCACGTGGCTTCCCTTTCCCTCTTCCAGGCTCTGGCCATTTCCTGAATTTCCAACCCTGTGTCATGCAGCCTAAACAGAAGTCCTTACCACCCTCCTCCCAAGCTAGAAATACCCACTAAGCTCCAGACAGACCTTTTTGTCCTAAACTGGTCCAAGACGTAGTTGAACATTTTTTAAAAAAACATGTTAAGAAGCCAAAGGTAAATGTCCCACAAACTGGGCAGTTAAATGGCTGACAGTGGCCTAAGAGAGGAAGCCAAGAGGCCGGACATCCAAGGAGCTCCCCAGCCCAGTCTGGCCTGGCATGAGGGTGCCTTCCTAATTCAGGTACTGCCAGGTCTGTAGGGGGTTCTCCCCCTCCACACCATCAGCCTCCCAGCCCTCGCCCACCCCTTCCTGGTCCTCTCACCGTCAGCCCTTTCCCAGCTTCTGGCCCCTGTCCTTCTACCTTCCAGGTCCGCACTGTGAGATGGAGGCCAGGGGCTAGGTGGGTCAGGGACAGAAAAGTCTACACAGACTTTTTTGCCTGGGGGTGGGGGGAAATGGGCAGTGATCAGAGGAAGGCTGGAGGTAGAGAATCTCCCTCACCCTCTTGTCTTCCCATTCCAGGCCAATCCCAGGGCAGGGGCTGTGCCTGGGGAGGGAGAGCGTGGATCCTACCGCCTTCACGTCATCAAGGCCCTGGTACAGCGCTACACAGAGACTGCCCGGCGAGAATTCGAGGAGACCCGGCGGAAAGGTTTGTCACCCACCTCCAAGCCCTCCCCATTCCTGTTCCTTGTTCAGCTGGGATAAAGGCTCCATACCCAGCGTCATGTCCTCATTCAGCCTGCATAATATGTGGTCCCATCCTGCCCTGCCCTTGGAAGGGTAACCTGCACAGCATGCCCCTTGCACTCCATTACCCTCTGACCCATCCGGGCATTTGTCCCACTCATTTCATGTAAGTGCTCATTCCTGCCTTCAGGTGTGTTCAGTTATTCTCCCATTCACTCCCTTACCCAGTCACTCATTCACCTTTTTCATTCACTCGCTTATTGACTCGTTCCACCAACATTCATCACTATGGCCTCCTTTGTTCCAGGCCCTGTCTTGGAGGGAGAGACGGGGCACTGTAGGGCAGGGACACACGGGAAGCTTTCAGTCTGGTGAGGAAGAGAAACCATCACAGCGGGCATGAAGTGCAGCTAAGAGAGACGCGAATTGCCATGGGCGCCTGAAGGGAGAAGGAGCACGTCATTTTGAGAGGCTCATGAGAAGGCAGAAGGATAGAGTAGCAGAAGGGACAAAGGGGGTGGGATCTGAACTGGGCCCTGAAGGATGGGGTGAGCTGGCTGGCCGTAGACTCGGGAGAGGGCAGGCAGGTGAACGCACAAATGTCTACGCAGTCCAGTAAGCTTTCCCCGTGGCTTGTCATCTTTCTCTGGCCCCCAGACTTTCCTTCTTTCCAGCTCCTCAGCTACTCCCTCCCACCCCCGATCAGATTCACCTGCCCCAGCTTCACCCACCCACCTGACCCCTAGCCCACAAACCCGTTCCTCACTTCTTCCAGTTCTCCCTCAGGAATCCTGGATAGGGCAACCCCTGGGGTACTGTAAAGGGTAAAAGGGGTATAGGGCAGGCTCATCCTCTGAAAGGCCCCTTGGTACTCCACCTCCTCCAGATCTGGGCAACAGACTCACAGAGCTGACCAAGACCATATCTCGACTGCAAAGCGAGGTAGCCGGTGTGCGGTGAACTCTGGCAGAGGGAGGGACGCCCCGGCCTCCCGACGGTGCCAGCGTCCTCAGTCACTACATCACTCAAGTGCACAACAGCTTCCAGAACCTGGGGCCTCCCATCCCTGAGACCCCAGAGCTGACAGGGCCTGGGATTGTGAGGACCCAGGAATCATCAGGAACCGGGCTTCAGGACACTGGAGGGGTGAGGACTCTGGCTTCCGGAGAGTCTGGCCCCTGCTCCCCAGCTCATGTGCTAGTTCATAGGGAGCAGGAAGCAGAGGGGGCTGGGGACCTGCCCCAGGGGGAGGATTCGGGGACTGAGAGGAGGTCCTGATACAGTGGAAGAGTCCCTTCTTCTGTTGCTGAGCGTGGTAGCCTAGGAGGGTGAGGGTGGGGGGCCCCTTGGGAGGAGCCTGTGCTGCTTTTCTTGCTTCAATAAAGTTTCTGCTCTGGATGTGAGAGGCCTCCAGGCTGTGTGAGAATCTCTGTCTCTTGATGTTTTGAGGTCCTCCCTCTTCTTTCCCCTGAAATGGACCCTTGTGGGAGCAGGGCAGAGAGAAATGACTTGCTCTGTGTTCCCAAGTATCTTGGGCTTGGGATCCTACTTTGAGTTTCCTCAGATCTTTTATGGACAGAGTTCTGGACCAGGAGGCAGGAGACCGGGGAGGCGGGAGGCCGGGGTTCAATGGGAACCCTCTGACCAGTTGCTTCCTTCCTTGGCTTTGCATTCCTCACCTGACAAGTGGGGCTGAGGAATCACCTGCCTGCTTTCCTGCCTTCATGGTTGTCGTGAGGACCCTCTAGCTGTTCTAGCTTCTGGATTTGCAAGTTAGAGTGTTACACAGGTCTGCACAGGAGACCGTGTTAATAATAACAAGAAGTTATTATTATTGTTATTTTTGAGACGGAGTCTTGCTCTGTCGCCCAGGCTGGAGTGCAGTGGCGCGATCTCGGCTCATTGCAAGCTCCGCCTCCCGGGTTCACATCATTCTCCTGCCTCAGCCTCCCAAGTAGCTGGGACTACAGGTGCCCGCCACCACGCTCGGCTAATTTTTTTGTATTTTTAGTAAAGACGGGGTTTCACCGTGTTAGCCAGACTGGTCTCGATCTCCTGACCTCGTGATCCACCCACCTCAGCCTCCCAAAGTGCTGGGATTACAGGCGTGAGCCACCTGCTCCTGGCCCCAAGAAGTTTTTTTTTTTAGTCCCTCAGTCAGTCCCTCAGCCCAGCAAGGCCACAGCGGGGCAGAAGGTCTAGTCTCATGGAATAAACCAATCATAAAATTCCATGTCTCCACACTGCAATACCATTTAATCACGTAGCTACCTCAATAAAACTCCATGTCTCCACATTGCAACACCGTTCAATCAAGTGGCTGCCTCAGTACTTTCCTTGCTTGTCCCAGGAAGTCCCCATCACATAGCAGAGTTCCCTCAGCCCTGCTGTGGCCTCCCCAGGCCAACATCCTGGTTGGGGAGAAGGCTGCTAGGGCTGGGTCCGGAACCATGTTCTTGCTTCTCAAGGCTGCTGGAGGTGCCTCTTCGTCATATGAAGGTCACCCGTTCCCAGGGCTCCTAAGTGGCAGATGTTGGACTTTCAGGGCCCAACCCCTGAGAGCTGGAACTCTCCAGGGGCCAAGAGCAGAGTCTTCCAGGGGGGCAGAGAGGAGGCCCCCTCAGATTGTGACCCTAGCTGCACCCCTGCTGAAGGGAAAAGAGGAGGAAGGGGTCAGCAGGGTGAGGGGGAGTCAAAGCAGCTGAAGGAGGATGGAAGGGCAACTCACCTGGCGCAGACACACAGCCCCGCCTCTTCTCCCCTGCAACAGACAGCAGGGTGAGGCCTCCGCGTGGACAGACTCGCACCCAAACTGCCTGGCCCACCAGGCCCTGGCAGGGCCATTTCCCTTCTCAATCTATCTTTCCCTTCACCTAAAGGGAAACTTCTGATTTCCCTTCCTCCTCCGTCCTCCAGGAACTCTTTCCAGATTGCCTTTCCATCCCTCTTCCCACCCAAGACCCAGTCACTCTTCCATCTCTCCCTGCCTTAGCACTTGGGAATGGCACATACGTGCCCTGTCAGCCCCATCGAGCCCAGGGCCCCCCTGAGACCTGAAGCAGTCCCCTTGGCTCTTTCTGCTGCTTGCTAATCTCCTTAACCAGGTTCTTTTGGTCTATTAGACCATGTAGCAGATGGACCCTTTTGAGGACATATAGAATCATCTAAGAATGTTCACGAATCTAGAAAACACTTATAGGACCCCAAAAAACCTGAGTCACAGAGGACAGCAACTCCAGCTGACTTCCAGCCCTCATTTCCCCTTTAACCAAGTGGGTCTCCCGAAGGCCCCGGGGATTATTGTGTAAGGACATCCTGGCTTATTTCACCCACACTGCCAGTCCTGCTTCCCCCATGCACAGCTTACCACCCAGATAGGCGCAGTTAAAATGGCTACAGGTCTGATTATAGCTCCAGAGAGTCACCAAGCTCTGGGCTCCATCCTGAGAGAATCTGGTAACCAAAAAGACTTCATGGGGGGGAATCAGCACCTCGCGCTCCTTGGGAAAGACAGAGAAGGCCTGTATAGGGGCCCCAAAGCAAGTTGTTAGAGAGAAGAGGGTGGCATTACCAAATCTGTGGGCCACTGCCTTATCCAGGGAGCTGGAGGCAAACTGGCCCAAGCGGACAGAGTCTCCCAGCCTCTTGGGTTCAAAGCGAAGGCTGCCCACACCTCGGAACACCACCTCCCCAGGTCCCCTGCTGCAGCCCCCACTGCCTCGCAGCAGCTGCAGGGCCCGGATCAGGTAGAAATGCAGGGCCTTGAAGGGAAAGTGCCTCATGTAGAGCTCCCGGGAGCCTCCGCCCGTCCGCACGGCCTGATTCAACTCCCAGTACAAGGTGTTCGATGAGTTGGTGTAGACCATAATGGCTATTCCATTCTGGGCTTTGAAGCCAGGGGGCAAGGTAAGCCCTCGACGCTTGTCCTCCCAGGTCTCCTGGGCTGCCTCCCAGGATTCCCGCAGCAGGGCATGGTGGGCCATTTCCTCCTTTAGCAGGGGGGCTGCCTTCTCCTCCATCTCCTCTGCACAACCCACATAGGTATCGTCAAAGGTGTCTGGAGCCAGGCCCAGGGGCAGGATGGGAACAGCCTGGGCCTGTGGAGCAAAAGAGGTGCCACACCGAAAAGAGCATAAGTTCAGAGCACTGGACATGGGTCCTGGGGGCAAACCCATCCAGAAACACAGAATCTCATTTCTATCCCTAAATATCAGGTATATGCAATTTGGCAAGGGCCCAATAAGAGGCTTAAATAACACAGGCACTGGAGTCAGTCAGACATGGACTGAAATCTTTTTTTTTTTTTTTTTTTTTTGATGGAGTCTTGCTCTGTTGCCCAGGCTGGAGTGCAGTGGTGAGATCTCGGCTCACTGCAAGCGCCACCTCCCAGGTTGGAGTGATTCTCCCACCTCAGCCTCCCAACTAACTGGGATTACCTGTGCATGCCACCATGCCTGGCTAATTTGTTTTTGTGTTTGTTTCTTTGAGACGAAGTCTCGCTCTGTTGCCCAGGCCGGAGTACAATGGCACGATCTTGGCTCACTGCAACCTCTGCCTCCCGGGTTCAAGCAATTCTCCTCTCTCAGCCTCCCAAGTAGCTAGGATTACAGGTGCGCAATACCACGCCCAGCTAATTTTTTGTATTTTTAGTAGAGACAGGGTTTCACCATGTTGGTCAGGCTGGTCTCGAACTCCTGACCTCAAGTGATCCACCAGCCTCAGCCTCCCAAAGTGCTGGGATTACAGGAGTGAGCCACCGCGCGCAGGCTGAAATCTTGACTTTACCACCTATTAGCTGTGAGGCCTTGGGCAAGTGTCATAACTTTTCTGGACTTGAGGATACTTCCAACCTCACAGTTATTATGAAGACAGCATAAAGAGCATTACTTCTGTACAACCTAAAAGGGGTCATCCTGTCATTAGAAAGGTTCTTGCAGTCGGTGGGAGGTGGGACTAGATGACTATCAAGCACTTTTCCGGCTGTAAGATCTGGCAGGCAGGTGATGTGCAAATATTACACACAGCCAGTGTCCAGCTGCCTAACCCCCAGCCCCATTCTCCTCGGGCTCTCTTTCCCTCTCATCCAGCAGGAAGCCCTTGCAGGTAGGTGCTCAGCCACCACACCAAATCACTGTGAGCTCTGAGACGCCTGAGTCCTCCCCTGCTCTGTACCCACATTTGGGGTAGGGGTGGTGGGGAGGCCAAGCCTTGGTTGGGACGGGCTGCCAGGACTGCAGCACACAGGTAACCCAAGGAGGCTTTGCCGGGCTGTGCCTGCGCTGGGAGATGAGAGGTGGGGAGGAGAACGTTGGAGGCATCCAGAGAGGGATGGAGATGGGGGTTCTAGGAGACAGAATGGGAACTTGGGGCTCCCTGCAGAGATGGAGGTTCCTGAGAGGAAGAGAGTTAAGAGTGGAATCCTAGGGAAGAGTCCCTGGGAGAGGGATGTGAGGAGTCAGCCCCGGGTCCACTTCCTCAGGGTCTGTCCCTTAATGTCCCCCTTGGGGCTAGGAGATGGTTCCTGGAGTTACCTGCCAGGTGTGGAGGCCGAGGCTGCCGAGGGCGATCATCAAAGCCGCCAGCGCCATCCCTGGAGGAGACGTGAGGGCCAGGGGTCCGGGTGAGGGCGGGACCAGAGGTGCTGGAGTCCTGGTTTCGAGGGGCTGGAGGCAGATCTGGACCCTGTCTCCAGGCGCACGGGATCCCGGGTCCAGGATTAGGGCCCCGGCGGGGCGTGGGCGGGGCCTGGGAGTTTATTGCCCGCCCCCCGCCCCAAGTCTCCGCCCCCGACTCCCCACACCCCTTCCTCAGAGCCTCCAGTCTGGGGACCTTTCCGAGACTGTAAAGGCGGGGCCGCAGTTTGGCTCCGCCTGAGAGGGGAGGGCCGGGGGCGGAGGACCCACTTGAAGGCTGCGGAAGCCGCCAGCGGGAGGGAGCGCCGAGGGCTCTGGCGGGCGCTGCGCTGTCCCCGGAGGAGTCCGGAGTCCGGCTGAAAGCAAAGGTTCTCGAGGCTAACTGTAGCCCCCGCGCTGGTAACCCGACACCCCTTTCCCAGCGCCGCACGCGGGGCCGGGAGCGGGCGCGCCAGGGCAGGGACTGAGGAGCAATTCCCTTTCTCAAGGCCTGCGGGGTCTTTCTGCGGGACCCTCTTTGGCTGTGAGTGATGGGGAGGAAACTTGTGAGACTCGGCCTCTCCCTCAGGCGGGCCCTGACCCGGTCGGCCCCTGGTCCCCGGCCCACCAGGCCAGGGGCCCCGCGGGGGTCCCGCCGGCCGAGAGGTCGCCCCCGGAGCACTGCGATTTGCATACAGTTTGCATTTGGCCCACACCCTGGGCCACGTGCTCCAGCATCTGAGCAGCGCCCACTCCCTGCCTGCTCTGGGCCCTCTCCCCATTCGCCTTCAGTGGGGTTGGGCCAGAGACAGAGCCCTTGGTCGCAGATCCACAGGGTCCGGTCTCGCCCCTCCCCCAGACCGCTCTCGTGGCCGCTCAGACTCAGGTGACCCATGTTTGTAAACACTGGCCTTTCCCCCACCTCCTCTGGGCTTATCTATAAATAACCTGGCTCTGAGTTTTGGATGCCCCGTCAGAGGTCATGGGAGAAGGGGCCAGCGGAGGAATTGGTAACTCAGGGAAGAGCTTCCTAGCAGCCAGAGCCAGGAGGAGGTGGGGTTGTCACCCCTCCTTCCCCCAGCGGCCGGAGGGTCGCCGAAAGCTAGGATTTGAGAAATGCTGCCTGCTGGGGCTGAGGTGGGCACGAAAGATTAGAGCTACCCAAAGGAATCCATCCTGGTCTGGCTCATTAATTTTCCCCATCCCTGTCCCCCCATCCCCTCAGAGTGTCAGCCAAATAAAAAGTTTCCTCCACCTAGAATCCTGCTATCTCCCAGAATCCTTTCTGTAGACCAAACGGGAAGACATACGGTGGGTCCAGGCTTGGAGGAGGGTGGGGAGGGAGGTGCTTCTGAGTGCTTGTTAGAAAAACAGCTCCAGGGCAGGGCGCAGTGGCTCCCGCCTGTAATCCCAGCACTTTGGGAGGCTGAAGTGGGAGGATCACGAGGTCAGGAGTTCGGGACCAGCCTGGCCAACAAAGATTAGCCGGGCGTGGTGGCAGGGGCCTGTAATCCCAGCTACTTGGGTGGCTGAGGCAGGAGAATCGCCTGAAACCGGAAGGTGGAGATTGCAGTGAGCTGAGATGGAGCCACTGCACTCCAGCCTGGGCAAAAGGGCGAAACTCCATCTCAAAAAAAAAAAAAAAGAAAAAAGAAAGAAAGAAAGAAAAACAGCTCCAGGACAAGTTCTTTTGCCCCCTTCTATGAGTCTAGCCATCCCAAAGCCCTCCCAGATTCTAAAATAAGGAATCATCCTACCGTTTCCCATCATGGTGAAAAACAGCATTTGCCTATATATCCTGCCTGCCCACTCTCTGGAGGAAGTTGAGTGTTTGCAGTTGCTTGAAAAGATACCACCTGAGGACAGCTTGGCCTGCTGGGATGACCCGAGACCAGATGTATTGGAATCACTGCTTTGTCCCTCTCCACCCTCTGGCTTTGGGGGATTGCTTCTCCCATCCCAGGACCTGGAACCCAAAATAAGGCCCCAAGAGATGGATTCAAATCTAGTCATTGGGGGCCGGGTGCGGTGGCTCACACCTGTAATCCCAGCACTTTGGGAGGCCGAGGCAGGCGGATCACGAGGTCAAGAGATCGAGACCATCCTGGCCAACATGGTGAAACCCCATCTCTACTAAAAATACAAAAATTAGCTGGGCGTGGTGGCAGGCGCCTGTAGTCCCAGCTATTCAGGAGGCTGAGGCAGGAGAATCGCTTGAACCCGAGAGGCAGAGGTTACAGTGAGCCAAGATTGCGCCACTGCACTCCAGCCTGGTGACAGAGCGAGACTCCATCTAAAAAAAAAAACTAGTCATTGGGCAGGGATCCTAAGTATAGCATTAAGAAGTCCTGCAAGATCACTGGTAAGTCAGAGCTGGAACTGGGACTCAGAATACAGCCTCCTTAGTTCGAATCTCTCCTGGCACCTTAGCTAAGTCTCAGTGTTTGTGTGAAAGGTACAAAATCTAAGGAGACGCTCTCTGAGGTCGGGGTGCTGAAGCTTCCTCCTCTCTTCCTCCTCCTTGGCTGACCAGAGTACAGGACCACAGCCAGTGAGGAGGCAGTTGTCCCAGCCTGGATCCCCAGTGCTTCAGTCCACCTCCTCTCTGGCTTCAGGGATTCCCTTTTTTGTGGGAAATGTAGCAGGAAGAGCCTCAGACAAAACCCCTCAGATGCTGAGTTAAAGAAGGAAGGGGTTTATTCAGCTGGGAGCATCGGCAAGACTCCTGTCTCAAGAGCTGAGCTCCCTGAGTGAGCAATTCCTATCCCTTTTAAGGGCTCACAACTCTAAGGGGGTCCGCGTGAGAGCGTCGTGATCGATTGAGCAAGCAGCGGGTACGTGACTGGGGGATGCATACACCGGTAATTAGAAGGGAACAGAACAGGACAGGGATCTTCACAGTGCTTTTTTATACAAATAACCGATTAGGTCAGGGGTCAATCTTTAACTGCCAGGCCCAGGGTGTGGCGCTGGGCTGTCTGGCTGTCTGCTTGTGGATTTCATTTCTGCCTTTTAGTGTTTACTTTGGAGGCAGAAATCGGACATAAGACAATATGAGGTATGGTTTCCTCCCTTAGAAGAACACTGGGCAGGTCAGACTGGGCAGAGGCTGGTGTTCCTGAGCCCTGAGGAGACATCCAGAAATAGATGGGGGCGTGTCACGTTTCTGAGCAGCTGTGTGGGGGAGGTTCAAGGGGTGGGGACTAACAATATCAAAAAGAAACTTGTCCTCCCCTCTCCTGGTGGCCATGGTGGAGATCAGCAGCAGCTTCCCCACCCAGGACAAGGCCTAGGTAAGGAGTGCACCACTCTCCTCCTGGGTGCTGGGCAGGAAAAGTGGTTTTGAGGTGAAATTTGGGAGATGAACGGTGGAATTTTAGGAGTCATGAGAAAAAGTTTCCAGGAAACTTTGATGAAGTTTGGGATACCTAGGAAGGTTGGGAGCCATGGGAAGTTTGGGATTCCTGTGGGGAGATTTGGGGTCACATTCCCAGGAGGGTATGTTCAGCAAGGGCCTGGATGAGAAACTGATGACAGAATTGCTCCGAGCAGGATGAGAGGGAGGACAGAAGCGCAGCTCCCTTGGGCTAGAAAAGGAATTGCTCAGCATCCCCAGCTCCTTGGGCCCATGCCCACCCCATCCCTCCGGTTCCCACCACATCTCCCCTGACACTGGTCACCAAGGCCAGCCACCCACCTGCTCTGCAGTGGTCTACACTGTTAGCTGCGCTGAGAAAGTTCCTCAGACTCTCAGCAAACATGCTGGGGCCTCCCCAGTCCCTGGCCTTGGCATACATGGTCCCTGCCCTCAAGGAACTCACTGGCCAGAAGAGGAGCCAGGCACATATAAGGGCAGCACAGTGTGATAAGGACAGTGACAGAGGACAGCACAGGGTGATACCAGAGCCCAGAGGAGTCAGAGGGCTTCCTGGAGGAGGTGGCCCTCGGGTTAAGCCTTGAAGAGTAGGTATCCAGGAGAAGGGTGTCCCAAGGAGAGGGGCGATGTGTGCAGAGCCACAGGGAGGGTAACCACGGAGCCGCACCTGCGACGTTGTTCTGCACTACAGAAGCCAAGCAGGAGTGGCAGGTGCGAGCCTGCAGAGGGTGCAGAGGGCCAGGATAAGGACGCTGGCCTCTGTCCTTAGGGTATGGAGGGATGTTTTGTTTGTTTGTTTTGTTTTTTTTTTCTAGATGTGTTTGTATCTCTTCCCTCATGATTTTCATCTCTGCATTTTTACTCTATATTTTGAGATATTTCTTCCAGTCAGTTTTGGCACAGAGGGCTTTTAAGCATGTAAGGAACATGACCAGAGTCGCGCTTTAGAAACATTGCTCTCCCTGGGCAGGCAGGATATTGGGGCTGACTGTGGAGGCGGGGAGATCAGCGAGGAGGAAGGGGCAAACCTGAGCCAGGGCAGGGGGTGTGGATGTTGAAGGGAAGGAGAATCTAGGATGGACCCCTATCTCACCCAGCATTAGTTGGCAACTATGTGAATGTTTGACGAATGATTGACTGAATGGACACCCAGGGGACCATCATGGGTGACTGGGTGAATAATGGGGATGGTTTATCACGTGAGACTTGCCATGGCAAATTAACAGGAGCCACCCTGAGCTAGATTAAGCCTAAAGAGGATTTTATCACAAGGATACCAGGGTATCTCATGGAACCCAAGGACCAGATGCAAAGAGCCTCTAGAAAGCCAAGGAGGAGTGCGGCTCCACCTGACCTCTGGCTTCATCAATCAAGCAGCTCACCCTCTGCCTTTCAGCCTTCTCTTTCCCTTGCTCTGGGGATCTCATCTCTTCCCTGATTTCAATCACCTGTGACTCTCAGATGTCTCCTTGATTGTCCATTCTGCTACCTCTTGGACATCTGCTTCAGGGAGTTCACATTTCCCAAAGTGAACTCACCATTTCCCCTCCAAACCCGATCATTCATTCAATACATTTTTACTGAGCACCTGCTTTGTACTGGGACTACAATAATGAGCAAGATGAGCTTTTCAAGTCTACTCTGGTATAACATTGTGCCTATAGTAACAATAAGGCACTGTGCACTTAAACATGTGTAAAGAGGGTACATCTCACATTAAATGTTCTTGCTACATGAAAACCAAAAACAAAACAAAACAAAATAAAAATAAAAACAGGCCAGGCACGGTGGCTTATGCCTGTAATCCCAGCACTTTAGGAGGCCGAGGCGGGCAGCGGATCACCTGAGGTCAGGAATTTGAGACCAGCCTGACCAACGTGGAGAAACCCCATTTCTACTAAAAATATAAAATTAGCCAGGCATGATGGCACATGCCTGTAATCGCAACTACTGGGGAGGCTGAGGCGGAGAATTGCTTGAACCCGGGAGGCAGAGGTTGCAGTGAGTCGAGATTGCACCATTGCACTCCAGCCTGGGCAACGAGCAAAACTCCGTCTCAAAAAAAACAAAACAAAACAAAAAAAAAAACGAGGCTGGGTGCGGTGGCTCAGGCCTATAATCCCAGCACTTTGAAAGGCCTGGGCAGGTGGATCACCTGAGGTCAGGAGTTCCAGAACAGCTTGGTCAACATGGCAAAACCCCTTCTCAACTAAATACAAAAATTAGCTGGGCGTGCTTGTGGGCACCTGTAGTACCAGCTACTTGGGAAGTTGAGGTGGGAGAATCACTTGAACCCGGGAGGTAGAGGTTGAAGTGAGCCGAGATTGCACCACTGCACTCCAGCCTGGGCGACAGAGTGAGACCCTGTCTCAAAATAAATAAATAATATATAAATAAAAATAAAAATAAAATGAAAACAAAGGGATACACAGAAACTTGGAAGTGATGAACATGTTTATTCCCTTGATTGTGGGAATGGTAACATGAGTGTATACTTATTTCCAAACTCACCAAATTGTATATATTAATTATGTGCAGTTTTTTGTATACCAATTATACTTCAATGAGGCTGAAAAAAAAAAAAGTAAAGTTGCACAGGGCTGTGCTGGAGCAGGACACTCTGCAGTCATGTAAGAATGGTGGAAGAAGATAGAGGGCAATAAAAGAAGATGGGCAATAAAAGAGGTGTCAGGCCTCTGAGCCGAAGCTAAGCCATCATATCCCCTGTGACCTGCACAAACACATCCAGATGGCCGGTTCCTGCCTTAACTGATGACATTGTCTTGTGAAATTCCTTCTCCTGGCTCATCCTGGCTCAAAAGCTCCCCTACTGAGCACCTTGTGACCCCCACTCTGCCTGCCAGAGAACAACCCCCCTTTGACTGTAATTTTCCTTTACCTACCCAAATCCTATAAAACGGCCCCACCCTTATCTCCCTTCGCTGACTCTCTTTTCGGACTCAGTCCACCTGCACCCAGGTGATTAAAAGCTTTATTGCTCACACAAAGCCTGTTTGGTGGTGTCTTCACACGGACGCGCATGAAATTTGGTGCCCTGACTCAGATCGGGGGACCTCCCTTAGGAGATCAATCCCCTGTCCTCCTGCTCTTTGCTCTGTGAGAAAGACCCACCTACAACCTCAGGTCCTCAGACCGACCAGCGCAAGAAATATCTCACCAATTTCAAATCCAGTAAGCAGACTCTTTTTACTCACTTCTCCAACCTCCCTCACTATCCCTCAACCTCTTTCCCCTTTCAATCTTGGCGCCACACTTCAATCTCTCCATTCTCTTAATTTCAATTCCTTTCATTTTCTGGTAGAGACAAAGGAGACACGTTTTATCTGTGGACCCAAAACTCCGGCGCCGGTCACGGACTGGGAAGGCAGCCTTCCCTTGGTGTTTAATCATTGCAGGGACACCTCTCTGATTATTCACCCACGTTTCAGAGGTGTCAGATCATGCAGGGACGCCTGCCTTGGTCCTTCACCCTTAGCGGCAAGTCCCGCTTTTCTGGAGGAGGGGTAAGTACCCCAACCCCTTTTCTCTGTGTCTCTACCCCTTCTCTGCTTTTCTGGGGGAGGGGCAAAAACTCCTCAACCCCTTCTCCTTCACCCTTAGCGGCAAGTCCCGCTTTTCTAGGAGGAAAGAACCCCCAATCCCTTATTTCCACACCCCAACCTCTTACCTCTGTGCCCCAATCCCTTATTTCCACGCCCCGACCTCTTATCTCTGTGCCCCATCCCTTATTTCCGTGCCCCGACCTCTTATCTCTGCGCCCAAACCCCTTATTTCCACGCCCTGACCCCTTTCCCGCTTTTCTGGAGGGTAAGAACCCCTGAACCCCTTCCCTCCGTTTCTCTACTCTCTCTTTTCTCTGGGCTTGCCTCCTTCACTACGGGCAACCTTCCACCCTCCGTTCCTCCGTCTCCCTTAGCCTGTGCTCTCAAGAACTTAAAACCTCTTCAACTCACACCTGACCTAAAACCTAAATGCCTTATTTTCTTCTGCAAGGCTGCTTGACCCCAATACAAACTCGACAGTGGTTCCAAATAGCCAGAAAACGGCACTTTCAATTTTTCCATCCTGCAAGATCTAAATAATTCTTGTCGTAAAATGGACAAACGGTCTGAGGTGCCTGACGTCAAGGCATTCTTTTACACATCAGTCCCTCCCTAGTCTCTGCCCAATGCAACTTGTCCCAAATCTTCCTTCTTTCCCTCCCGCCTGTCCCCTCAGTCCCAACCCCAAGTGTCGCTGAGTCTTTCTAATCTTCCTTTTCTACAGACCCGTCTGACGTCTCCCCTCCTCCCCAGGCTGCTCCTCGCCAGGCTGAGCTAGGTCCCAATTCTTCCTCAGCCTCAGCTCCTCCACCCTGTAATCTTTTTATCACCTCCCCTCCTCACACCCGGTCTGGTTTACCATTTCATTTCATGACTAGCCCTCCCCAACCTGCCCAGCAATTTCCTCTTAAAAAGGTGGCTGAAGCTAAAGGCGTAGTCAAGGTTAATGCTCCTTTTTCTTTATCCGACCTCTCCCGAATCAGAGCGTTTAGGCTTTTTCATCAAATAAGAAAAACCCCGCCCAGTTCATGGCTCGTTCGGCAGCAACCCTGAGACGCTTTACAGCCCTAGACCCTAAAATGTCAAAAGGCCACTTTATTCTCAATATACATTTTATTACCCAATCTGCTCCTGACATTAAATAAAACTCCAAAAATTAAATTCCGGCCCTTAAACCCCACAACAGGACTTAATTAACCTCACCTTCAAGGTATACAATAATAGAATAGAGGCAGCCAAGTAGCAATGTATTTCTGAGTTGCAACTACTTGTCTCCACTGTGAGACAAACACCAGCCACATCTCCGGCACACAAGAACTTCCACACGCCTGAACTGCAGCTGCCAGGGGTTCCTCCAGAACCTCCTCCCCCAGGAGCTTGCTACAAGTGCCGGAAATCTGGCCACTGGGCCAAGGAATACCCACAGCCCAGGATTCCTCCTAAGCCGTATCCCATCTGTGTGGGACCCCACTGAAAATCGGACTGTTCAACTCACCTGGCAGCCACTCCCAGAGCCCCTGGAACTCTGGCCCAAGGCTCCCTGACTGACTCCTTCCCAGATCTTCTCGGCTTAGCAGCTGAAGACTGACATTCCCCGATTGCCTCGGAAGCCCCCTAGACCATCAGGGACTCCGAGCTTTGAGTAACTCTCACAGTGGAAAGTAAGTCCGTCCCCTTCTTAATCAATATGGAGGCTACCCACTCCACATTACCTTCTTTTCAAGGGCTTGTTTCCCTTGCTTCCATAACTGTTGTGGGTATTGACAGCCAGGCTTCTAAGCCTCTTAAAACTCCCCAACTCTAGTGCCAACTTAGACAATACTCTTTTAAGCACTCCTTTTTCATTATCCCCACCTGCCCAGTTCCCTTATTAGGCAGAGACACTTTAACTAAATTATCTGCTTCCCTGACTATTCCTGGGCTACAGCCACACCTCATTGCCACCTTTTCCCCCAGTTCAAAGCCTCCTTCACATCCTCCCCTTGTATCTCCCCACCTTAATCCACAAGTATAAGGCACCTCTACTTCCTCCTTCGCGACCGATCATGCACCCCTTACCATCCCATTAAAACCTAATCACTCTTACCCCGCTCAATGCCAGTATCCCATCCCACAGCATGCTTTGAAAGGATTAAAGCCTGTTATTACTTGCCTGTTACAGCATGGCCTTTTAAAGCCTATAAACTCTCCTTACCATTCCCCCATTTTATCCGTCCTAAAACCAGACAAGGCTTACAGGTTAGTTCAGAATCCGCGCCTTATCAACCAAATTGTTTTGCCTATCCACCCTGTGGTGCCAAACCCATATACTCTCCTATCCTCAATTCCTCCCTCTACAACCCATTATTCTGTTCTGGGTCTCAAACATGCTTTCTTTACTATTCCTTTTCACCCTTCATCCCAGCCTCTCTTTGCTTTCACTTAGACTGACCCTGACACCCATTAGGCTCAGCAAATTACCTGGGCTGTACTGCCGCAAGGCTTCACAGACAGCCCCCATTACTTCAGTCAAGCCCAAATTTCATCCTCATCTGTTACCTATCTTGGCATAATTCTCATAAAAACACACGTGCTCTCCCTGCTGATAGTGTCTGATTAATCTCCCAAACCTCAATCCCTTCCAAAACAACTCCTTTCCTTCCTAGTCATGGTTAGTGCAGTCAGAATTCTTACACAAGAGCCAGGACCGCATCCTATAGCCTTTCTGTCCAAACAACTTGCCCTTACGTTTTAGCCTAGCCCTCATGTCTGCGTGCAGCGGCTGCCGCTGCTTTAATAGTTTTAGAGGCCCTAAAAATCACAAACTATGCTTAGCTCACTCTTCACATTTCTCATAACTTCTAAAATCTATTTTCTTCCTCATACCTGATGCATATACTTTCTGATCCCCCAGCTCCTTCAGCTGTACTCACTCTATGTTAAGTCCCACAATTACCATTGTTCCTGGCCCGGACTTCAATCCGGCCTCCCACATTATTCCTGATACCACACCTGACCCCCATGACTGTATGTCTCTGATCCACCTGACATTCACCCCATTTCCCCATATTTCCTTCTTTCCTGTTCCTCACCCTGATCACGCTTGATTTATTGATGGCAGCTCCACCAGGCTTAATCGCCACACACCAGCAAAGGCAGGCTATGCTATAGAACAAGCCACCAGCCCGCCTCTTAGAACCTCTCATTTCCTTTCCATCGTGGAAATCTATCCTCAAGGAAATAACTTCTCAGTGTTCCATCTGCTATTCTGCTACTCCTCAGGGATCATTCAGGCCCCCTCCCTTCCCTACACATCAAGCTCGAGGATTTGCCCCCACCCAGGACGGGCAAATTAGCTTTACTCAACATGCCCTGAGTCAGATAACTAAAATACCTCTTAGTCTAGGTAGACACTTTCACTGGATAGGTACAGGCCTTTCCTACAAGGTCTGAGAAGGCCACCGCAGTCATTTCTTCCCTTCTGTCAGACATAATTCCTCAGTTTAGCCTTCCCACCTCTATACAGTCTGAAAACAGACCAGCCTTTACTAGTCAAATCAGCCAAGCAGTTTTTCAGGCTCTTAGTATTCAGTGAAACCTTTATATCCCTTACGGTCCTCTGTCTTCAGGAAAAGTAGAACGGACTAAAGGTCTTTTAAAAACACACCTCATCAAGCTCAGCCACCAACTTAAAAAGGACTGGATAATACTTCTACCACTTTCCCTTCTCAGAAGTCAGACGTGTCCTCAGAATGCTACAAGATACAGCCCATTTGAGCTCCTGTATAGACGCTCCTTTTTATTAGGCCCCAGTCTAATTCCAGACACCAGACCAACTTAGACTGTGCCCCAAAAGAACTTGTCATCCCTACTATCTTCTGTCTAGTCATACTCCTATTCACCATTCTCAACTACTCATACATGTCCTGCTCTTGTTTACACTGCCGGTTTACACTGTTTCTCCAAGCCATCACAGCTGATATCTCCTGGTGCTATCCCCAAACTGCCACTCTAAACTCTTGAAGTAAATAAATAATCTTTGCTGGCAGGACTATGTTGAATCTCCTTAGGCACTCTCTAATCAGATGTCCTAGGTCCTCCCAATTCTTAGACCTTTTATACCTGTTTTTCTCCTTCTCTTATTCCATTTAGTTTTTCAATTCATACAAAGCCATATCCAGGCCATCACCAATAATTCTACACGACAAATGTTTCTTCTAACAACCCCACAATATCACCCCTTACCACAAAATCTTCGTTCAGCTTAATCTCTCCCACTCGAGGTTCCCACGCTGCCCCTAATCAAAGCAGCCCTGAGAAACATCGCCCATTATCTCTCCACACCACCCCCAAAAATTTTCACCGTCCCAACACTTTACCACTATTTCATTTTATTTTTCTTATTAATATAAGAAGACAGGAATGTCAGGCCTCTGAGCCGAAGCTAAGCCATCATGTCCCCTGTGACCTGCACATACACATCCAGATGGCCGGTTCCTGCCTTAACTGATGACATTCCACCACAAAAGAAGTGAAAATGGCCGGTTCCTGCCTTAACTGATGACATTGTCTTGTGAAATTCCTTCTCCTGGCTCATCCTGGCTCAAAAGCTCCTCTACTGCGCACCTTGTGACCCCCACTCTGACTGCCAGAGAACAACCCCCCTTTGACTGTAATTTTCCTTTATCTACCCAAATCCTATAAAACGGACCCACCCTTATCTCCCTTCGCTGACTCTCTTTTCGGACTCAGTCCACCTGCACTCAGGTGATTAAAAGCTTTATTGCTCACACAAAGCCTGTTTGGTGGTCTCTTCACACGGACGCGCATGAAAAGAGGAGCTTCGTATTTTTTTTAAATCTACTCCGCTTCTCCTCTGTGTTTCTAGTTTAAAGAATGGAAACCTGGGTGTCATCCTTGATTTTTCCCTCTCTCACGTCCCCTATAGCCCATCAGACATCAAGTCTTGTAAATTCCACCTCCTACCTCTGTCTATCCTCACTGCCATTCTCCCATCAGACATCAAGTCTTGTAAATTCCACCTCCTACCTCTGTCTATCCTCACTGCCATTCTCCCATCAGACATCAAGTCTTGTAAATTCCACCTCCTACCTCTGTCTATCCTCACTGCCATTCTCCCATCAGACATCAAGTCTTGTAAATTCCACCTCCTACCTCTGTCTGTCCTCACTGCCATTCTCCCATCAGACATCAAGTCTTGTAAATTCCACCTCCTACCTCTGTCTGTACTCACTGCCATTCTCCCATCAGACATCAAGTTTTGTAAATTCCAACTCCTACCTCTGTCTATCCTCACTGCCATTCTCCCATCAGACATCAAGTCTTGTAAATTCCACCTCCTACCTCTGTCTATCCTCACTGCCATTCTCCCATCAGACATCAAGTCTTGTAAATTCCACCTCCTACCTCTGTCTATCCTCACTGCCATTCTCCCATCAGACATCAAGTCTTGTAAATTCCACCTCCTACCTCTGTCTATCCTCACTGCCATTCTCCCATCAGACATCAAGTCTTGTAAATTCCACCTCCTACCTCTGTCTGTCCTCACTGCCATTCTCCCATCAGACATCAAGTCTTGTAAATTCCACCTCCTACCTCTGTCTATCCTCACTGCCATTCTCCCATCAGACATCAAGTCTTGTAAATTCCACCTCCTACCTCTGTCTGTCCTCACTGCCATTCTCCCATCAGACATCAAGTCTTGTAAATTCCACCTCCTACCTCTGTCTGTCCTCACTGCCATTCTCCCATCAGACATCAAGTCTTGTAAATTCCACCTCCTACCTCTGTCTATCCTCACTGCCATTCTCCCATCAGACATCAAGTCTTGTAAATTCCACCTCCTACCTCTGTCTATCCTCACTGCCATTCTCCCATCAGACATCAAGTCTTGTAAATTCCACCTCCTACCTCTGTCTATCCTCACTGCCATTCTCCCATCAGACATCAAGTCTTGTAAATTCCACCTCCTACCTCTGTCTGTCCTCACTGCCATTCTCTTACTCAGGTCCACTAATTCCATGTCCTCAGTCTGCCTTCAAGCCTCTCCTCCCCTCAAGCCTCTGATGTATCTTGTTTATTGTAGAGCAGATGCAGACAGAAACAGAGCTGTGGAGACACAATGAGAGATACAGCTGGCCCAGTGGGCTTTTGCTGCATAACTATTTTGCCGTGTGCCACAAAATCTCAGTGGCAAACAAACATTTACTCCCAGGCTCATGGTCTTTGGGTTGACGGCAAGTGGCTTATCTAAACTGGACTTGGTTGGGCAGCTCTGCTCAGGCCGCCGGTCTGGCTCAGCTGGGGTCTTCCTTGCTCTGGGCTGGGCTCAGGTCTGTTCCTCACGTGTTCATTCTGGGGGTCCAGACTAAAGAAGAATCTTCCAAAGAAAAGACTCTCAGTTTCCTTCCCCCAAAAGCAGACCCACAGACAAGTACATGGGTGCAGTGAGCTTCTTTGTAAAGTGATCCCAAGAAATACAAGTCAGGGAGCGGCAAAGTCAGACAGAGAAGAGAAAAGCAGCCAATTAAAAGCCTGTTACCACTGTGATCAACTAGTCCCACTGGGGACCCTCTATGGGACAGGAAGTCTGACTTCCAGCCCTCATTGGTTGAAGGCTGTCCTTGAGAATATTAAATCCCTTACACTTTTGGCCTGCCCTGTGCTCACAAAAAACAGGCTCCCAGGGTGATGGAGAATGCTTCAGAGACAGAAAAATGTGAGCCCTAGAAGTGGGAGGCTGACAGCCTGCATGAGAACTATCCACTGTACCTGCATGTGGACTCGAAGACAGTCTCCGGGAATATGGGCTGAGGAATCCACAGTGTCAGGTACACTCTCTTTTACCCTGCATCCATAGATCAACTCGCAGGAAGGCCTCTGATTGGCCTTCTTGGGTCATGTGCCCATCCATGAGCCAGTCACAATGGTCAAAGCCTTAGGGCACCAGTCCTGGGGCATGTGTTCCTCTCATGGGGTGCATAGAATGAGAAAAGCCCCACCTGAGCCCATGACTGGATTCTACACAGGAAAGTGAGGAACTAGTAACAGCAGCTCTAGCCTCCTTGCTGGACTTCAAGAGACCACAGACAAGAGCTCAAGTCTTTTTTTTTTTTTTTTTTTTTGAGACAGAGTTTCACTCTTGTCGCCCAGGCTAGAGAGCAATGGTGCGATCTCGGGTCACTGCAACCTCCACCTCCCAGGTTCAAGAGATTCTTCTGCCTCAGCTTCCCGAGTAGTTGGGATTACAAGCGCACAACACCACGCCCAGCTAATTTTTTGTAATTTTAGTAGAGATGGGGTTTCACCATGTTGGCCAGTCTGGTTTCAAACTCCTGACCTCAGGTGATCCACCCGCCTTGGCCTCCCAGAGTGCTGGGATTACAAGCGTGAGCCACCGCGCCCGGCCCAGGGAAGTGGGTTTTCATAGCTCACTGCAGACTCAACCTCCTGGTCTCAAGCAATCCTCCTACCTTCAGCCTGCCGAGTTGTTGGGACTACAGATATGCACCACCACACCTGTAGCCTGGCTTATTTATTTATTTATTTATTTATTTATTTATTTTTTAAATTTTTGAGACGGAGTCTCGCTCTGTCACCCAGGCTTGAGTGCAATGGCGCAATCTTGGCTCACTGCAACCTCCGCTTCCTGGGTTCAAGCTATTCTCCTGCCTCAGCCTCCCGAGTAGCTGGGATTATAGGCACCTGCCATCATGCCCAGCTAATTTTTGTATTTTTGTGGAGATGGGGTTTCACCACGTTGGCCAGGCTGGTCTTGAACTCCTGACTTCAGGTGATCCGCCCACCTCAGCCTCCCGGAGTTGTCCGGATGTATTTTTTTATTTTTAGTAGCAATGGTGTCTCACAATGTTGCCCAGGCTCGTTTCAAACTCCTGGGCTCAAGTAATCCTCCCGCCTCAGTCTCCCAAAGTGCTGGGATTACAGGCTGGAGCCACCATGGCTGGCTGTTGTTCATAATTTTATCCTTAATGCCTGACATGCTACAGATGCTAAACAACAATAACAAAAAAAATTGTTGAATAAATGAGTAAGCAGCTTTTGAGGGGGAGAAGATAATGAGCTCCATTTTGGACATGTGGAATTTGGTAAAAACTACTGCTAACCCCATTGTCCAGAGAAGCTCATACTTCACATTTAAATTGTGTATTGGCAATTATAGGATCTTAGATTTGAAGATTAATGAAATTATAGACACATAGAATCCCAGTGTCTTAGAGTCACTGAACTATCCAAACTTAGGTCTCCCCAGAGCCAGAGGAGATGATAAAGCAGCGACGCTTAACCTAAATGAGATTGGGGGCAGAGGCATAACCACCTTGATATTTATGTAACATTTGTGTGAAGGCGCATATATTCATTTTCTGAAGGGAGGTTTCAGCTTTTATCAGATTCCAAAACATAAAGACCCATTGACTATATTACCATTTGTGTACAGAAAGAAAACAGAGGCTGGGAGCTGTGGCTCACGCCTGTAATCCCAGCACTTTGGGAGGCCAAGGTGGGTAGAATGCTTGAGCCCAGGAATTCGAGATCAGCCTGGGCAACACGGCAAAACCCCACCTCTACAAAAAATATAAAAATAAGCCAGGCATCGTGATGTGTGCCTGTACTCCCAGCTACTCGGGAGGCTGAGGCAGGAGGATCGATTGAGCTCAGGAGGTCAAGGCTGCAGTGAGCTATGATTGTGCCACTGCACTCCAGCCTGGGCAACAGAGCAAGACCCTGCCTCAAACAAACAAACAAAGTAGATACCATTTTTCCTACCAGTTAAATGGAAATTAAAAAGAGATCAATCATATTCAGCACTGGCAAAGATGTGGAATAAAGGGCACTCTCATCCATTGTTGGTGGGGTGGCAGTTTCTGTCAAAATAAAAAATATTCATATTCTTTAAATCTCATTTTACTTCTCAAAATCTTTCCTATAAAAACATGCACACACATAGAGAAGGATTTATATACCTAAATATTCACTGTAGTATTATGTATAATATTTTAAAATTAGGGAAGAAACCTAAGTGTTCATAAGTATGAAATGGTTAATTATGGTTTATACCATGAGATAAACCAAGCTGCCATTATGTGAGCAGGGAGATATTTATGTACTGACATGGAAGGAAGTTAATATTTTTTTTCTGAGGAAAAAAGGTAATAAAATGTGTATGTGTAAGCATGTTTCCTTTCAGTTCTTAAAAAAATGACAATAAGGCCGGCATGGTGGCTCACACCTGTAATCCCAACATTTTGGGAGGCTGAGGCGGGCGGATCACCTGAGGTCAGGAGTTCGAGACCATCCTGGCCAGCATGGTGAAACCCCGTCTTTACTAAAAATACAAAAATTAGCTGGGTGTGGAGGCGGGCACCTCTAGTCCCAGCTACTCCGGAGGCTGAGGCAAAAGAATCACTTGAACTCAGGAGGTGGAGGATGCAGTGCGCCGAGATCACGCCACTGCACTCCAGCCTGGGCAACAGAGTGAGACTTGGTCTCGGAAAAAAAAAAAAAAAGAGAGAGAAAGAAAAAAAAGGAAACTGCCTGCTCCAATCCAGACCCAATGCCTGGACACCCTCTTCCTGGAACCACTTCGGGCACTCCGCCTGTCCCCCAGCAAAGAGGGTGTGGAAGGCTTGTGGTTCCTGCTGCTTCTCTTAGGGAAACTGGTATCCTCTGTCTTCTCCTGCTCTTCTGATCCCCTCTTCCCCCAGCACCCGGGGTTTATATCTGTCCCTCCCTGGAAGCACCGAAGGCTCATTCCACAAGAGGACTGCAGGGAGTGGGGGCAACTGGTGGACCAAGCCCTGCTCTAAGTCTGTCCCTGGAGATCCTGCTAAGGCCCCACCAGCTGAACACTCCTGGATCTGCCCCTGTCCCAAAACCCACAACCCCTGCGAGGTGAAGCCCAGGTCTCTCACTGTGGCTGTCAAGTCCTTTCATGACTGGCCCATCTTCCCAACGTTCCTACCCCGCAAGCTCTGCCAGCCTAGATGACATGTCTTTCTCTCTTTACATCCTCAGTTCCCACCTCCAATACCTTTGCTTTTTCCATTCCTGCTGCACAAAAGTCCTTTCCCACCCAAACACCAGTCTTTTCTCTCCCAGTCTCCACTTGCTGACATCTTAGTCTCCTGTTCATCCTACAAGACCTGTTCACGTCACTCCTCCAGGAAGTCACTCATGTTCCTTTCAGCAAGAAGGGTCCTCTCTCTTCTGAGCCTCCATGTCTGTCTTATGACTCTCAGTGCCAAGCACTAGGAATGGCACAGACTAAGTGTCGATTCATGTTTATTAAACTATACAGATTAACACTGCAATTTTCCAGATGAGGAAACTGAGACCCAAAAAGAGACAGCAACTGGCCCAGGGTCACCAGCATGCAGATGCCTGCTATGATGTCTCTGCTTCTTGTGTCTGTGGGCCTCATGGAAGCACTTCAGGTATGGGCATCCCCCACTGTTCCCACCCCAGCAGGGAACTGAGCCATCGGCTTCTTCTGAACCCTGGAGGGAGAAAGAGAGAGAGGAAAGAATGCCCGACGCTTCCCCTGGGGATCACTCAGCCCAAGGGGACAGCTCCAGATGCTAGTCTTGGGGAAATTACAGCCAGAGGTTCCCAATCCCCTTCCCCACCAGGTGTGTTTGGGGCCCTTCCTGCCTTTCTCAGTGGAGGGGAGAGCTGGATGGCAGGGGACTCATTCTCCCAGGGGCCTATCCTCTCAGTCCCTGCTACTCCTGTCCCCTCAGGCCCAGAGCCACCCCATCACACGACGAGACCTCTTCTCTCAAGAGATTCAGCTGGACATGGCCCTGGCCTCCTTTGATGACCAGTACGCTGGCTGTGCTGCTGCCATGACAGCTGCTCTCCCGGATCTCAACCACACGGAGTTCCAGGCCAACCAGGTGTATGCAGACAGCTGGACACTGGCAAGCAGCCAATGGCAGGAGCGTCAGGCCAGGTGGCCAGAGTGGAGTCTCAGCCCCACCCGTCCATCCCCGCCACCCCTGGGCTTCCGCGATGAGCATGGGGTGGCCCTCCTGGCCTACACAGCCAACAGCCCCCTGCACAAGGAGTTCAATGCAGCCGTGCGTGAGGCGGGCCGCTCCCGGGCCCACTACCTCCACCACTTCTCCTTCAAGACACTCCATTTCCTGCTGACTGAGGCCCTGCAGCTCCTGGGCAGCGGCCAGCGTCCACCCCGGTGCCACCAGGTGTTCCGAGGTGTGCACGGCCTGCGCTTCCGGCCAGCAGGGCCCCGGGCCACCGTGAGGCTGGGGGGCTTTGCTTCTGCCTCCCTGAAGCATGTTGCAGCCCAGCAGTTTGGTGAGGACACCTTCTTCGGCATCTGGACCTGCCTTGGGGCCCCTATCAAGGGCTACTCCTTCTTCCCTGGAGAGGAAGAGGTGCTGATCCCCCCCTTTGAGACCTTCCAAGTGATCAATGCCAGCAGACTGGCCCAGGGCCCCGCCCGCATCTACCTCCGAGCCCTGGGCAAGCACAGCACCTACAACTGCGAGTACATCAAAGGTAGGAGGGCAAGCGCTGGTCGGCACCTGTGCGGAAGGTGGACCTTCCACATCCACCAGGGACTTTGGCAAACCGAAGCCCCTATCTCCTGTGTCCCAGGGATACATAAATACAAGTCATATCCACCAGCTCCCAACCCCTTCCATCTAAGGGGAGACATAACCTTCTGAGGGGTGCACTTACTGCCCCTGAAGGGATCTAAGCCATAGTTCGCCACTTGCCTGCTGGGAGGCTGAAGAGGTTTCCTGGCCAACGCAGCGGTCTCTGGCCATTTGAGTGGGCAAGCAGACCCGGTCGGGCTTTTCTCCTGGTCAGAGGCTGGAAGGGAATTATTTTCCAGCCAGATTATTGACACCTAGATAGCTGTTGCCAGAAATGAGTAGGAGTCCCACCCTCAGTTTCTGAGAACAGTGCATTTATGAGATGGAAGAGGAATTATGTGCTGAAGGGTGTGCTGGGTGGGGTGGTGGGGGCAAGGAGACAGCAGTTGGGTGCTGTGCCCCTAAGGTCCAGCTCAGGCTGTGGTCAGGAAGTGGTGGATGCTCCTCCTGTTCATGTCCCCAGCACAGGCCAGAAGAAGAACCATGAGGATGGGCCCAGGTTCTTAATTTCTGAAGGGCTATGGGCTTTACTTCCTATCTTGGACAACATCAGGAGCATGCATGAGTTGACAGAAGGTAAGGAGGGCATGCAAAGAAAACAAACCAGGCTGGGGCGAGGCATGGAAGAGGGAGAGGTGAGTGTGGCAGGGAGGCAAAGTTATAGGCCCAGGGAGCAGGAGTGCCCCAGAGTAGACCCTGGCTCTGATGGCCCACTCCCTTCTGGCCCTGCTGCTCATGGGTCGAGGCAAACCTAGTCAAGGGAGGTTCCACCATGAAAGAGCAGAATTAGGGGGAAATGCACCAACTTCTCCTAGAACAAGTCAGGGATGGACTACCAGGGCTCTGAGGTCCCTTTCCATCCTGACAGCTCCTGAGCCTTTCATTCTTTACTGTTTCTTTTCTATAGACAAGAAGTGCAAGTCTGGGCCTTGCCATCTGGATAATTCAGGTAAGGGCTGCAGGCACCTGTGGGACTCAGTTCAGGGATGAGCAGGCTGCTCTGGGGTTGGCCCCATCACCTCGATCTTTTTTTTTTTTTTTTTTTTTGAGACAGAGTTTCACTCTTGTTGCCCAGGCTGGAGTGCAATGGCACAATCTCGGCTCACTGCAACCTCCACTTCCCGGGTTCAAGCCATTCTCCTGCCTCAGCCTCTTGATTACAGCTGGGATTACAGGCGCATGCCACCAAGCCCGGCTAATTTTTTGTATTTTTAGTAGAGATGGGGTTTCACCATGTTGGCCAGGCTGGTCTTGAACTCCTGACCTCAGGTGATCCATCCACCTCGGCCTCCCAAAGTGCTGGGATTACAGGCGTCAGCCACCGTGCCCGGCCCACCTGAATCTTTTATAAGGAAACAACTGCATTAATAATAAAAAAAAGTGCACTAGCTGAAGTGGCACCTTGGGGGTTGCCAGCCTTAGCCAGGAGATGAGTGTGTGGGAGAGCAGATGGTTGAGGGAGCAGGGACACCTGCTCTCCAGCCTGGATCTGCCTATCCCTTGCAGGAAAAGGCCACTGATCAGGCCCCTGAGAGATTCAGGCTGCACTGAGGTGAGGGACAGAAGGGCTGCTCCCCACAAAGTCCTCCTTTGGTCCTTCTCTGCCTCCCAGTGCAGAACCCACTGTCTCTGTTACTGCCCTCAGGGCTCCCTCAAACCCACCTTTGAAGGCCATGAGGCCAGGCTTTTGGTGCTGGAGGCCTGGGCTCTAGTCCAGGCTCTGCTCTAACTTTCTCTACGACCAACCCATTCTTTCTCTGTGCCTCAGTTTCTCTGTGTGTATAATAAGCAAATTGGACCAGATGATCCCCAGCTATGACTCTTCTCTTCCCTCGGACACTTGGTGTGCCAAGGCCTACCCAGGCCACCATGTTTCTAGGTGGGAATGGGCCATTTCCAGGGAAGAAACAGCAGCTCCTCCCCAAGCCTTCAGAACTCCTTTGTCCTTCAGAACTCTGTGAGTGGGCAGGAAGGACCCCCCAGCTTCCTCTGATCCACTCCAGGCACATCATGCCATTCATCCTCACCACACCCCAGTGGTACTGTCATCACCTCTGTTCTGCAGATGAAAGTACCAAAGCACAAAGGGGCAAAGAGAGGCCGGGTGTGGTGGCTCACGCCTGTAATCCCAGCACTTTGGGAGGCCAAGATGGGCAGATCACCTGAGGTCAGGAGTTCGAGACCAGCCTGACCAACATGGAGAAACCCCGTCTCTACTAAAAATACAAAATTAGCCGGGCGTGGTGGCGCATGCCTGTAATCCCAGCTACTCGGGAGACTGAGGCAGGAGAATCTCTTGAACCTGGGAGGCGGAGGTTGCTGTGAGCCATGATTGTGCCATTGCACTCCAGCCTGGGCAACAAGAGCGAAACTCTGTCTCAAAACAAAACAAAACAAAAACAAAAAAAATCAAAGGTGCAGAGGAGAAGCAACTGGCCCTGTGCCACCCAGCTACTAAGAAGTGGAGTCCAGAGAGCCTGGCTCAAGAGCCAAACTCTGAACCACCACACCAGGATAGTTCCCACCCCTCCCCAGACATCATCTCATCTCATCATCTCATCTCATCTCATCATCTCATCTCATCTCATCTCATCTCATCTCATCTCATCTCATCATCTCATCTCATCATCTCATCTCATCTCATCTCATCTCATCTCATCTCATCTCATCTCATCTCATCATCATCTCATCTCATCTTTACTGCACAGTAATCTATGGGAAGGAGGCAGAACAGGAGGCATTACCCCCCTTATATGGTCAAGTGAGACCCAGAGACAAATTATTTGCTCAAGGTGACAATGAGTTTATGGCAGAGCCAGGACAAGAAGCCAGGTTTCCAGCTTCCAACCCAGGCATCTTTGAGTTCTGATTATGTAATTCCAGATACTGGAAAAGTTTAGGATTTCTCCTTCTAGTCCACTCCACACCTCTCCTACCAGGGTTTGGGTAGAGGAGCCAAGTTCAGCCACAGCAGATCCCACTCTGATCTTAAATCCATGTTTCATCCCACTCTGCAGCACCTTATTTGTGGCAATAGAAGGCAGTTAAGTTAGACCCAATGACCTCTGGAAGAGAAACTGGGACTCTAATTGGTCTCATCTCTGTCTACCTTCCTAAATTCTTTATTAAAAAAATTTTTTTTTGAGACGTGGTCTCAGTCTGTCACCCAGGTTGGAGTGCAGTGGCACCACCACAGCTCACTGTAGCCTCAAACTCTTGGGCTCAAGCGATCCTCCCACCTCAGCCTCCCAAGTAGCTTGGACTACAGATATATGCCACTACGCCTGGCTACTTTTTGTATTTTTTGTAGAGAAGGGTTCTCCCTATGTTGCCCAGGTTGCCTAAAATTTTTTAAGCCAGTCAAATTTAGCAGTGGGGGGACTGTACATCAACTTTAGTGACACTGGTGTTAATAAGTTCTGATAACCCATTACCATTGGACCAGCTCCTCCCTAAACTTGATCTTCATCTCTGTTGCCCGTGGCAGTTTTGTGTATCAGTCTGTCCAGCTCACTCTGCCAATCTCTCCACCTTGTATCTGCATGTCCCCACTTTTGCTCCTGTGCTCCTAAATACCTCTTTTTTTCTCTCTCTCTCCCCCAACCTCTCTGCCTGTTTTCCCTGCAGCCATGGGTCAGAGCCCCCTCTCTGCAGTCTGGTCTTTGCTGCTGCTGCTCTGGTTCCTCGTGGTGAGGGCCTTTCCAGATGGTCCAGGCCTCCTTTGATGCATGAGACACGGGACAGCCTCGCCTGCTGCCTCTGCCCATCCTGAGGATGTTGGCCATGTGTGCTTTCAGTGTAACCAAGATTCCTGTCAATCCCATCTGCAGGGAACTCTGGGACCTTCTCTGGTAGCTGCCAGACCGGCTGGTGGAGAAACAGGAGACAATCTGGGGACTGAACCTTACCCAGGGCTGTAGGAGTGAGACTCTGAATAAAGGGTTGGGCCGGCGGTGTGGCAGGTACTTCAAGACAGGCAGCAACTAACCTGGCGATAGAAGGGCTTCAGCTGATTTGGGGGATGACTGGAGAGGAAAGCGCTTGGCCGTCATACCTGCTAGTGTTACTCAGATGCCTCACGTGTCCATCTGGAAAGCTTCTGTTCACTCCTCCAGGAAGCCTTCTGTGACCTCTCCCACCTGGCTGGGGTAGTGACCCTGTCTCTACGCTCCCACAGAGACCTGGATGCTTCCCTATACCACCACATGTCCATGTCTGTCTGCCACATCAGACCATGAGCTTCCTGAGGGAAGGGACTGGGTCGGAGGCACAGAGATGGTGCCAGGAAACGTGTGAAACTCAGAAAGGAACAAATACCTGTGAATGGCTGGTCCCTGCACTGCCCCTGCCTTGGACACTGTCAAGCTCTCATTGTCCGTGTGTGGGAATGGGGTGGACGGTGCCTAACTCCAGCACACAGAGAGAAGGAGAGACGGGAGAGAGAGCGCTAGTCCTCCATCGGCACCTCGGTCAAATTCCATTCTCTTGTCAGCACAGATGTAACTTCTGCTCTAATCCATGAGTCCTGAGGCTCCTCTCATCACGGCTCACTGTAGCCTCAAACTCCTGGTTTCAAGAGATCCTCCCACCTCAGCCTCCCAAGTAGCTGGGACTACAGATATGTGCCACCACACCTGACTAATTTTTGTGTTTTTTGTAGAGACAGGGTCTCCCTAGGTTGCCTAAGTTCTTTTTTTTTTTAAGCTAGTCAAATTTAGCAGTGGGGGGTTATATACCAACTTTAGTGACAGTGACATTAATAAGTTCTGATAACCCACCACCATGGACACCAGCAATACCCAGACAGCTGGGAAAGCATTATTTCTGGATGTGTCTGTGAGGGTTTGCAGCAGGAGATTGGCGTGTGAGTTGGTGGACTCAGTGGCAAGTTCCACTCTCAATGTGGGAGGGCATGGAGAGGACAAAAAAATAAGGGAAAGGCAAATTCACACTCTTTCCTGGAGCTGGGACATCCTTCTCTTACCATTGGACATTAGAACTTCAGGTTCTCAGGCTTTGAACTTGGACTTGCGCCAGCGGCCATGAGACCTGAAGTAGACAGACCTGGACCCCCAGCTTCCACTACCACAGACCTCATGGGTAACACAGGGCATCGAGGAGGTGCTAGGTACACGCTTACTTTATTGAGTCAGGGATTTGGGGCCAAATGTCTGTAGGGCCTCCTGCTCTGGAAACTCGACTGAGAATCCCCGACCCTTTTCCCTGAGCCCCTCAGCAGGGAAAGGTAACAGCCAAAGCCCTGCAAAGCAGCCACCTAGGAAGGAAGACAGGAAATGCAGCAGTACAGTTCAGTTTCTCATTATAACCCATGTGCTCCCCACTGAGAGCTCCAATACCCAGCACAAACAATTCTGTCCCTCCAAGACTGTACTCTGTGATCTTGGCCTTTGTAGAGTTCCTCTTTTTTTTGGAATTAGGGGAGTGGCAGGCTCTGGACTTCCTTTAGTTAGGGTGTGTAGACAATGAGTGCTCCCTTGTGGATTGTGAAGTCAAGTGTCTCAGGATCTTAGGAGCAGTGGGGAGAGACTGGCTGGCCCAAAGACCAGCAACCACTTGGCCGTGGCTGTCCCTTTCTGGAGGAGCTGTGGCTGCAGCAGATCCCTGTGACTTAGTCCCAGCCCTCACAGGGCCTGCACCAGCACCAGGAGGCTCATGACCAGGGCCATGGAGAAGAAGATGGCCAGGAAGAAGCGGTCCATCACACGGGCCAGGCGCTTCCAGTCCTCATGGCAGCGCTGGGCAGCTCGGTGGCTGCGGAAGGTATTGGCAATGGTGGCTACGTGGTGCAGTAGGGCTTCCTGGCGGCACAGACATCGTGGCTCGTGGCAAGGGCCCGCTGGGGGGCCAGCCCCTCCTTCAGGCGACTGGGGGCTAGGAGATAACTCAGGTGGCCTGGACTGCCCACAGGGCTCCCCTCTTTCCCGCACGCACAGGCCCCGTGCCAGGTGTCCCAGCAGGAGGGCCCTAGCCCAGGCTGGCACTGGGCGGACACTGGGACCACAGTAATGCAGGTTCATGATAAGGATGGTGAGTGCTGTTGAGAATGTGACCATGGTCATAGTGGCCATGTAGTACTTCCCTGCAAGAGAGAGAGAAAGCCAATTGACTCAAAACAAAAGCCTGTGGTTCCTGAGCTTCCCAGCCACCTCTGCACAAATGGAAATAAGCCCACCATGAAGCTCTCCAGACCCTCCAAGCCCCATGGATGGAAGCAGGAAGGAGGTAAGGGCCGAGTTCTCCCCATCCTTCATTCCTACACGTGGGTCATCGGAAGCTACTGCTCTCTAATTGCTCCCGTCACTGCTGGAGGCTGCACTCATACACAATCCAGGACAGTCCCGCTCTCAAATAACGACGGGCATGAGCTGGGGCAAGATACGAATCCTTTTTGTACAAATGGGATACCCAGAGGACCTACTTCCTAGGTTTGTGGTGATGCTTACCTGAGTTAATAAAGGTCAAGTGCTTAGGGGAGTGCCTGGCACACAGCAAGCAGTCGACAGATTTTGCCTATCATTAGGATCTGGGGATACTGATGTTCCATCATCAAGGGCCAAGTCGTGAGGGGTGTTCTCCCTGGAAGGAGCTAATCCTTTCCCCTCAGTCTTAAAATGAGGGCACGTTCCCAGGACGCCCCCCTCTCACTTTCTGCAGTGGGGCCGTTCCGCAGACCCAGGCCCTGTCGCGGCCCCGCCCTGGGGGGACCCCAGCGCATCGTCAGGTCCCCCCGCGCCCCCGCTGCTCACCGATGAGCGGCACGCTCTCGGCCGGTGGCATGCTCTCGGCCAGCAGCAACTGGAAGACGGTGAGCGCCAGCAGCACGGTGACGCCCAGCGACACCTTCTCGCCTGAGTCGGCAGGCAGGTGGAAGGCGAGCGGCGCAAGCAGCGAGATGAGCACGCAGGGCAGCAGCAGGTTGCACACGTAGGCGGCGGCGCGGCGGCGCAGCAGCAGCGTGAAGGTGACGTCGGGGTAGGGCTCGGAGCAGCAGCCGTAGGTGAGCACGCGCCGCCGCGCCGGCATGCCCAGCACGCGCCACTCCACGTTCTCCACGAAGTCCGCCAGGCTGGCTGCAGCGCCGCGCGGCCGCACATCCAGTTGGTGCCCGCCGTGAGTCCAGGAGCCGAACGTCAGGCCGCAGTGCTGGGCGTCGAACGGGAAGGCTGCTACATCCACGCGGCACGAGCTGCGCGTGATGGCCGGCGCGTCCCAGCGCACGGCGCCATCGTGGCGCAGGACCACGTTGGTGCTGGCGGAACCTGGAGGCTGCGCGTCGGCTCTGGGGGCAGGCGGGGCAGGGCTCACCTAGGCTGTCCAGCCTGAGGAGCAGCCCCGGAGGCCGGGAGCCCAGGGCAGACCCCCAGGGGCTGAAAGAAACCAAAACTTCTCCCCAGAATATTGAGGCTCGTTAAGTTCGAGACACTCACGACGCAGGGGAGCACCTGGCCCCAGCGTCTGCTGGCCTGATGGCAGGACATCAGCCCTTCCTTGCTGGAGTCAGCACTTGCTTATCCAAAGGGCACCAGTAGGTGCCAGAGGAATCTGGAAACAGATTTTACCCTCTTTCCACGTTTTCCCGCCTTTTAAAGGTGGCTGTCCTTTGTCTTGCCACTATTTATAACTTACTGGCTCTTTCTTGAATTTCTATTTAAGCAAGGCCCCTAAGTCACTGCCTTCAGAGAGAAATACTTTTGAACTAAGGCCTCTCCCATGATGGGTACAGCAGATTAATAAACTTCTGCTTGTGGCTGGGTGCGGTGGCTCACGCCTGTGATCCCAGCACTTTGGGAGGCCGAGGTGGGCGGATCACGAGGTCAGGAGATCGAGACCACCCTGGCTAACACGGTGAAACCTCGTCTGTACTAAAAATACAAAAAACTAGCTGGGCGTGGTGGCGGGTGCCTGCAGTCCCAGTTATTTGGGAGGTTGAGGCAGGAGAATTGCGTGAACCCGGGAGGCGGAGCTTGCAGTGAGCCGAGATAGCGCCACTGCACTCCAGCCTGGGCGACAGAGCGAGACTGTGTCTCAAATAAATAAATAAACTTGTGCTTGTTTTTTTTTCGTTAATTTGATTCTTGTTTTCAGAACAAAGCAACACAGAGGGTGGAGTGCACCTAGAGAGACCCGCTGCCTTTCGAGGCCTGGAAGGGGTGGTGCCTGAAGGGCCCAGAAGGGACACAGACGTAGCCAGAGGATGTATAAAAAGGCCTCTGCAGAACCCAGAGGTAGCTCCGGGACACACAGTGACTTCCCTTGGGGGACATCTGCAAAACTTGTAGAAGGGCCCCAGAGAAAATATGCAGAGCTATGTGCTGGCTGGGAGACACGGAACTGGTCAAGGAGACATAAAGCAGTGTTCCAGAGGGCTATGTCCTGGAGGAAAGAGACCCTTACACAGGCTCTTCGGGGAGCCCTGAGAGACTTAGAGCTAAAAGTGTGCCCTAGAGAGGCCCTTGTGATTCAGACAACTGCCCTGGACCACACAGTAGGTTCCGAGGAGACGTTCAGCCTGGGCTGGCCTGGGATAGCCTAAAGTGGGGGTGCCATGGAGGGGCTGAGTGCCTGGCAGCTTAGAAGGGTCCTGGGGAAAAGCTTCCAGGGCAGCGTGGCAACCAGGTTATGTGGTAGGGAGAGGGGATCACTACACCCCCACAGCTAAGGGCAAGTCTAGAGAGGGGTAAGAGAGAGGAGGGGCCCAGATAGGCAGTACTTGTTATAGAGTACGATGTCTGGCCGCCACACAAGACTGCTGGGGATGCGGATGGCATCCAGGCCACCATAGGCATTGGGGTCCCATCGTAGGTAGGCATCTGTCCACTCCTGCCGTATCCACAGATACAGGGTCAGCACCTGGTTCCGTTCATCCTAGTGGGGGCAGGGAATGGCAGAGATGTGGACATGTATATGCATATCCTGCCCTGTCTGTGCACACTCCCCTGCAGGGCTCTGGTCAGCACCCACAAACCTGACTTGTCCATACCGTCCAGTTCCCACCCAGACCTGACCTTGCCATGTGACCTTAGTGGGCTCTTCTCTTTTCTGCCCCTGTTTCCTCAGCAGGAATATGGGGTGAGAATCCCTGCTTAGCAGGGATTCAGTAAGTTCAGGTGAACAAAATATTGGGCACGAGGTAGGCACCCAATACTCAGTACCCAACAGTCAGTACCCAACAGTTTGTAACTGCTACCTTTGTTAATATTAACATTTACAGAAAAGAAATTCCATGGAGAATAATCCCAGTCTCTCACCCCTTCATTTCTTGACACTGTGACAGGTAAGACTCCACAGCTGTACCACCACCACAACGCACCATGTCGATGATCTGGGACAGTGTCACCTCCAGGGTCACATTCAGAGTCTGGTCTGTGTCTGCCACAGGTCTCAGGGCACTTGTGTAGTTGGCAAAGAGGTCACGGAACAGCTTGAGAGCCAGCCGGCCCTCAGCTCCCAGGCACTCTGGAGGGTCAGTAAGGAGGGTTGTCCATCCCAGGCCCTAGTCCCAGGGCCTCTGCTCACACCCTCCACTCCCAGGGCTGGGGCCCTGTCCTTATGAGTGTCCTCCTGGTGTCTGCCTTCTCTTGCTCTAGCTGTGGCTCTAGTTCCTCCCTGGCCTGCCTGCAGGGACACATGAGGTAAAGGCCATGGAGTGAACTGGTACTATCTTCTGGCGCCAGGCTGACAAATTTCTCCTCCACCCTCCCCTTTTCAAGGACCTGGAGTCTGCCTGCCTCTCCACAAATGCTAGAGGGGCCCAAATAAGCCACAAGAGTCCAGACTTTCACCCAGGGATTCTAAACCCCACTGCTCTGCCCCCTCCAGTATCTCTCAAACCTGTTTCCACTTCTCCATCTCGAGCTGGTTTCTTCAAAACTTCTGATGCGATGGAACACTCCCTCACTCTGAAAACACACTTCCCCAGGCTTTACTGACACAAATTTTCCTCAATCCCTGACCTAAACATTGTTCCCATGAATCCTGTCCTTGGCTCCCATCTTTTTCTTCATCCCAGATTTTTCTCCTGAGCTCCAGACCCCAATAGAGTACAGTCCACTCCTGAGTTTCCCACAGGCACCTTCAACTCTGAGGGTCCAAAATATGAACTCGCTTCCTCCCTCCATGCTCTGAAACCTGCTTCCTATCCCATGTTCCCTATCTCAGCAAATAGCATGCCCTCAGCTTCAACAGTGACCTTAGTTGGAAATCTGGGAATTATCCCTCCCTTCTCCCTCTGCTGCCTCCTCCTCGGGGAATCCAGTTAATCTCCAGATCCTGTCAGATCATTCAAATCCTCCAGATTTTGCGAAACATCGTCTTGAGTCTACCCTCTCCCCTCCAGGTCAGGGCCCTCCCTTCACTGTCTCCCTTTCCCCAAAGGCTCACCTTCTTCTACCCCTCCCATGCCCCAGGACCACGCTTTTAAGCATGCACATCTGACCAGGCTAGTATGCTGCTGAAACCTTTCAGTGCTCCCCGTCATCTGCAGGAGAAAGACCTGGCCTGGCCGGCAGGCCCTTCAACATCTGGCCCCTCTGATTTTCCCAGCCCTGTCTCTGGAAGCTCCCCGCTCACTGTTTCCACCCTAGCCAGGCAAGTCTCCTCTCACGCACTTCAGCACCCCTCTCCTCCACACTCCCCAAATAGAGAGCTTGTTCTCAGAACAGGTACTGAGGAGAAACACAAGAGAGACTACATGGAAAGGGATTTTGGGAGAACAGGAATAGTAGCACCACCAGGAGAGGCCAGGGCTGGTGTACTGAGCTTCATACCTGCAGGGAGTAGAAACAGAAGCAGAAGGCCCAGGCTGAGGTGGTGGCTCCGGAGCCCCATGGCCCTGGCACTGCAAGAGCGGGGGCAGGTCTCTGGATGTGAGGCCTCCTGGCCAGACCTAGGGCAAAATTAGGCCCAGCTGGCAAGGATGGTGTGGACAGTACCTAGAAGTCAGAAGTAAGACAGATCTCTGGTGGGTCCAGCCACCCTCCAGCGAGCCCTGCAGCCCCTCCAGTCTTCTGACCCTCCAATTTGTGCCTGCCCCTGGATTTTAGTACTTGGTCTTTCTTCTTCTCTGCTGGTCCTTGCCTCTTCTGGCCTCTGCCTCTGCCCTTTCCTATGCTCCCCACCTGCTTTGTCTTTCACTCTGTTTCTGCTTCCTTCTCTTTCCGTCTGTAACTTTCTTGGTCTCTCTGCCTCCCTGACTCTGATCATCCCCTGCCTGCCTCTTTCCACTCTCTCTCCCTTTCTCCTACTTCTGTTTCATCCCTCATTCCTTCCTTCTTCCATTCCCCACACCTGGACTCTAGATGGGCCTGCTGCTCTCTCAGCAGAACAGGGACCAGGGACTCCTCCCTTGATCAGCCCAGAGTCGTCCGAGGCACAGGACCACAGCCCCTCCCTCTCTGCCCTTTCATTAGCTTAATTACACCGTGCCTATGACAACAGAGCAACGGAAACTGATACCTCGGGCCTCTGGGGCTTGAATTATTCAAACTCTGTAAAGCAGCACACAGACTCAGCTCAGGCCCATCCTCGGGTGTTGGAGAGTACAGGTATGCTGGGTCAGGGTATGTGGAAGACCAGGGCTTAAGAGTGTGAGGGGCCAGGGTCAGTGGATGGATAACTGTCCTCTCATCTTAGCCACCATTGCCTGAATTCTGGAGGTGGAGGTTTGCCTTAGACCTGCAGCTCTCCTTGCAGTGCGGGACTAGACACTCCAGGCTAGGCACTTTGGGTCAAGCAAGCCCTTCCCTCCTGGTGGGAGTAGTGCTGAGCCTCAGGCCACTCCAGATGACCCAGTGGAGCAGAAGATGGAGCCCACATCCTCTCCTCAGACTCCCTGCAGTCATTCCCATCTGAGCCTGTTTTTTCACCTTGCCCAAACACTGTGGGCAGTGTGGGAGAAGAGGGCAAGCATTCAGTCACTTTCGGCCCTGTCTTATGAGCGCTCTCACTTGGGTAAGATATTTAAACTCTCTGGGTTTCTGTTCTCTCAATCTGGTAATGGGATTAACAGTACTCATCTTGAAAACTGCAAGGATTTAAATGAGATAACCTGATAGTGCAAGGCACTGTCTAGCACGGTGCCTAAGGTACAGCAGGTCATCAACAATATTTACACTGTGGTCCCAGTAAGGTAGCCAGGCTATCCTCAGGTCACAGGTATTTATCATGCACAGAGTTTTGATTATTTTTGTTCAAGCTGACCAGTTGCCTGACCAACAGCAGCACATACTTCCCTGGCAATCACATCCATAGCCATGACTTTGGGCATCGTGGATATGCCAGTGATTCCCTGCACTTTCTCCACCCGTCCCCTCTCCCAGGTACTCTGCTTATCTCCAACCACCTTCCTAACACACAAGCGTTTCACATCATTTCAAATTGAAATCCAACATTCACTTATTCAAGCTAGTAGAGGGGAACTGTCCTTAACTTGTTAAAGAACAACTACCAAAATACCCTACAGCCATCCTGCCACCTCAGCCTCCTGAATAGCTGGAACTAAAGGTGCACACCACCCAGCTAATTTTTGTTCATTTTTTAAGAGACAAGGTCTCCCTATGTTGCCTAGGCTGGTCTTAAACTCCTGGGCTCAAGGGATTCTCCCTCCTCAGCCTCCCGAGGTGCTGGGATTACAGGCGTGAGCCATCGTGCCCAACCAATACAAGGTTTAACAAATCCTTAGGAAAGCCTAAGAAATGAACATTTAAAGCAGAAATTAAGATTATACAGAACTCCAGTAAAATTGATTAATACGTCTAAGGACTGGTTATTTGAATAACAAAAAATCTGGAACAATTTTCTGGAAATACAAATTAACAAAACTGAGCTAAAGATGAAACATCTAAAAAGAGCAGATACTCTGCAGGCCTTTGCTTAATTATTCCAATATTTAATTCTCCAGACCTCTGTTAACTTTGGGTTCTGTTGAGAAAATAAGTTATTTGAATGTTGTAGATTCCACAGATCTATCGAATGTTGAGGTAACTGGTTCCTGTTTTATGTTTTTGAGAATTTTTTTTGAAATTAAAACATTTTTTACTATTTCAACGGGATTTTGGGATGTGGAAGAGATTGTTCAGGCCTGGCGCGGTGGCTCACGTCTGTAATCCCAGCACTTTGGGAGGCCAAGGCAGGCTTATCACGAGGTCAGGAGATCGAGACCATCCTGGCTAACACGGTGAAACCCCGTCTCTACTGAAAATACAAAAAAAAATTAGTCGGGCATGGTGGCGGGTGCCTGTGGTCCTAGCTACTTGGGAGGCTGAGGAAGGAGAATGGCATGAACCCGGGAGGTGGAGCTTGCAGATCGTGCCCCACTGCACTCCAGCCTGGGGGACAGAGCGAGACTCTGTCTCAAAAAAAAAAAAAAAAAAGAAGAGATTGTTCATCACCCTTATCTTGAACTGGAAGTTGATATTCTCTTTTATGCACAACATGGCTTCTATGATAAACCTTTGATTGAGAACCTTTTTTTTCTTGCTCTGTTGCCCAGGCTGGAGTGCAGTGGCACAATCATGGCTCGCTGCAGCCTTCAGCTCCTAGGCTCAAGCGATCCTCTTGCTTAGGCCTCTTGAGTAGCTGGGACTATGCACACACACCACCATGCCCAACTAATTTTATTTTTTTTTAGAGACAGAGTCTTGTCATGTAGCCTGGGGTGGTCTTGAACTCCTGGCCTCAAACGATCCTCCCACCTTGGTCTCCCAAAGTGCTGGGATTACAGGTGTGAGCCACCACTCCTGGCCCACAATTCCGAACACTGCTAAGAGCTAACCATTTCTATAGCATACTCACTTTCTGAAACATTCCTCTGGTAAGGAAACCAGGTCAGGTGTTCTTTGCTGGAAGTCCAACTATGTTTTGTGACTCACTCAGGTTCACATAGTGAGTCAGTAGTGGAGGGGATTCCAGCTGAGTAACCCCTATCCTGAGGCATCTAAGTTAAATGGAAGTTCCAGACAACAGAGCTGACCCACTCTGCTTTCTCATCCCTGAATTCCTGAAAGTCTCAGAAGTCTTTGGTCTAATCTTAATTGGAATTTGCTCACATCTTCAGCTTGACAGATCAAAATAAGATCTGGAATAGTACTCATGCTACTCAATTGATTCCTCTTGAAAATAGCCCTGTGTGAAGTAACATCAGCAATCATTATCCCCTTTACAAAAGGGAATCTGATTTAGAAAGGTGAAGCGTCACTCAGGGTTTAAAAACAAAACCACTATAGTAGAAGAGCGAGGAGGCTTTGAATGGTATATTCTATTGGGCAATTTGAGACCCGGGAATCTATGTGCATAAATATATGTACAGCAATCAGTATTAATCAATAATCAACTCCCTTGCCCCTAAATTTCCCCTTATAAATCTAGCCTTTGGGCTAATCTATCTTTCAGTTTAGCACCCAATTGTTCTCTTTAGCCCATGGCCTGTCTCCATTTAGAAGGCAAATTCAAAAACAGGCTAAATCAAACAAGGCCACCATAAAGATCCTCAGGGTAAGAAGGCTCAAAAATACAAAGGGAAAGCCAATACCAGGAATGCTATAAACATTTTATTTATTTTTTAAGAAAGTAGCTTCAGAAAAAGAGGAAAATATCTAGATCATTTATTTATACATATATATATTTTTTAATAAAAACCTTTACATTATCTTCATGCATAAAGACCCAGGTGTGGCCATATTGCCTGAGATAGCCCTAACACCAGCTATCTCATGCCATTACCTGGGGCTCCCTATAGCTGTCAGCAGTGTAGCAAAGGCCCTCTGCCTGCCCCTAACGCCCAACTCCATGCCTGCCTCAGTCATGGTTTGTTTTTGCTTCTGGAAGGGGTAGATGGAGGGTGGGAAATGCTTTGGAGCTAACATGGGATGAACAGGGAGGGTTACCCAACCTGCCATTTTTTATCCAAACTCTGCAGGCAAATCCAGACAGAGTCTCAGCAAGACTGAAAACCAGGGACCAAACCAAACTCTGGGAGCTTCCCACAGACATGTCACATGTGACCAAGGGTTCCTGCACATAGTAGTAGCAAAGGTATGGTGTTCATGGAACTCTAAAGGCAGGAACAAAAACAGCCCTGAAGATCAATCCCTCCGTGACAGGCATTCACTTCTGCCCTAAGTGTGTCAGAAAGATCCCATTTTGTTTCCTAACTCAGGCCAACCCTCCTTTGCCTCCAAAATTCAGTGTTAACTAACCAATTACTTAAGAGACGGATCCCTCTTCCTTCTGTGGATAGTTCATCTGTTAAGGATCCATTATCACCTGTCTCACTCCTCCTAAGGAGTCCTAGTATAAAAGGGCCAGGGTAGGAGTAGGGAAGCTGGTTGGCATGGAGGGTCACAAGATCCAGAATGGCTAGGGATGGAAAAAGAATACCCTGGTTCTTTGGGGGATTCTGCCAAAGGAGCTTTATTGACCATTTTTTTAAAGGAAAAACACTGAATGATCTTGAGGATGGTAAACTGTCTCCTCTTCTGGGTTCCAGAAGCCCTTATGCTACGTTCAGTATTAAGAAAAGCCCTGAACAAGTGGAGGATGCTGCTTCTGGCAGCAGGGAGGGAGGGTAGATGCCACAGCCAACCCAGAGAATGGCAAACAGTGCCAATCCAAACAAGGCAGGGAACCTCTGTGTGGTGTGAATGGGCATGTGACTGTGATGCAAAGTGCCTGGGGCTCACAGGCTCCCAACAGCCAGTTCTCGCAGATAGGACTGGGTAAGGCTGCGCAGTTCGTCCATGGCATAGTCCTCAGGCATGGGAAGCCGGCCAATGTGGGGAGCCAAGAGGCGCAAAGGGACTCGCTGAGGGTCTGGTGTTGAGTCGGAGGTTCTATCAGGAGGATGATGCAGACTCAGCACCACGCGCAGCAGGTTGGCTACACGTTTGGCCATGTCTAGAGAGAAAAACTAGAGTCAAGCACTGAGCATGGGGTCTGGAGAAGGGTGGTAGGCACTGAGGGTGGGGTGTAATAATCATAAAAACAGGAAGCAAGAAGGCAGAAAGAGTGAGGAGGTTAGAGGCTTACCTGACTGAGCCAGGCGATCTTTAGCACTGTAACACTGAATCTGCTCTATCCGACTGCACAGTGAAGTCACTTTGATGTGTAACTGCTCCAGGTCATTACCTGAGCAATCCACCTACAAAGAAGCAGAGAAGCCAATTAATCCAAGGGGAGTTCCTATCACTCCAATCCCACCTATAGACTCTACACAAAACCTTGAAACAACAGTGAGGTGAGGGAGGGGAAAATCCAAGATGATGACACAGGGCCAAGCCACCACCATCTAGTGGAGGACAAGGCACTAATTATGCAGTAATAGCCAAGAGGAAGGTAACACAGTTACCTAGCCTTGGACTAGGAAAAGTCTTGAGATCCCGAACTATACAGCAAGCTTTAATAACACAGCACCAAAAATCAAGATAAATTGGGTTCAGAGAGATGGTATGACTTCTAAAGAGCACACAAGGAAGTAAAAAATGCAGCCAGAACCAACATTTAATTTAGGTCCCCTGACTCCAAGTTTATAGCCTTTTCTAAAACACCAAAAAAGCTGTGTGCAGGGGGCAGGAGGATCAAGAGCAAGACAGGTTATTTGCTCTCATGAAACTGATAGAAAATAAATAAGAAAACACAAAACAGTAATAAATCCTGAAAAATCACAAGCCATGTAGATAATTTAAACAGGTGGATGTGGCAGAGAGAAACTGGATAGCTACTTGAGACTGGAGGACCAAGAGAGGCTTCTTTAAGGAGGTCATATTTAAATTGAGACCTGAATAACAAGGAGAGAGCTCAGCTTTCCAGGCAAAGAGAAGACAGCTAAAACCCCCAAAGGTGGGAATTCAAAGGAGATTTACATGGTGACATGTAGGGTAAGGAGAAGAAGCAGAACAAGATAATACTAGAGAGTTTTTATGTAACATAGGTTTTTTTTTTTTTTTTTTGGGAGAAGGGGGGTCTCGTTATGTTGCTCAGGCTGGTCTCAAGCAATCCTCCTGCCTCAGCCTCCCAAAGTACTAGGATTACAGTCATGCACCACCACATCCAGCTATGTGCTGGCACATTGATAGTACCCTTTGCTTAATCCCTATACTTATCAAGCTATAGTAATTGCTGCTTTACTTGTATGTATCTCCCCCACAAAATCATTATTTTGGTAAGGGCAGAACACATACTGTTTACCTTTATATTCCCCAAACCCACTACAGTGCTTGGCATACAGTGAGTTCTCCATAATAGGTTGTGTGAATGAATTACTCAATATTCAATGAGAAAGTGGTTTCTTCAAGTGATTATTTAGAAATGATGTTCTTGATTCATACTAAAAGTACAGCAAACATTGAATTATGTCTATTATGTGCCAGGCACTGTACTAGGAGTTGGAACTTTGATGAGGATAATAATAGATAACAATTATTAAGCATTTAGTAGAGGCCGAGGTCAGGAGTTTGAGACCAGCCTGGCCAACATGGTGAAACCCCGTCTCTACTAAAATACACACACACACACACAAAGCTGGGTGTGGTGGCACACGCCTGTAATCCCAGCTACTGGGGAGGCTGAGGCAGGAGAATTGTTTGAAGCTGGGAGATGCAGTGAGCTGAGATTGTGCCACTGCCCTCCAGCCTGGGTGACAGAGTAAAACTCTGCCTAAAAAAAAAAAAAAAAAGGCATTTAGTACATGAAAGGTACTATGTAAAACACTTCATGTAGATTTTGTTTAATCTTTGTGAAAATCTGTCAATATGAACTATAATCTGTACTACTGTCTACCCCACCCACCTTTTTCTTTCAGACGAGAGAGGTAGTTAACTTGCTCAAGATTACATAGCCAGTGAATTTGGAAGCCACAAATTGAATCTATAAGTCTGCTTCCAGAACTTGAGCTGTTAACCTCTACACTCTATTGCCTGTAACCGTAAAAGACCTTCCCAAAAGGGGCTTATAGCAACCTGAAAATATGAATAAGTAACTACAATATGGTCTGACAGGTGCACTAGTAGAATAATGTACTAAGTATCTTGGTAGTAAGAAAGTGCAATTAATTATCTCTGGGGAAAAGCAGAGAGAAGTAGGGGTAACAGCAACCTAGATCTTAAAAGGATGAGTTTAAGTGTGCTAGGTAGTGTGGAACATAATATGGTTTGTTAGAAACACCAGAAGTAATTTAGTGTGAGTACAGCAGGCTAGCAAGGCTGGAACGTGGAATAAGAGTGGTAGGAGTAAGGCAGGAAAGGTAAAAGCCTCTAAAAGGACTTGAATCCTATATTTATTATAATGAGTTTGGTTTTTGCACCATAAGCAAGCAGTGGAGACTCATTTTACGACTACAAAGACTGACCTTAAGGCTGCGTGCAGGCGTGCGGTAAGCTCATGCCTGTAATCCCAGCAATTTGGGAGGCCAAGGTGGGCCGATCACTTGAGGCCAGGAATTCAAGACCAGCCTGGCCAATGTGGTGAAACACTATCTCTACTAAAAATACAAAAGTTAGCTGCGTGTGGTGGCACACACCCTATACTCCCAGCTACTTGGGAGGCTGGGGCATGAGACTCACTTAAGACTGGGAGGCAGAGGTTGCAGTGAGCCACGATCACACCACTGCACTCCAGCCTGGATGACAGAGCAAGACTCTGTTCCAAAAAAAAAAAAAAAAAAAAAACTGACCGAAGACATTGACTTTAAAACCCATATTTGCAATTTTAAAACATGCCAAATGATGTGTAAAACAGCTATCCTCACCCTCACCAAATCTCCATTCTTATTTTATCTCTCATCTTTGGGCTTCTCACTCAAACTAGGACTGAACAAGGGGAAGAGACTGTCTATGGACAAGCCTCAGGAATGTCTATTGCACATACTAGTTGGTAATCAACATAAAATAGCATTTTTAAGTTTCGATATAGCTGTCAGAAACGGTTATATCAAATGAGCCTCAGCAAGATGCCTGCTTTGACAGTGCTATCTCTGTCAGTGCATTCTCAAGTGTATACTAAGGCCTTGTGAGGTATCTGAAGATTTAAGGGCCTGAGAAAAGGAAAATCAGGCAGCAGTTTCAGGATCTCAGGTACCTGCTGTATATGGCGGAGCATTTCAATGACTCTAATATAGTCCAGGTAAACAAGCCCAGATGTTTCCCAATCCTGAATTAGGCTGCTGCGCTCTGGAGGTGCCAGGTCTTCCAAGAACCCCTTCAGGTAGTCATAGTTCTCATTAATGATGGCATCTGAAGAAACAAAGTATTGAGCACAATGTCTGCACAAGTGCATAGTTTCCAAAAGTACAGAAGACATGGCAGGAAGACAGAAAGGAAGGAGAAATAATGTTGGCTGGACTTCAGAAGTAAAAGCACATACAGGCATACCTCAAAGATACTGTGGGTTTCATTTCAGACCACCACAATAAAGCAGGTATCACAATAAAATCACAAATTTTTTGGTTTTCCAGTGGATATAAAAGTTATGTTTACACTATACCACTGTCACTTATTAAGTGTGCAACAGCATTATGTCTAAAAAACCAATATACATACCTTAATTTAAAAATATTTTATTGCTAAAAATGTTAATCACTTGAGCCTTCAGCAAGTCATCTTTCTGGTGGTGGAGGGTCTTTCCTTGATGCTGATGGCTGCTGACTGATCAGGGTGTTGCCTGCTGAAGGTTGTGATGGCTATGCTAATTTCTTAAAATAAGATAACTGAAGTCAGTTCTCTCAAACCCAGCTGCTGCTTTATCAACTAAGCTTAAGTAATATTCCATATCCTTTGCTGGCATTTCAACAATGTTCACAGCATCTTCACCAGGAGTAGATTCCATCTCAAGAAACTGCTTTCTTTGCTTGTCTATAAAGCAAACTCCTCATGAGTGACACCAGTTCAGTCACATCTTCAGGCTCCATTTCTAATTCTAGTTATCTTGCTGTTTCCATCACATCTGCAAGTACTTCCCCCACTAAAGTCTTGAACCCTTCAAACTCATCCATGAGGGCTGGATTCAATGCCTTCCATACTCCTGTTATTTAATGTTGATATTTTGACCTCCTTCCATGAATCACAAATGTTTTTTGTGTATTTTTTTGTTGGGGTCTCACTCTCTCACTCAGGCTGGAGCACAGTGGCACGATCTTGGCTCACTGCAACCTCTGCCTCGCAGGCTCAAGTGATCCTCCCTCCAACCTCAGCCTCCCGAATAGCTGCGACCACAGGTGTGTGCCACCAGGCCCGACTAATTTTTTTGTACTTTTGGTACAGATGGGGTTTCACCATGTTGCCCAACCTAATCTCGAACTACTGAGCTCAAGAGATCCACTCATCTTGGCCCCCCAAAGTGCTGGGATTACAGGTGTAAGCCACCATGCCCGGACCCAAATGTTCTTTTTTGTTTTTCTTTTCTTTAAGACAGGATCTCCCTCTGTCACCCAGGCTGGAGTGCAGTGGTGTGATCATGGCTCACTGCAGCCTCAACCTCCTGGGCTCATGCAGTACTCCTGCCTCAGCCTCCTGAGTAGCTGAAATTACAGGAACATAACACCATGCCTGGCCAATCACAAATGTTCCTCTCCCACCATCCGCCCCAGACAGGGTCTCACGGTGTTGCCCAGGAAGGAGTTCACTGGCATGGTCGTGGCTCACTACAGCCTCAACCTCCCTAGGCTCAGGTGATCCGCCAATCTCAGCCTCCCAAATAGCTGGGAATATAGGCACGCACCACCATGCTCAGCTAATTTTTGTATTTTTTGTAGAGATTGGGTTTCACCATGTTGCCCAGGCTGGTCTCGAACTCCTGGGGCTCAAGCAATCTGCCGCTTTGGCCTCCCAAAGTACTGGGATTACAGGTACGAGCCACCGTGCCTGGCCTACAAATACATCTACAATGGTGAATCCTTTCCAGAAGGTTTTCATTTACTTTCCCAGATCCATCAGAGGAATCGCTATCTATATGGCAGCTATAGTCTTATGAAATGTATTTCTTAAATAATAAGGCTTGAAAGCTGAATTACTCCTTTGCCCATGGGTTGCAGAGTAGATGTGTTAGCAGGCATAAAAACATTAACCTCCTTATACGTCTTCATCAGAACTCTTGGCTGACTAGGTGCATCATCAATGAGCAGTAATATTTTGAAAGAAATTTTTTTTTTTTCTGAGCAGGTTTCAACAGTGGGCTTAAAGTATTCAGTAAACTGAGCTATAAACAGATATGCTGTCATCCAGGCTTTGTTTTTCCGTTTACAGAGCACAGGCAGAGTAGATTCAGCATAATTCTTAAGGGCCCTAGGATTTTTAGAATGGTAAATGAGCTTCTGCTTACCATCACCAGCTGAATTAGCCCTAAAGGGAGAGTTAACTTGTCCTTTGCAGCTTTGAAGCCAGGCATTGACTTCTCTTCTCTAGCTATGAAAGTCCTTGGTGGCATCTTCTTTCAATAGAAGGCAGTTTCATCTACACTGAAAATCTGTTGTTTAGTGTAACCATCTTCATCAATGATCTTAGCTAGATCTTCTGGGTAACTTGCTGTACCTTCTCCATCAGCACTTCCTGCTTCACCTTGCACTTTAATGGAATGGAAAGACAGCTTCTTTCCTTAAACTTCATGAAGCAACTTCTGCTAGCTTCAAACGTTTCTTCTGTAGCTTCCTCACCTCTCTCAGCCTTCACAGAACTGAAGGGAGGTTAGGCTTTTGCTTAAGGGAATGTTGTGGCTGGTTTCATCTATCCAGATCACAAAAACTTTCTCCGCATCAGCCAGAAAGCTGTTTCACTTTCATATCATTTATATGTTCACTGGAGTAGCACTTTAAATTTCCTTCAAGAACTTTCCTTTAACACAACTTGGCTGTTTGGCAAAGAGGCTTATCTTTTGTCCTATCTTGGCTTTCAACATGCTTCTCTCTGTACACCTAATCACTTCAAGCTTTTGTTTAAAGTTAGAGTTGTGCTACCCTTCCTTTCACTTGAACATATTTAGAGGCCATTGTAGGGTTATTAACTGGCCTAATTTCGTGATTATTGGGTCTTAGGAAATAGGAAGGCCCAAAGAGAGGGAAAGAGATGGGGATGACCAGTTGATGGAGCAGCCAGAATATGCACATTTATCAACTGACCATCTTATATGGATGCAGTTGGTGGCACCCCAAAACAAAACAGCAACATCAAAGATTGCTACTCACAGATCACCATAACAGATATAGTAATGAAAAAGTCTGAAATAATGTGAGAACCACCAAAATGTGAAACAGAGACAGACATGAAGTAAACATATGTTGGAAAAATGGTGCTAATATACTTGCTCTGTGCAGTTTTCCAAACCTTTAATTTGTAAAAAATGTAGTACCTGCAAAGTACAACAAAATGAGGTATGCCTGTATTCTGAAATTCTCCAATGGAAAATGTGAAGAATTTCTAGTTTCAGGCCTTAAGGAGATTATTTCTGGTGTTGCTGGAGAAAATTCCCATAAGTAAACAAATTAAAATAATAATAATATTAGCACACATCAAGAATATTTCTGGGAAATGATAACAATATTGCTATCTACCCCTGCTCCTCTAGCGCCTCATCCTGGCTAAGCCTCTTCTGCAGAGAGCTTTTGCAAAGTATGATTTGATTCAAGATGGCCATGTCCTACGTTGAGTCTTATTTCCAGTCTGACCCCATCATGGAGGTTCAGAGGTTGGAGGAATTTGGGGTGATTCCAGGAGATGTGGAACCCAGCACTCACCAGAAGCTAAGTGTCGGATGATGAGCTTGTGGCAGCGGTTCCAGTGCTCAGCCTTAAATAAGCAAAGGGCCTCTAAGTGCTTGTCAGATTCCATGTGTGCTCGCACAGCTTTGGCCTCGTGGATCCATTTGGCAGGTACACGGAGCTTCTGGGTAAGGAAAGTCTCTTTAGCCCAAGATTCAGGGGTCTCCAACAGCTGGCAGTGCCGGGTAAGCAGCTCTCGAACAGCCTTCTCACGTATGCTACAGGGAGAGATAAGCTAGAATAAATCCCATCCTCATTCATGGAGAAGGCTGCCCCAGGCAGCTTAGAGTGGCCCTTGGGGCAGTCTCTTAAACTGCAGGTCTTTTTTTTTTTTGATGGAGTTTCACTCTTGTTGCCCAGGCTGGAGTGCAATGGTGTCATCTTGGCTCACGGCAAATTCCACCTCCCAGGTTCAAGTGATTCTCCTGCCTCAGCCTCACAAGTAGCTGGGATTACAGGCATGTGCCACCACACCCCGCTAATTTTGTAATTTTAGTAGAGGCAGGGTTTCTCCATGTTGGTTGGGCTGGTCTGGAACTCCCAACCTCAGGTGATCCACCCGCCTCAGCTTCCCAAAGTGCCAGGATTACAGGCGTGAGCCACCACACCTGGCCTAAACTATGGGTCTTGATCACTTTAAGCTTCACTAAAAAAATCAAAGGTGATCTCACACCGGTATTAATTTTTAAAAATGACAGCACTGGCCAGGCACAGTGCCTCACGCCTGTAATCCCAGCACTTTGGGAGGTCAAGGTGGGTGGATCACATGAGGTCAGGAGTTCAAGACCAGCCTGGCCAACATGGTGAAACCCCGTCTCTGCAAAAAATAATTAAAAAAATTAGCTGGGTGTGGTGGCAGGCGTCTGTAATCCCAGCTACTCAAGAAGCTGAGGCAGGAGAATTGCTTGAACCCGGGAGGCAGAAATTGCAGTGAGCCGAGATCACGCCATTGCACTCCAGCCTGGGCGACAAGACCGAAACTCCATCTCAAAAACAAAACAAAACAAAACAAACACATAGCATTAATTTTTAAAAATAAAATAAAGTATTTTCATGTTCAAAAAGTTGGGGCTTGGCTCGGCGCAGTGGCTCACGCCTGTAATCCCAGCACTTTGGCAGGCCGAGGCGGACAGATCACGAGGTCAAGTCATTTACTTTCAGATCAAAACTATTCTCATTATGGACTCTTTTCTGAATTCCTAAGCTTTTCAATGACTTCCACTGTCATCACAACTGCCTCCTTTTTTATATTCTTTTTCAGGAAACAAGATCTGCTTCTCCATAGTCAACTCCGAAACATTAGCCATCCTATCAAGCCAGTCTTTTACCATGTGAAATCCTTTATGACTGTGTTTAAATAAACTTAAAAAAATAGCCTGGGGTCATTTCATTCCCTGTTAAAGGGGAAGAAGAAAGAGAAACTGCTTAAAGAAAGAGAAATTGCTTAAGTCTTAATAAGACTATGCTAGATGCTTTATACTTTTACTCTTTTTAATTTCACAATCACCTTTAAATAGAAACTAATGTTATGCTTTCACAGGCCAAAAAAAAAAAAAAAAAAAAAAAAAAAAAAAAGGCTTAGGCTTAGAGAGTTAAGAGAGTATCTTTATCCAAAGTCAAAAGTAAGCTTTACCCTAGGTCAAAGTGAGTACGTGGTAGATCTAGAATTTAGACCCTATTTCCTTCCATACCATGCAACACAACAGTGCAGCATAATGATAAGAGCACAGACTCTGGACGAAAGTTGGAAACCTCACTCTGCCATTTACTAGCTGTGTGACCTTGGACAAAAGTTAAGCTCTGTGTCTTGGGTTACTGACCTGTAAAACAGAGATAATAACAGTGTCTATCTCACAGGTCATAATGAACATAAAACAGTTAATATATATGGTATACAATATAAACATGTGTAAAAGCACTTCAAGTACTACATAAATGTTCATTTTGTGTAATTACTGAAATACCATACTGCTATCATTAACAAAAATCTCCGGCCTTATCTTGTTCAAACCGCAGTGAAAAGGCATTTCTCCAGTTCTCTTTAAGGACAGAGAATCAAGACACATATACCTAAGCACAAGGCTGTGTTAATAAATACAATACTATCAAGCTTAAGGAATGGGTCGGTGACAAGGGATGACCAGAGAAAAAGCAAGCCAGTGGACACAGAAAAAGCAGGGACCTTTTTGCTAACCCATTACTTCCCTGCCGTGGAGTCACTGAGGCAGCTCAGACAGCACTATTTCTGTGTAATTCCTAAACATGCCACATTCACCTGAATCTGGGATTCAGAAAAGAGCCCACTATGAGGAGAATAGTTCTGATCTGAAATTAAATGACTAGTTTTTTGGCCCAGGCATAATGCTATTGTCCCATCTGGGCATATTCTCTCATTTCCACTTCATTATTTCCTATTCCAATTTTACAGGTTCTTCGACTCTTACCTCTATGAAGAATTTCTCTGATCAATGCAGTTCACAGAGATCTTTTTTTCTCAGACTGCTGAGAGACTTTGTGATAAATATTATAATTTGGCACTTAATCAAAGGAAGTCTCAGTTTTAACTGGTTTACATGAATACAGAAACAGTCTAGGCTAAGGGTTTAACTATCTTGAGGTTTATCACAACGCTGGATCTAACACACATTCTACACAATTACTTGCTAAACTGAACCCTGAAAGACTGATTCCTTTGGAATTGCCCTGTAGTGCTAGATGTACCCAGTGGGTTCAACGGCTTCTCACTCACCCTGAGTTGTCAATGTGCAGGAGGACAAAGATGGCCCACTCCCAGAGCCCCTCACTTTCAAGCTGGCCAGCGTAACTGGCCTGTAGCACACCTTCACACTGCGCTGAGAGATGGGTGTAGTTAAGAGCCCTCAGCACTTCCCACAAGTGCCAGCTTAGGCGGTAGTCCAAAGGATCTGCTGTTATGCTTCGAGGCTCCAGCAGCTGGTTGAGATCATAATGTCTGCAAAGAACGTGTTGAGAGTCAACATACACAGCCAGGAGACGGCCTGGACTGATATGTCAACTGTTCTGCTTATGTCTAAGACAATAAAAGAACCTGAGAGTGAAAGCATTATAGGCCTTCTCTCCCTCTGAGCCTATGTTTTATCAATCTATCTCTGGGTTCAGCCAGACTTTAGATCCTACAAAGAAACAAGGCACCTTCTCTTCTAAGGTTGTGTGATCTAACAGGTTTGCTGGTAATGGTTTGGCGTATGTATTTTACCATCCTGATACAGGGAGTCTTCACAGTTCTCACCCTTCCATTCCTTCATTATAATGTCATTACTTTTTTCTTTTTTTTGAGACAGAGTCTCGCTCTGTTGCCCATTTCTGGTATTTTGAAGTATCCTTTTCTTTCTTTCTCTGACATATTTAAAACTGCACGTATCTAGAGTACACAATTTTAATGAGCTTTAACATATGTAGACACCTGTAAAACCACCATCACGATCAAGAAAATAAATAGAGCAAGGCGCGGTGGCTCACGCCTGTAATCCCAACACATTGGAAGGCTGAGGTGGGCGGATCACTTGAGGTCAGGAGAGTTTGAGACCAGCCTGGCCAAGATGGTGAAACTCTTGCCTCTACTAAAAATACAAAAATTAGCCAGGTGTGGTAGTGCATGCCTGTATTCCCGGCTACTCAGGAGGCTGTGGCACAAGAACTGCTGGAACCCAGGAGGCGGAGGTTGTGGTGAGGTGAGATCATACCACTGCACTCTGACAGGGTGAGACTCCAACTCAAAATAATAATAATAATGATGACTCAATTGTAACCTCAACCTCCTGGGCTCATGCGATCCTCTCACTTCAGCCTCCTAAGTAGCTGGGACTACAGATGCATGCCACCATGCCCACCCAATTTAAGAAATTTATTTTTGTAGAGATGGGGTCTCATTATATTGCCCAGGTTGGTCTTGAGCTCCTGGGTTCAAGTGATCGTCCCACTTCAGCGTCACAAACTGCTGGGATTATAGGCATGACGCACCATACCTGGCCTGTTTTCTTATTACTGAATTTTCAGAGTTCTTGATGTATTCCTGGATACAAGTTCTCTATCAGATCTACGAATTGCAAGTATTTTCTCCCAATCTATGGTTTACCTTTTCATTCTCTTAACAGTCTTTCTATGAGCAGTAGTTTTGAAATTTTGTTGAAGTCCAATTTACCAATTTTTTTCTCTTATGAATTGTGTTATTTAGTGTCCACCTAAGAAATCTTCTGCCTAACCTACAGTTGCAAAAATTTTCTGCTTTGTTTTCTTCTAGAAGGTTTATAGTTAAGTTGAAATTTAGGTTTGTAATCCATTATGAGCTGGATAAACAATAGACACAACTAATGAGGCCAGAAGGTGGTTCTTTGAAAAGGTCAATATGATTGCTAAACTCTAGGTACACCAACCAAGAAAAAAAGAGGACGCAATTATTGAACACAAATGACCAGTATCAAAAAGAAAGAGACGTTGTTAAAGATCCTACAGATATTTAAAATGGTTAATAAGGAAATGTTATTAATAACTTGATGCTAATAAATTTTGTGACTTTAGGCCGGGTGCGGTGGCTCACGCCTGTAATCCCAGCACTTTGGGAAGCCAAGGCGGGTGGATCACGAGGTCAGGAGATCGAGACTATCTTGGCTAACAAAACAAGGCTGGGTGCAGTGACTCATGCCTGTAATAGACATTTTAGCAAAGATGTACAGATGGTAAATAAGCACATGACAAAGTGCTCAACATCATTAGACATTAGGGAAATGCAAATGAAACAATGAGAATTTCCAGTATGGGAAGATGAAAAAGTTCTGGAGAGGGTGGTGATGATTGTATAGCAATGTGAATGGACTTAATGCCACTGAACAGTATGCTTAAAATGGTTAAAACAGTAAATTTGGCCGGGCACGGTGGCTCACGCCTGTAATCCCAGCACTCTGGGAGGCTGAGGTGAGCGGATCACGAGGTCAGGAGATCCAGACCATCCTGGCTAACATGGTGAAACCATGGTGAAACCCCGTCTCTACTAAAAATTAGCCGGGCGTGGTGGTGGGTGCCTGTAGTCCCAGCTACTCGGGAAGCTGAGGCAGGAGAATGGTGTGAACCCAGGAGGCAGAGCTTGCAGTGAGCCTAGTTCGCGCCACTGCACTCCAGCCTGGGCGACAGAGCGAGACTCCATCTCAAAAAATAATAATAATAATAAAATAAATAAATAAAAACCAGTAAATTTTAGTTACATTTTACTACAATAAAAAGCTACATTCTATATAATTAATATAGTTAAATACTGGCCAGGCACAGTGGCTCACACCTATAATCCCAGCACTTTGGGAGGCCGAGGCAGGAGGATTACTTGAGGTCAGGAGTTCGAGACCAGCCTGGCCAACGTGGCAAAACCCCATTTCTACTAAAAATACAAAAATTAGCTGGGCTTTGTGGCGCATGCCTGTAACCCCAGCTACTCAGGAGGCTGAGGCAGGAGAATCGCTTGAACCTGGAAGGCAGAGGTTGCAGTGAGGCAAGATCACGCCACTGCACTCTAGACTGGGCGACAGAGAGAGACTGTCTCGAAAATATATATATGTATTTAAATATACATATATATATATATATATATATTTATAAGAAATCACCTTGAAGATTTGAAATGAGATGAGCTATTTGTGTGACTAGAGAAAAAAAAAACAAAAACTGTAAGTATTTCTAAGGTAATGTAAGAAGACTTCTCTGCTGCGTGCAGTGGCTGACACCTGTAATCCCAGTACTTTAGGAGGCCAGCGCAAGTGGATCACTTGAGCTCAGGAGCTTGAGAACAGCCTGGGCAATGTGGCAAAATCTTGTCTACAAAAAATACAAGAATTAGCTGAGTATGGTGGTGCACTCCTGCAGCGCTCAGCTACTCAGGAGGCTGAGGTGAAAGGATCGCCTGAACCCGGGTGGTTGAGACTGCAATGAGCCATGATCATTCCACTGCACACCAGCCCGGGTGACAGAGCAAAACCCTGTCTAAAAACAAAACAAGGCTAGGTGCAGTGGCTCGCGCCTGTAATCCCAGCACTTTGGGAGGCTGAGGTGGGCAGATCACGAGGTCAGGAGATCGAGACCATCTTGGCTAACACGGTGAAACCCTGTCTCTACTAAAAATACAAAAAAATTAGCTGGGCGTGGTGGTGGGTGCCTCTAGTCCCAGCTACTTGGGAGGCTGAGGCAGGAGAATGGCGTGAACCTGGAAGGCAGAGCTTGCAGTGAGCTGAGATTGCACCACTGCACTCCAGCCTGGGCAACTGAGCAAGAGAGTCTGTCTCAAAAAAAAAACCAAAAAACAAAACACCAACACTGAGATAGTTCTAATTACATGGTTAGAAATAATAGCATGTGTTAATATATTATTGTTGGACACCTAAACCACTCTGCATTTCTTTCTTTTTTGGAGACAGGGTCTCTCTCACTCCTATTGCCCAGGCTGGAGTACAGTGATGCAATCATGTCTCACTGCAGGCTCGACTTCCCAGGCTCAGGTGATCCTCCACCCTCAGCCTCCTGAGTAGCTGGGACTACACACTACCACACATGGCTAATTTTTTTTTACTTTTAGTAGAAACAGGGTTTTGCCATATTGCCCAGGCTGGCCTCGAACTCCTGGGCTCAAGTGATCTGCTGGCCTTGGCCTTCCAAAGTGTTGGGATTACAGGTGTGAGCCACCATGGCTGGCCTGCATTTTTTTTTTTTTTTTTTTTTTTTTTTGAGACAAAGAGTCTTGTTTCATCACCCAGGCTGGACTGCAGTGGCACAATCTTGGCTCACTGCAACCTCCAACTCCCAGGTTCAAGTGATTCTCCTGCCTCAGTTTCCTAGGTAACTGAGATTACAGGTGCCTACCACAACACCCAGCTAATTTTCGTATTTTTAGTAGAGATGGGGTTTCACCATGTTGGCCAGGCTGGTCTCAAACTCCCTGACATCAAGTGATCCACCCACCTCAGCCTCCCAAAGTGCTGGGATTACAGGTGTGAGCCACCGCGCCTGGCTGTCTGCATTTTTTTTTTTTATTTTTGAGACAGAGTCTTGCTGTGTCGCCCAGGCTGGAGTGCAGTGGCATGATCTCTGCTCACTGCAAGCTCTGCCTCCCGGGTTCACGCCATTCCCCTGCCTCAGCCTCCTGAGTAGCTGGGACTACGGGCGCCCGCCACCACGTCCAGATAATTTTTTTGTATTTTTAGTAGAGACAGGGTTTCACTGTGTTAGCCAGGATGGTCTCGATCTCCTGACCTCGTGATCCGCACACCTTGGCCTCCAAAAATGCTGGGATTACAGGCGTGAGCCACCGCACCCGGCCGCCTGCATTTTTTAATAAACATGTACACACAGATTCACATATACACACACAAACCAAGATACTACATGCCCAATAAAATGGTAAAATTTAAACAACTAATAATACCAAATTTTAAAGAGGATTTGGAGCAACTAGAGATATTACACATTATTGGTGGGAATATAAAAATGATATAATCACTTCTGGATATGTTCATAGCAGATTTATCAATAATGGCCAAAAATAAGAAAACCTAACTGTCCATCAACAAATGAATAGATACATAAACCATGTACCCCCGCTAAAAAAAACCCAAAACTAACTTTTGATACATATAAACATGAAAAAAAATCTCACAATTATTATGCAGAATCAAAAAAGCTAGGCACAAGGAACATACAGTATGATCTCCACATAAAATTCTAGACCAGCAAAACTAACTTATAGTAACAAAAAACTAGTCAATAGGTATCTGACTGATTGCAAAGGGGCACACAGGCATTTTTCAATGGTAGTGGAAATATCAGCTTAGCTGTAATGGTAGTTACAATGCGATAGTTACTATAAAACTTATCACACTGCATACTTTATTATATGTAAACTATACTCATTAAAGTTGATTAAAATAATTTTTAGACTTCTAATTCTAGTTCTAATGCTCTTTCCATTCAACTACTTTAAGTTATATTTGGTAGTTTATATGGACTTACAGCAATCTGGGGACATATAAAAGGGAAAGGACGCAGCAAAGGACTCCCCTGGGGCTCATGGAGCACTCAAGTGACAATAAAGCCTGGCTCTCATTTACCTGTCACTGTAGAGTTTTAGAAGGTGAAAGCAGACATCTCGAAGTGGTGTCTGTGAGTTTTGCTCCTCCGCTATCACACAGCCAGAACCCTCCAGATACGAAGGAAGTGGGGAGCAGGCATATCTGTCACTGTCAGAGGTATTCTGAAGGAATAATTTGATAAAACAATACATTAGCTCCTAATCAGTTTTACTAGATGCCATTATGTTTCTTCTTTTTTTTTTTGAGAGGCAGTCTCACTCTGTCACCCAGGCTGGAGTGCAGTGGGACAATCTCGGCTCACTGCAACCTCCGCTTCCCAGATTCAAACAATTCTCCTGCCTCAGCCTCCCAAGTAGCTGGGATTACAGCTGCACACCACCACACCCGGCTAATTTTTGTATTTTTAGTAGTGACAGTGTTTTGCCATGTTGGCCAGGCTGGTCTTGAACTCCTGACATCAGGTGATACGCCTGCCTTAGCCTCCCAAAGTGCTGGGATTAGAGGTGTGAATGACCGCACCCGGCCTAGATGCCATTATGTTTCAAATTCTTAAGACACCTGTATTAAGAATGAATAGACAGCCATGTGCAGTGGCTTGAGCCTATAATCCCAGCACTTTGAAAGTGGGAGGAGGACTGCTTGAGCCAAGTAGTTCAAGACCTGCCAGGGCAACAAAGCAAGATCCCATCTCTACAAATAAAAAAATAAAATTATATAGTTTGTAGTTCATGAGCATGATGATTGGGTGTTCATGCATGCGTGTGAGATGTGCCACCCTCGAACCTTGTGAAGATATTGGCATATTACCCGTCTGACATAAAAAGATAAGAAAAAAAAATTTTTTTTTTAAATTAGCCAGGCATGGTGGTATGCACCTGTGGTCCCAGCTACTCAGGAGGCTGGGGCCCAGGAGGTCAAGGCTGCAGTGAGCTATAATTGCCCCACTGCATGCCACTCAAGTTTTGGGTGACAGACTGAGACCTGATCTCGATTGAAAAAAAAAAAACAAAAAAAAACACCTGGGCACGGTGGCTCATGCCTGTAATCCTAGCACTTAGGGAGGCCGAGGCAGGCAGATCATGAGGTCAGGAGATCGAGACCATCCTGGCTAACATGGTGAAACCGCGTCTCTACTAAAAATACAAAAAATTAGCCAGGCGTAGTGGCACATGCCTGTAGTCCCAGCTACCCGGGAGGCAGAGGTTGCAGTGAGCCGAGATCGCGCTACTGCACTCCAGCCTGGGCTACACAGCGAGACTCCATCTCAAAAAAAAAAAAAGTAAACAGACAACCCAAAGGATCTATCAGGGATTTTAAACATTTTTTGGTCAATGATGTATTTCATCTGTCTTCAATGGACTGGTAAAGATTTCAGGTAGCTATCACTAACCCCCCATACTTATCTTGCCACAATTCTTAATATACTCAAGTTTCAAGTGTTCTCTTACTCCTGACAAATAATTCTGAGAGAACAATATGAAAGACAAGTATAAAATATGAACAGTAAGATAATTCAAGAACTGATGGCATAAAAGTAACAATACATTAACCTCAAAACTGACAAGGAATATAAAATATTATATTTAGAGGCAAATTTCAGAACTAAGTTTGAAGATAAACCAAATCTGAGGTCAGGCTGTATAACAGGGAATTCCCAAAGAAGTAAGACAGCATTAGAAATGAAGAAGAACCCTCTGATTTAGAGGCAGGAAAACAGCAGTGAGAAAGTCAACTGTGGAATCTCATGATATTTAATAAAATAAAAACAGACACTTGGGGAAGTAGCCTTGTCCAGAGGAAGGAGTAAAGGATAGTTTCCCATCAGATTTCCTGGCTCCGCTTCAATTTGACAATACTTTAACACCCAGCAAGATTTTTGCTTGGCTCTATTGGCCACATATACCTGAAATGCTTCTTCATACATGCTGAGCGCCCTAGAAATGGAGGCTGTTGGTGGAAGCAAATACCAAAGATGGATAGCCAGGGAGCGTTTCCAATCCAACTGGGAGCACACGTTTATTTGCTTCTTTTCTGAGAGCTGCCACACCTGTGCGAAACAAAATCATCACCATGGCTATATTCTACCTTGTTATTACCTGTGTGTGCAATAACACTGAAGTGAATATTCACTTATTCAAGGAACATTTTAAATGATTCAGATATAAAATATACAAATATAATAAAATCTCACAGCTAGTGAGAGGGAATATTATTTACTTGTTTTTATTGACCAACTGATTGATCGATTGATACAGAGTTGCACTGTGTGGCCCAGGCTGGTCTTGAATTCCTGGTGTCAAGCAATCCTCCCTCCTCAGCCTCCCAAAGCATTGTGATTACAGGAATCAGACACTGTGCCTGGTCCCAGGATTTAATCAATCAATCAGTACTCAAATGAGATGAGAGCCATTGAGAGCAGAGAGATCTTCTCACTGTCTATGGTTGTCAATGTATAAAGCTTTAAAATGAGCATAAGTGCTGACCAGCTACATTTTTATTTCTGAAAATACTTTAAGATAATAATATAAGAGGTAGGCAGTGATAAGAGAAATGGCTTAAAATAATTATAACCCAACAGCCATAAAATGGAACATAAGTGGCTATAAAAAAGAATAATGCCAGCCAGGCACTGTGGCTCACACCTGTAATCCCAGCACTTTGGGAGGCCGAGGTGGTCGGATTACCTGAGGTCAGGAGTTCCAGACCAGCCTGGCCAACATGGTGAAACCCCGTTTCTATTAAAAATACAAAAAAAAAAAAAGGCCGGGTGCAGTGGATCATGCCTGTAATACCAGCACTTTGGGAGGCCGAGGTGGGTGGATCACCTGAGGTCGGGAGTTTGGGACTGGCCTGGCCAACATGGGGAAACCCGTCTCTACTAAAAATACAAAAATTAGCCAGGCGTGGTGGCAGGCGCCTGTAATCCCAGCTACTTGGGAGGCTGAGGCAGGAGAATCGCCTGATCCTGGGACACAGAGGTTGCAGTGAGCCAAGATTGTGCCACTCACTCCAGCCTGGACAATAAGAGCGAAACTCTATCTCAAAAAACAACAACAACAACAAAAATAACGCTTCATGACATGAAAAAATATTCACATACAGTAGGTTTAAAAAAAAAAAAGCTGCAGGGGGCCGGGCGCGGTGGCTCACGCTTGTAATCCCAGCACTTCAGGAGGCTGAGGCAGGCAGATCATGAGGTCAGGAGACCGAGACCATCCTGGCTAACATGGTGAAACCCTGTCTCTACTTAAAATACAAAAAATTAGCCCAGCGTGGTGGCAGGTGCCTGTAGTCTCAGCTACTCAGGAGGCTGAGGCAGAAGAATGAGGTGAACTTGGGAGGCGGAGCTTGCAGTAAGCCCAGATCGTGCCACTGCACTCCAACCTGGGCAACAGAGCGAGACTCTGTCTCAAGAGAAAAAAAAAAAAAAATGCTGCAGGGCTGATGCAGTGGCTCATGCCTGTAATCTCAACACTTTGGGAGACCTATAGGTGACAGGATCCCTTTAGGCCAGGAGTTCAAGACAAGCCTAGGCAACATACTGAGACCCTATTGCTATAAATTCTTTTTTAAATGAACAAAATATAAATAAAAAAAATCACAGAACTCCTATGTATAATTTATTTCATTTGTATATACAAACATGTAAATAGGAACAACATATATGTGGATGTAGACTTAAAAACTAGCTGTGTATGGTAGCGTGTGCCTGTAGTCCCAGCTACTTGGGAGGCTCAGGTGAGAGGATCACTTGAACTTAGGAGATGGAGGATGCAGTGAGCCAAGATCACCCCACTGTACTCCTGCCTAGGCAACAGAGCCAGACCCTATCTCAAAAAAATTAATTAACTAAACTAGAATATTTCTGTGAAGATAAAATTATTTATATTGTTTACCACTATATGATATGGGATATGATACATTTTAACATTTTAATTTCTATACAACTAGATTTTTAAAAGTGTGCATGCCTGCCTTTATAATTTGAAAATTGTCCAATGTGTAAAACATTTTGTGTAACTGTGCACAATTTACAAAGATCACTCCTTGCCTCAACCTCAAACCAGCTTCAATTTATGAAAAAACCAATGTGAGATATTATGGTAAAAGTAGAAGATACCGGTTTTCCAGCCAACAGAGCAAAGATGCGCAGTCTCTCATCCTGGATGAAGGAGTCTGCTTGGAGCTGATGCCAGTCCACCAACTGCATGGTGAGCAGCTCCCGGACTGACTGGCTACCCACAAACTGAGATAAAAGAAGAGCAAGACGATGATCCCCTATAAGAGAAATGGAAGTTTTTTGGTTATTACTAAGGGTTTATGGACTTCGTCAAACACTTGGGGGCATTATCTTCATTTCTTCCAGCCTTCAGAAGGGAGGATTTAACATTGTTAACTGCTTTCTGCAGTAGTGCCAAAATATTGATCAAAAACTTACCATTTTCTGCTTGGATAGAAAATTTGCAAAGTAGTTTAACCTAAATTACCTATAGACTGAATAGCATATAGACATCAACAACAGATCTACCACTACTTCTGTGATACTAGGCAAGACACCTCAGCTACAAAATGGAGGAAAACAGCCCGGCATGGTGGCTAATGCCTGTAATCCCAGCACTCTGGCAGGCCAAGGGAGGTGGATTACTTGAAGTCACGAGTTCGAGACCAGCCTGACCAACATGGTGAAACCCCGTCCCTACTAAAAATACAAAAATCACCGGGCGTGCTGGTGCACACCTGTAATTCCAGCTACTTGGAAGGCTAAGGCAGGAAAATCACTTGAACCCATGAGTTGGAGGTTGCAGTGAGCCAAGATCGCACCATTGCACTCCAGCCTGGGCAACAAGAGCGAGACTCTATCTTAAACATAAAAAGGAAAAATGGAGGAAAACACTGGGCACGGTGGCTCACACCTGTAATCCCAGTGCTCTGGGAAGCCAAGGCGGGCAAATCACTTGGGGTCAGGAGTTCGAGACCAACCTCGCCAACATGATGAAACTTTGTCTCTACTAAAAATACAAAAATTAGCCTGGCG